>NC_000019.10:46028752-46331783 GCF_000001405.40 Homo sapiens
GCAGAGGTTGTAGTGAGCTGAGATTGCGCTACTGCACTCCAGCCTGGGCAACAGAGCCAGACCCTG
Source organism: Homo sapiens (assembly GCF_000001405.40). Taxonomy (NCBI): domain Eukaryota; kingdom Metazoa; phylum Chordata; class Mammalia; order Primates; family Hominidae; genus Homo; species Homo sapiens. The sequence goes on from NC_000019.10 coordinate 46,028,819, forward strand.
TCTAAAACAAAACAAAACAAAACAACAACAAAACCCCCAGGACTTCCTGTACCCACATTCTAGTGGGGAAGACAGGAAGCAAATTAACAAACATCTAATAACTATTTTTAAAAGCCAGATATACGATATTTCACGTGGATGACCCGATTGGCCTGCTGCGGGTCAGGGAAACAGGCTCCCAGGTCGCATCCTCAGCTTGTTCTTGGCGCTGGAAAAAAGATGCTACGCGGTTCCCTCCTTCAGCCACCAGAGGGCGCGCCCTCCCCGTTTGTCCTCTTTCGCGCACTTTTTCTCCCGCACCTGTCAGTCACAGGGCAGCCCTTTAGCGGAACAGGGATCCTGTTCTGTGATTTTCCTGAGGGCCTGCCTCTCCCAGGGAGTAGCGGGCTCCTACGAACAGTAATAGCAACCATAATGTAGAGACCAAGAGCAGAGTTACTGAGTTTTATGCTGATGTCCAAAGTCACAGGGCATTTCATTTTTCTTCTTTTTTCCTTTCCTTTAAAAAAATGGGCTGGGCATGGTGGCTCACGCCTATAATCCCAGCTCTTTGGAAGGCCGAGGCGGGTGGATCACCCGAGGTCAGGAGTTCGAGACCAGCATGGCCAACATGATGAAACCCTGTCTCTACTAAAAGTACAAAAAATTAGCTGGCTGTGGTGGTGGGCGCCCGTAATCCCAGCTACTCGGGAGGCTGAGGCAGGAGAATCACTTGAACCCGGGAGGTGGAGGTTGCAATGAGCCGAGATTGAACCATTGCACTCCAGCCTGGGCAACAAGAGCAAAACTGTGCCTCAAAAAAAAAAAAAAAAAAAAAAGTGATTGGGTCGTGAGAGTTCTGTTTTCATAAATGAATTAATACATTCATGAATTAATGAGTTAATAGATGAATGGGTTATCATGGTAGTAGGACTGGTGGCTTTATAAGAAGAGGAAGAGAGACTTTAGCTAGCATCCTCAGCCCCCTCGCCATGGGATGCCCCATGCTGCCTCAACACCCTGTAGAGTCCCCACTAGCCAGAAGGCTGTCAACAGAAGGACCCCACAGTTTCAGCCTCAGAACTGTAAGAAACAAATTTTGTTTCTTTATAAATTACCCAGTTTCAGGTATTCTGTTATAAGCAACAAAAAATGGACTAAGACAGGAATATTACTGGGTTAAGAAATAAAAGTAAAAAAGAACTACTATTGATACATGCAATAATCTGGATAAATCTCAAGGGCATTATGCTAAGTGAAAAAAAGTCAATCTCAAAAGATTTCATACTGTACAATTCCAATTATATAACTTTTTTTTTTAGACGGAGTCTTGCTGTGTCACCCAGGCTGGAGTGCAGTGGTACAATCTTGGCTCACTCTCACTGCAACCTCTGCCTCCCAGATTCAAGCAATTCTCCTTGCCTCAGCCTCCCAAGTAGCTGGGATTACAGGAGTGCACTACCACGCCTGGCTAATTTTTGTATTTTTAGTAGAGATGGGGTTTCACCATGTTGGCCAACCTGGTCTTGAACTCCTGACCTCAGGTGATCCACCCGCCTTGGCCTCCCAAAGTGCTGTGATTACACGTATGAGCCACAGCGCCCAGCCTATATAACATTCTTACAATGAGAACACAACAGAGATGGAGAACAGATTGGTATTTGCAAAGGGACAGATACAGTGTGTTTGTGTATGTGCATGTATATGTGTGTGTGCCTGCCACTATAGTGGTAACACAAGGGGATTCCTTTGTGGGTCTCTATCTTGATTGTGGTGGTAGGTATACAAATATTTATATGGATCAGATTGCATAGAAACACACATGCACATGCGTGCACACACACACAGGAATGCATGTGAAACTGGTGAATACTGAATAAGGTCCTCTGTAATCTAGTTAACAGTAATGTACCCATGTCACTTTCCTGGTTTTGATATTATACTATGGTTATGTAAGATGTTCCCACTGTGGGAATACTGGATGAATGTTACGTGGGACTGTATGTACCATGCAATTTCCTGTGAGTCTGTAAGAGTTCAACACAAAAAGTAATTACAAAAGAAGAAAAGAAAAGGTGCTGGTGATGACAAGGTTGTTGGGAAAAGGGCTTGTGCGGTGCCTGCATAAACTGGCCGTAAAAAATATGGGACAATAAGTTGTGGAAAGCCACAGGAGGCCTCTGATGAGGAAAGCCTTCTAATTGCCATCACGTTCCCATGGCCAGAGCGTGACCTGCTCTCTTATTTACAAGCACTGTGCTCAAGGAGAAAGACACTCCTTTGAAGCATTGGAATGTGGCCAGATATGCCGGCTCCTAGTTACGCCCACTCCCCACAGCTGCTCTCCAGTGAGTTAAAGAATAAATCAGTAGTTAAGTTTATGCTGCTTCAGCACAAAGACAATTTACCTAAACCGCCATTGCTATAGATTAGGTGTATGACACACCGCCCCCCTTTCACCATTTCACCCCTGAATATCTGCTTCTCAGATCTAAGTGATTGTACTCAGTAGTGTGGAGACCAGAGTTTGGCACCTTTTGCAGCCTCCAAAAGTGCAGTTGGCCCCCTGGCACCCCACCCTTTATGCACTCTTAACCTGTCTCTTCTCATTCCTTCGTCGCCACCGGACTTTGGGTACCCTACGGGTGGTGTTGAGGCTGGTCCCCAACACAAGGTGACAGCAGCCATCCCACTCCATTAGCAACTGTGGTGATAAGCACTGGTTTAAAATGGGCTGAATTGAAAACTGTTACTCTTGCCTTAGTCCAGGGATTGGCAAACTTTTTCTATAAGCCCCAGGTAGTAAATATTTTAGGCTTTATGGACCACATATAATCTCTGTTGCATATTCGTTTCTCTCTCTGTGTGTCTGTGTGTCTATGTGTGCTTTAAAATGTTTTATAAATGTAAAAACCATTATTAACTCATTGGCTGTTTAAAATAGGCCACATATAGTGTGTGTGTGTGTGTGTGTGTGTGTGTGTGTGTGTGTGCACATAGGTGAGATTTGGTCTGTGGGTTATAGTTTACCAACCCCTGCTTTATACAATATTTCTAAAGGCTGGACATGTTACGTCTTCTGACTCTGGAGTTGTTGACAATGTCTTAGCCACCTGTTCTGCCACTTGGAAGACTATAGACCAGCAGACTAAAGATATCTCTTTATAAGGCTGTGAACTCTGGAAATTCAATCACAGCTGCTAATGGAAACTTCTAAGTCCACTAGCAGCTGTGATTCATTATTCATGTAGATGCTCATAGTAATGATGGCAGCAGTGGCCCGTCTGGAGCTGCCACTGCCATCATGTGGGCTGCAGTGGGGGGCAGGTGGCACAGTTGGGGCTGTACACTCCACTAGACGGTTGGAGCTGGGGACAAGTGGGAGCCCTGCCCCTTCCAAGTTGGTGGGGCAGGAGCTCCCCGGGTGCAGCTGCAGCCACCCAAGTCATGGCTATGGACCCAGGCCTTCCACTCCATGGAGCAGGCAGAAACCCCACCCTCCCAGGTGCAGCTGCGGCTGCCCAAGTTGTGGCCTCCCTGTGCTCTTGGAGGTGCTGGGAGCAGGCAGGAGCCCCACCTTCCTGGGCACAGCTGTAGCTGCCCAAGTCATGGCTGCAGACCTGGGGCTCCCACTGCATGGAGGCCAGAGCCCCACCCCCCCAGGCATAGCTGCAGCCACCCAAGCCATGGCTGCAGACCCAGGCATCTCTGCACTCTTAGGGGCCTGGGAAGGCACTCCCTGCCCTCACAGGCTTAGAAGTGCCTCCTCCTGCTGCCTGGCTTCTCCCTGCTGTCAGCACCCACTGCAATCTTAGAGCAAAGTTGGGGCCGAGCCTAGGCACTGTCACAGCCTGGCTGGGTGTGCACATACCCGGGGCAGTGCTGACACACCAGCCCCCTGCCACAGCCCCCTCCAGACTTTGGGCACCGATGAGCATAGGAGGAAAGCTGAGGGGGTGCTGAGGGCAGCTTGGTACTGGCCTGCAGGTGCCCTTTGGCATAAGCAGCCTGGGCACCATGGATGGCAGCAGGAGGCAGACAGCCTCCTGGGCAGAAGGGGGCAGGTCCTGGTGAGGCCCCACCTTGAGGTCAGGGAGGGCCTGAAGGCTGGGGGCTGGGCTGCCAGTCCCAGGACCAGAGGATGAACCTGTGGTGCCTTTTTGGGGCCTATTCATGGCCATCTGTGGAGCAATCAGCATGCACTTCCTCCCCTCTGTGGCCCATAAAAGCCCCAGGCTCAACCAGCACAGGGCAGATGATGGGACAACCAGCTGCAGAGCGGAGCTATACTTTCTGCTGAGAGCTGGAGCAGATGATGGGATGACCAGCTCCAGGGAGGAGCTACCCTCTCTGTTGAGAGCTGGACACTTGTTGGGATGATCTGCATGCAGAAAGGAGCTGCCTGCTGCAGGAGACTGAGCTGGTCTATTGCTCAGTAAAGCTCCTCTTCATCTTGCTCACCCTTCGCTTGTCTATGTACCTCATTCTTCCTGGTCACAGGACAAGAACTTGGGACCCACTAAATGGCGGGGCTAAAAGAGCTGTAACACAAACAGGGCTGAAACATGCCCCTTGCTTACCACGCTGCAGGCAAAGAGAAGGAGACAAGAGCTGTGGCCCTTCAGGGAGCCCAGACTTGGGAGCTCCCTGAGCCAGGGCTATGACTCCCTCTTGGGGCCCTGCAGCTCCTGGTGTCTCCAGGCATCTGGATGCTACCACATTCCCCAGCTCCAGCCAGGGAAGCTGAAGTGAGGCACCGGGTCCAGCTGCAGCCTCGCAGAGAGCCGGCACCATGCTGGCACCGGGAGCTGCCCGCCCCGTGGCAGCAACTGGCACGTCTGACTGCGCAGTGGCTGGACCCCATGCTTGCTCACACACCCCTCGCAGTCTTCCTTGGAGGCATGGGATCAAGGCCAGTAGTATAAGCTGAGTGCAGCCTGCCAGGCCAAGTGGGCAGAACGAGCCCAGAGGGTCCAAGCAAAACTCGGGCAAAGGTGCCACCAGCCATGGGTTTCTGGCCAGAAAAGCAGCACTCCAAAGATCCTGTAACAGTAAGGACCCATTCTCTGATGAGACTGACTGGAATCAAGCTACTGATCAAATTTGCACAACCTTCACTGCTGTCATTGCCATCCGGATCCATCATTGTAACACGCTGACCTTATGGCCATGCGAGGAGAGCAACCCTAGCATCTGGGGAGAGAATGCCACATGCTCACGAGGCACGGGGAAGGAAGAACAGTGCTGTGTTCGCCCCCCAGATTCAGCACTGCAGCCCGAATCAAGCAACAGCTGCTGCTGGGTTTGCCACCCCCCACCTACATGCTATGAAAACAGAGAAACTCGTTTTTCTTTTACTTTTCCTTTCTTTTTTTTTTTTTTTTTGAGATGGAGTCTCACTCTGTCATCCACACTGGAGTGCAATGGCGCAATCTCGGCTCACTGCAACCTCCACCTCCCAGATTTAAGCGATTCTCCTGTCTCAGCCAACAGAGTAGCTGGGATTACAGGCGCCTGCCACCACACCCGGCTAATTTTTGTATTTTTAGTAGAGACGGGGTTTCACCATGTTGGTCAGGCTGGTCTGGAACTCCTGACCTTGTGATCCGCCCGCCTCAGCCAAAGTGCTGGGATCACAGGTGTGAGACACTGTGCCCGGCTGAAATATGTTTTTCTGACATGGCTGGTCCTGAACCACTCTGTTCTGCCTTATACCATCAATAGCACCTTCCAAACGTGGATCTTCCTCATATGTGCACAAACACATAGACTGATAGACATCTTGCTTTAATCGGACATAGAAATTTATGGCTGGGCACAGTGGCTCACACCTGTAATCCCAGCACTTTGGGAAGCTGATGTGGGTGGATCACTTGAGCCCGGGAGCTCAAGAACAGCCTGGGCAACATGGTAAAGCCATGCATCTACTTTACAAAAAAAAAAAAAAAAATATATATATATATATATTTATATATATATATATATGGTAGTGCATGCCTGTAGTCCCAGCTACTTGGGAGGCTGAGGTGGGAGAATTGCTTGGGCCCAGGAGGTGTGTTGAGATGAGCCAGCATCGCATCACTGCATTCTAGCCTGGGTGATAGAGCAAGACCCTGTCTCAAAAAAAAAAAAAGCTGGACATGTTGTATTTTAGGTTATGAGACTCTGGAAATAATTTAAATCTTGTTTTAGTTGGCTCTGTTTGACACCACTATAGCAGGGGAAGGAAGTTGGGGTGCTGTCTCCACTGCCAGGTCAGGGTAGAAGTCCGGGTTCTTGACAGCCTTCATTGATACCTGGTGGGGAGAGGGTGAAGAGTGCCTTGATACTGATGGGTTTTGAAATTCAGGTTCCCCTTGTCGTCCCCACTGATACTGTGACTCTATTCTTGGCACTCTCTAACCTTAACCTGGTGGGATAATTAGGATTCCTTACAGCCCACAAAGAGACTGAAAAAACAAAGGTAGAATATCCAAGGATGCTGGGACAACTATAAAACCGGTAACAGGCTGGGCATGATGGCTCATGTCTGTAATCCCAGCATTTTGGGAGGCTGAGGAGGGTGGATCACTTGAGGTCAGGAGTTCGAGACAGGCCGGCCAACATGGTGAAAGCCCGTCTCTACTGAAAATACAAAAGTTAGCTGAGCGTGGTGGCACCTGCCTGTAGTTCCAGATACTCGGGAGGCTGAGGCAGGAGAACTGCTTAAACCTGGGAGGCAGAGGTTGCAGTGAGCCGAGATTGCACCACTGCACTCCAGCCTGGGTGACAGAGCAAGACTCTGTCTCAAAAAACAAAAACAAAAACAAACAAAACCTGTAACATTCACTTAATGGTAATATTGATGACAGCAGTGGGCTGTCTGGTGTGACCGCTGCCATCACGCTGGCCACTGCAGGGAGGGTGCAGGAAGGAGGTGGACAGCACTTCCACAGCTGCAGTCTTGGGGGCTGGCACCATGGGATTGGGCTGGGTCGCCTGTAGCGGGGTGGGGAGCAGCGCAGTGGGAGAGCAGTGCCTTCAGGCACATCACAAAGCATTTTCACAGATAGCTTGTTTCTAGTTTTTATGGTGGGATAAAGGGGCCTGATGCAGATCTGGGGCCATGATTTGGGGGCCCGGGCTGGGAAGTGGGAGTGGTGCTCTCTTCAGGGTCCCAGCCACTGGCGAAGCCACTGTGCCGACCTTGCTGAGGGTGCTAGGTTCCTGGGGCTCAGGAGAAGGATCTGCACTGCGCCGCTGGGGTCTCCTCCCTGGTGTCCACCTGGGCATTGGAGTGATTGCCAAACCTGTCACTCCAAATGGCCTGGCCCAGGGCCCGTGATCCACTCTGTCCCAGGCCATCCCTGAGTGCCGGGGTAACGAGGCAGCTTGTGGCAATGTCGCCCCTACCCCAGATGCCAGCCCAGGCCCAGCGAGGATCAGGAGTCCCCTCCCCAGGCTGTGAGGGGGCACAGCCAGAGCTACATGCTCCACAGGGCAGCCAGGAGCCCTGCCCAAGTTGTGGCTGCAGATCTGAGCCTCTGTGCTCTTGGGGGGCCAGGAGCAGGCAGGAGCCCTGCCTTCCTGGGTGCCACTGCACCTGCCCAAAGCGTGGCTGCAGACCCAGGCCTCCTGCTCCATGGAGCAGGCGGGAGCCTCCTCCTGCCCCTGCAGCTGCAGCTGCCCAAACCAGCAACTGCAGCCTCAGGCATTCCTGCACTCTTGGGAGCCTGAGAAGTGCCCCCCTGCCTTTGCAGGCTTGGAAGTGCCTGCTTCCGCTGCCTGGCTTCTCCCTGTTGTTGTCGCCTACCATAATCTTGGAGCAAAGCTAGGGCTGAGCCCAGCGGGCCATGAACAGCAGCAGGAGGCAAACAGATTCCTGGGTGGAAAGGGCCACGTCCCTGGTTAGGCCTCACCTTCAGGCCTGGGAGGGCCTCATGGCTGGGGGCTGGGCTGCTAGACTCACAGGCCAGGAGCGGGGACTTGTGATTCCTTTTCTGGGTGCCCGTGGTCACCCATGGACCAATTGGTATGCACTTCCTCCCTTCTGAGGTCCATAAAAACGATGGGCTCAGCCAGAGGAGGGCAGAGGATGGAGAGATGACTGAATGACCAGCTGAGAAGAGGAGCCACCCTCTCTGCTGAGAGCTGGGAAGATGACAGGATGAACAGCTGCAGATAGGAGCTCTCCTCTCTAGGGCCTCCTCTTTGCTGAGGGCTGAACACTTGACAGGATGACCTGCCTACAGAGAGGAGCTACCCACTGTGGGTCTCTTCTGAGCTATTCTATCACTTAACAAAGCTCCTCTTTGTCTTGCTCACCCTCCATTTGTCTGTGTACCTTTCTTCCTGGATGCAGGATAAGAACTCAGGCAAAAGTGCCAGCAGCCACAGAGGTTTCCAGCCAGAAAGAGCAACACCCCAAAGATTCCATAACAATACCAGAAGGAAAAAAAAAAAAAGAAATGAATGGAAGAAATGTTTGAAACAATAATGACTGAGAATTTCCCCAAATTCATGTCAGACACCAAACCACAGATCCAGGAAGCTCAGAGAACACCAAGCAAGATAAATGCCAACAAAGCAAGACCTCATCTCCTGAAAGGTGCTTACTTTCTGGGAGACACAGATCCCCTCCTGGAAGAGGCCCATGACCACACGGCAGGAGTTCCTTTCCGAGACTGCCAAGCACCTGTAGCAGTGCAGACCCTGAGCTCTCTTCATGCACAGCAGGGCCATCAGCAGGACCAGGGCAAAGGTCTTCATGGCATAGGAACTGCTCATTCTTCCTCTCTTGCCAGTCATTTAGTTTCAATAAACTAAAATTTGTTCTTAGTTTTGTAGCTTAAAAAAAAACTACAAATAAGCCAGTGCAATTTCCACAACCATGTTGTCTTGTACATTTTCTGATGCTATAACAGAAGTGGATTGGATAATTTAAAAAGAACAGAGATTTATTTCTTATGGTTCTGGAGGCTGGGAAGTCCAAGGTCCAGGGGTCCACATCTGGCAAGGGCCTTCTTGCTGTGTCACCCCATGGCAGAATGCAAAAGACAAGAGAGCCCATGCACACAAGAGGGGAAAGGGGTCTGAACTCATCCTTTATTTTTTATTTTTATTTTTTTATTATACTTTAAGTTTTAGGGTACATGTGCTTGTGCAGGTTAGTTACATATGTATACATGTGCCATGCTGGTGCGCTGCACCCACTAACTTGTCATCTAGCAGTAGGTATATCTCCCGATGCTATCCCGCCCCCCTCCCCCCACCCCACAACAGTCCCCAGAGTGTGATATTCCCCTTCCTGTGTCCATGTGATCTCATTGTTCAATTCCCACCTATGAGTGAGAATATGCGGTGTTTGGTTTTTTGTTCTTGCGATAGTTTACTGAGAATGATGATTTCCAATTTCATCCATGTCCCTACAAAGGACATGAACTCATCATTTTTTATGGCTGCATAGTGTTCCATGGTGTATATGTGCCACATTTTCTTAATCCAGTCTATCATAGATCGACATTTGGGTTGGTTCCAAGTCTTTGCTATTGTGAATAATGCCGCAATAAACATACGTGTGCAGGTGTCTTTATAACAGCATGATTTATAGTCCTTTGGGTATATACCCAGTAATGGGATGGCTGGGTCAAATGGTATTTCCAGTTCTAGATCCCTGAGGAATCGCCACACTGACTTCCACCATGGTTGAACTAGTTTACAGTCCCACCAACAGTGTAAAAGTGTTCCTATTTCTCCACATCCTCTCCAGCACCTGTTGTTTCCTGACTTTTTAATGATTGCCATTCTAACTGGTGTGAGATGGTATCTCATTGTGGTTTTGATTTGCAGTTCTCTGATGGCCAGTGATGATGAGCATTTTTTCATGTGTTTTTTGGCTGCATAAATGTCTTCTTTTGAGAAGTGTCTGTTCATGTCCTTTGCCCACTTTTTGATGGGGTTGTTTGTTTTTTTCTTGTAAATTTGTTTGAGTTCATTGTAGATTCTGGATATTAGCCCTTTGTCAGATGAGTAGGTTGCAAAAATTTTCTCCCATTTTGTAGGTTGCCTGTTCAACTCTGATGGTAGTTTCTTTTGCTGTGCAGAAGCTCTTTAGTTTAATTAGATCCCATTTGTCAATTTTGTCTTTTGTTGCCATTGCTTTTGGTGTTTTAGACATGAAGTCCTTGCTCATGCCTATGTCCTGAATGGTAATGCCTAGGTTTTCTTCTAGGGTTTTTATGGTTTTAGGTCTAACGTTTAAGTCTTTAATCCATCTTGAATTGATTTTTGTATAAGGTGTAAGGAAGGGATCCAGTTTCAGCTTTCTACATATGGCTAGCCAGTTTTCCCAGCACCATTTATTAAATAGGGAATCCTTTCCCCATTGCTTGTTTTTCTCAGGTTTGTCAAAGATCAGATAGTTGTAGATATGCGGCGTTATTTCTGAGGGCTCTGTTCTGTTCCATTGATCTATATCTCTGTTTTGGTACCAGTACCATGCTGTTTTGGTTACTGTAGCCTTATAGTATAGTTTGAAGTCAGGTAGTGTGATGCCTCCAGCTTTGTTCTTTTGGCTTAGGATTGACTTGGCGATGAGGGCTCTTTTTTGGTTCCATATGAACTTTAAAGTAGTTTTTTCCAATTCTGTGAAGAAAGTCATTGGTAGCTTGATGGGGATGGCATTGAATCTGTAAATTACCTTGGGCAGTATGGCCATTTTCACGATATTGATTCTTCCTACCCATGAGCATGGAATGTTCTTCCATTTGTTTGTATCCTCTTTTATTTCCTTGAGCAGTGGTTTGTAGTTCTCCTTGAAGAGGTCCTTCACATCCCTTGTAAGTTGGATTCCTAGGTATTTTATTCTCTGTGAAGCAATTGTGAATGGGAGTTCACTCATGATTTGGCTCTCTGTTTGTCTGTTGTTGGTGTATAAGAATGCTTGTGATTTTTGTACATTGATTTTGTATCCTGAGACTTTGCTGAAGTTGCTTATTTGCACTCCAGCCTGGGGGACAGAGTGAAACTCTGTCACAACAACAACAAAATCAATGCAGTATAATTACCAAGTATTAGATTCTAGAGTGATCTGTGACTCTGCTACCCCAGAACAGTCTAGATGAGGTCAGATCTTGACACAGGGCTTTTTGGGTGGTATTCCTGCAGAAGGAGAGAAGTGGGAGAGGGGAATAAGAGGGAGGGTGGTAGCAGCAGTGGCGGGGAAGGAACAGAGACATGGAGAAAGACAGAGTTGCATGGTTACTGAGAGATGGGAAGGTATGGAACCCAGCAGAGACTGCACATCTGGGTGGGACATGGACAACCAAGCTCCATTCCCTACTCCCCCCTCCCACAGCCTGGACTGGAGTCAGATCCTTACCTGGGCACAGATCCTGGTGATAGGGGAGGACTTGCAATCTGGCTTCATGCCTGGGACCTTGAACCTCACAACTGTCTGGTTCTGAGAGCCCAAAGACTCCAGGCAGCAGTGCTGGAAGCAGGGCCAGAAGGTGCAGCTGGAGCCGCAGAGCCGGGTCTGGTTCAAGTCTAGGATGACACCGTCATCACAGCACTGCTCCAAGGGGTTGTAGGTCCACTCCCCGCACCTGGGCGCTGGCTGGCATAGCCACAGTCTAAGATCTGGAAGAGTCGGGGCTGGATGGGCTGCAAGGACCAGCCTAGGACCACCTCCCCACCAACCTTAATGCTGTTCTCTCCTCCCTCACTGCATCTGTTCTCACCTGTGACTCCTTCTGAGTTTGAACCCAAAAGTTCAAAAATGAAGATGGCAGCTGAGAAGCAGAAGGAGAGCGAGAATGATTCTGAGGTCACTAGGTCTTGACCACGGGGCACAGGATGATGTCTCTGAGCTTCTCTGGTTGCTGTTAACAGCTCAGAGTGGATTTTGGGACTGGCTGTGGGTGCAGGTCCTGGGGACTGGGCTTGGCAGGTGAGGAAAGGCAGGGAGGGCTCTGGGAAAAGTTAAGCTTCTGGAATTTGCAGTTCAGGAGACAGATTACAATGCAGTCACAGATGACATAGCAGTGATTATGAGGTGGGACACCAATAATTAAATAGGGAAGAGAGAATTAACTTTGAAGTTCAGAAATAATTAGGGATGTGATATCATTAGGGATTAGCTTAGCCTAGGGCTGGGGTCTCCTTACCAGAAATTCTGGGCACCATGGGTTAGGCTTCAGAGCAGCGGACGAGGGAGCAGCAGTGGAAATGGGTCAGTGACTTTACATAGGGGCTTATATAGGATATGAACTTACCGCCATTTAGGGAGGTGTGCAGAAGGAGTGGTTTCTTGGGAAGAGTTAGGCAAAAAGAGCTGCAGGGAACATAAATAATTCATCAAAAGCTTAATGAGATGCTTCTGGACCTGTTCCAAGTGGTTGCTGCCTCCTCAGACCCTTCAGATCCTCAGGGTAAAGGCTACCCAGGAACCTATCTAAGCTTTGACTCTGCTGAGTGTCTTTCTTTGAACACCGCCCAAGGGAAAACCACTTGGAAGATATTCCTTAACTCTTGCTTATCTAAGATCAAATTACTCACCAAACACCGGCTGTCTCTAGGCTCCCCATATTCCTCCACCCTGAAGTTTCAAGGAGTCCCTCTACTCCCCGTCTCAGTTCACCTGCAGACCTGCACTGTCTATAATTTTTCAGAGTCACGTAGGAGAATTTGTGAAGTTGCAGCATAATCTAGAAGAACAGCAGGGGCTGCAAAACTGTGCCAGGGAGAACAACAACAACAAAAATAGGCGGTGGTAGGATGGATCTCTGGGATTCCAGATAGGAAAGCAGCACCTTTTTTTTTTTTTTGGTTTGTGGAGTGCCTTGTCCAAGAAAATGCTCCTGTGTGTCTCACTGTGTGATGGGATTACATGTGGCGTATTTTTAGAGCATGCCCCTCCATTTTCCACTGGTTTCTTCCCTGTGTCACAGTGAGAAGGGTGGGAGGGTGAAAGAAGGATAAGGCACAGGTATTAGAGCTTTGTAAAAGTGCATTGTTAGTATAGACTCTCTAGAGTCTCTTCCTCCTCCCTCCTCTCTCTCTTTTTTTTTTTTTTTTTTTGAGACACCGTATCTCTCTGTCTCCCAGGCTGGAGGGCAGTGGTGCTATCTTTGCTCACTGTAACCTTTGCCCCCCAAGTTGAAGCCATCCTCCCACCTCAGCCTCTTGAGTAGCTGGGACTACAGGCAGGCACCTCCTGGCCTGGCTAATTTTTTTGTATTTTTCATAGAGTTAGGGTCCTACAATGTTCTGGTCTTGGAATCCTGAGCTCAAGCAATCCACCTGCCCCAGCCTCCCAAAGTGCATTGATTTTGTTGTTGTTGTGCTTATTTGCACTCCAGCCTGGCCTCTCCTTTCTTGACTGGATGTCCAAGTCTTCGGTATTGATTTCATGCAATAAACTAGCTCTCCTCGCCTATTTCTGCAGTTGCGTATTTGCATAGATATGTCTGTTTGTCTGCTTATCAATATGCCTTCTCCTTTCCCACACATCCAAACAGAAATCCCACCTGTAAAGACACATTCTCTCACCTACACAGAACAGCTGCTGCGGAAACAGACCTATAAGAACTACATTCCTGTTTATCAAGTTAAGTAGTGTGAATACCGCATTATAACTCCGAGCCAGCAACCAAGAAATTTATGACCACTTGAAAGGGAAAGCTGCAATGAAGAGTACAAGTGACTAAGGAGGGAAATCCCAAAGCTGATTACTAGAATTGATCTCTGTATAATTGAACTATCTATGTAGAAAATCCCACGGAACCCACTGTCAAGCAAGAGGTGAGTCTGACAGATTCTGTTAGTGACAAAAACAAGCTCTTTTTAGATTCAGACACTTTATTACTTACACAGACAGGGAAAGAAAGAGCCACAGGTGCCAGCACCATGTCCCTTATACAGGGTGACACTGAAACAAAAGGGCCAGATGACTGAACAAGAATAATAGGATGCCTGTTGCTGAGTAGAGAATCCAGCCTGTGGCTCCATGGTATAGGGAGGTAGAAAGCCTCATCCCTCCCTAGAAGCCAGAGGCAGTGAGAAGCTGTGTCATGGCGGCCTCCCTTATCCATAGGGAAGTGAGTGACAAGTGATGCTGTAGCAGCTTCCCACAAGCCTCCCATGACCTCACGTTCTGGGAAGACCAGAGAGTGTTCTGCCATGACATACATCAGCTACAGTTAATTTCACCAACGTGGCCCACGTGGAGATGTTTGAGGTCGCCGGGGCAGTAGGGCAGAGCCATTACCGTAAACCTACCCCCAAAGCTCCGGGAACTAATAAGTAAATTTAGATGGTTGTAGAATACAAAGTCAACACACAAAAATCAATTGTATTTCTCGCTCCTGGAATAAGTGGAAACAAAAATTTAGAGGGGAACAATGCCATTTATAATGCCCCCCTACTGAAATTGAATACTTAGGTATACTGTAAATCTAGGAGAACATGTAGAGGATATATATGCTTAAAACTATAAACTAGTGATTAAAGTAATCAAGGAAAACCTAAATATAGAGTGGTATATCATGTCATAGTTTAGAATATGGGGCTTTTTAGCTAAGATGTCAATTCTCTCCAAATTGTCTACAGATTTAACACAATTCCAATGAAAACCCAAGCAGGATTTGTCTCAGATAGAAGCAAAATAATTCTAGAATTTATCTGGAAAGGCAGTGGAAACAAGAATGGCCCAAACAATTTTGGTTGATGAAAAATGTTGGAGGACTCACACTACCCAATTTCACAATTACTCCAGCTACACTAATGAAGACAGTATAGTATTGGCAAGTGGAGAGATACATAGATCAATGGAGCAGAACAGATTTCAGAAATAAACCCAAACAAACATGGCAAATTGACTTTTGACAAAGATGCAAAAGCAATTCAATGTGGGAAAAGATAGTCATTTCAACAAATGGTGTGGGACAATGGGCATGCATATGAAAAAAAAAATCTTCTACCAAAGCTTACACTTCCTACAAAATTTAACTCCAAAATGATCTAGATATAAAAAGTTAAACTATACATTTTCTAGAAGAAAACATAAAAAAAATCCTTATGACTTAGGGAAAAGATACAAAAAACATTGTCCATTTAAAAAATGGATAGATCAGGAAGCGGGCAAGATGGCTGACTAGAAGCAGCTGTGGTCCACCGCACTCACAGAGAGGAATGAAAGGAGTGAGTGAATTCAGCATCTTCAACTGAAATATACAGGTTGTCACTCTCAACCCATGGAGAACGAAGAAATGCAGGGTAGGGTGATGGTCCACCCAGGAGCAGTGTGGAGGTATGGGGACTCCTGCCCCCAGCCAAGTGAAGCAGTGAGTGATTGTGCAACCCTGCCTGGGAAACCATGCTTCTCCCATGGATATTTGCAACCTTAGGATCAAGAGATCCCCACATAAGCCCACGCCCAGAGATTTGGGTCCAATACACAGAGCTGTGTGGAGTCTTGGCAGAGCGGCCACAGGGGCACTCACAGAGACCCAGGAGTTTTACGTACTCTGGCCCTGGGATCTGCAGCAAGGGAGGACATCCCTCCATACATATTTCTATGAAGGGGGCTGAATCCAGAGAACCAAGCAGTGTCATTCTGTGGACCCCACTTCCACAGCACCTCACAAGTTAAGACCCAGTGGCTTGGAATTCCAGCCAGCCAACAGCAACAGGCCGGAGTCTGCCTGGGTCAGGACCAAGTTCCTGGGGTGGGGGTGTCGTGGGGGCAGTCACCATCTCTGTGGTTCAGTAGACTCAGCCATTCTAGCCTGCCAGCTTTGGAGAATACAAATGGTCCAGATGAGGAAGGGTTCCCCACAACACAGCACATCTGCCTTGCCAGATTGTAGCTAGACTGCTTCTTTAAGTGGTTCCCTGACCCCATTCCTCCTGACTGGGTGAGACCTCCTAACAAGGGTCTCCAGCCACCTCCTACAGGGACGTTTGGGTCAACAACTGGTCAGAGGAAGGAGCAGGCTGCCATCTTTGCTGTTTTGCAGCCTTCACTGGTGACACCTTCAGGTACGGGAAAAACGGAGGCAACCAGGGTCTTGAACAAACCCCCAGCACACCACAGCAGCCCTGTGGAATAGTGGCCTGACTGTTAAAAGAAAAACAAACAGAAAACACCAACAACATCAGCAAAAAAGACCCCACAGAAACCTCATTCAAAGGTCAGCAACTTCAAAAATCAAAGGTAAACCCACACAGATGAGAAAGAATCAATGCAAAAATGCTGAAAACTCAAAAAGCCAGAGTGCTTCTTCTCTTCCAAATGACCACAGTACCTCTCCAGCAAGGGCACAGAACTGGGCTGAGACCGAGATGGCTGAATTAACAGAAGTAGTTTTAAGAAGGTGGGTAATAGGCCAGGCGCAGTGGCTCACACCTTTAATCCCAGCACTTTGGGAGGCCGAGGCAGGTGGATCACGAGGTCAGGAGTTAGAGACCAGCCTGACCAACATGGTGAAACCCCCTCTCTACTAAAAATACAAAAGTTAGCTGGGCATGGTGGCACATGCCTATAATCCCAGATGCTGAGGAGGCTGAGGCAGGAGAATCGCTTGAACCCGGGAGGCAGAGGTTACAGTGAGCTGAGATCGCGCCACTGCACTCCAGCCTGGGTGACAAGAGTGAAACTCTGTCTCAAAAAAAAAAAAGAAAAAGATGGGTAATAATGAACTTCACTGAGCTAAAGGAGGATGTTGTATCCCATTGCAAATAAGCTAAGAATCATGATAAATTATACAGGAGCTGACAGAATAGCCAGTTTAGAGAGGAACATAACTGACCCAATGGAACTGGAAAACACAAGAACTTCACAATGCAATCATAAGTATCAGTTACAGAATAGTTCAAGCAGAGGAAAGAATTTCAGAGCTTAAAGACCGTCCTTCTGAAATTATACAGGCAGACAAGAATAGAGAAAAAAGAACAAAAAGAACTGAACAAAACCTCTGAGAAATATGTAAAGAGACAGAATCTATGACTGATTGGGGTACCTGAAAGAGACAGGGAAATTGGAACCAAGTTGGAAAACATACTCCAGGATATCATCCAGGAGAACTTCCCCAAACTTGCAAGACAGGCCAACATTCAAATTCAGTAAATACAGAGAACCCCAGTGAGATACTCCATAAGAAGATTTACCCCAAGACATATAATCAGCAGATTCTTCATTGTCGAAATGAAAGAAAAAATGTTAAGGGCAGCCAGAGAGAAAGGCCAGGTAACCTACAAAGAAAAGCCCATCAGACTACCAGCGGACCTCTCAGTGGAAATCCTACAAGCCAGAAGAGATTGGGGGCCAATATTCAACATTCTTAAAAGAATTTCCAACCCAGGATTTCATATCCAGCCAAACTAAGCTTCATAAGTGGAGAAATAAGGTCCTTTTCAGACAAGCAAATGCTGTGGGAATTCGTCACCACCAAGCCTGCCTTGCAAGAGCTCCTGAAGGAAGCAATAAATATGGAAAGGGAAAACCTTTACCAGCCACTACAAAAACACACTGAAATACACAGACAAGTAACACTATGAAGCAACCAACAAAACAAGTCTGTAAAATAACCAGCTAGCATCATGATGACAGGAACAAATTCACACATAACAATACTAACCTTAAATGTAAGTGGGCTAAATTCCTGAATTAAAAGACACAGAATGGCAAGTTGGATAAAGAGCCAAGACCCATTGATATACTGTCTTCGAGAGACCCATCTCACATGTGGGACACACATAGGCTCAAAATAAAGGGATGGAGGAGAAATTTATCAAGGAAATGGAAAACAGAAAAAAGCATGGGTTGCAACCCTAGTTTCTGACCAAACAGACTTTAAACCAACAAAAATCCAGAAAGACAAAGAAGGGTGTTACATAATGGTAAAGGGATCAATTGGACAAGAAGAGCTAAGTATCCTAAATATATATGCATCCAATACAGGAGAACCCAGATTCATAAAGCAAGTTCTTACAGATCTACAAGAGACTTAAGACTCCCACACAACAATAGTGGAATACTTTAACACCCACTGTCAATATTAGATCATCGAGACAGAAAATTAACAAAGATATTCAGGACCTGAACTCAGCTCTGGATCAAGTGGACCTGATAGATATCTACAGAACTCTCTACCCCAAACAACAGAATATACATTCTTCTCATTGCCACATGGCACTCACTCTAAAATTGATCACAAAATCAGAAGTAAAACACTCCTCGCAAAAGCAAAAGAACTGAAGTCATAACAAACAGTCTCTCAGACCACAGCACAACAAATTAGAAATCAAGATTTAAAAATTCACTCAAAACCACACAACTACATGGAAACTGAACAATCTGCTCCTGAATAACTCTTGGGTAAATAATGAAATCAAGGCAGAAAGCAAGAAATTCTTGAAACTAATGAGAACTAAGAGACAATGTACCCGATTCTCTGGGACACAGCTCAAGTGGTGTTAAGAGGGAAATTTATAGCAATAAATAACCCACATCAGAAAGCTAGAAAGATCTCAAGTTAACAACCTAACATCTCAACTAAAAGAACTAGAGAACCAAGAGCAAACCAACCCCAAAGCTAGCAGAAAACAAGAAATAACCAAGATAAGTTATTGGTTAACAGAAATAAGCAATAACTGAAGGAGATAGAAACACAAAAAGCCCTTCAAAAAATTAATGAATCCAGGAGCTGTTTTTTTGAAAAAATTTATAAAATAGATAGACTGCTAGCCAGACTAATGAAGAAGAAAAGAGAGAATAATCAAATAAACATAATCAGAAATGACAAGGGAGATATTACCACTGACCCCACGGAAATATAAACAAACATCACAGAATACTATAAACACCTTTATGCACATAAACTAGAAAATCTAGAAGAAATGGATACATCCCTAGACACATACACCCTCCCAAGACTAAACCAAGAAGAAACTGAATCCCTGAATAGACCAATTATGATTTCCGAAATTGGGGGGTAATAAATAGCCTACCAACCAAAAAAAGCCCAAAGTTGGAAGCATTCACAGCTGAATTCTACCAGAAGTACAAAGATCTGGTACAATTTCTACGGAAACTATTCCAAAAAATTGAAAGTGAGGGATTCCTCCCTAATTCATCCTATGAGCCCAGCATCATCCTGATACCAAAACCTGGCAGAGATACAACAAAATAAGAAAACTTCAGGCCAATATCCTTGATGAACATCAATGCAAAAAACCTCAGTAAAATACTGGCAAACCAAATCCAGCAGCACAGCAAAAAGCTTATCCACCATGACCACATTGGCTTCATCCCTGGGATGCAAGGTTGGTTCAACATACGCAAAGCAACAAATGTGATTCATCGTATAAACAGAACTAAAAACAAAACACACATGATTATCTCAATAGATGCAGAAAAGGCTTTTGATAAAATTTAAACATCCCTTTATGTTAAAAACTCTCAATAAACTAAGTATTGAAGGACCGTACCTCAAAATAATAGAAGCCATATATGACAAACTCACAGCC
Source organism: Homo sapiens (assembly GCF_000001405.40). NCBI lineage: Eukaryota > Metazoa > Chordata > Mammalia > Primates > Hominidae > Homo > Homo sapiens. The sequence goes on from NC_000019.10 coordinate 46,048,307, forward strand.
AATATCATACTGAATGGGTAAAAGCTTGAAGCATTCCCCTTGAAAACTGGCACAAGACAAAAATGCCCTCTCTCACCACTCCTATTCAACATAGTATTGGAAGTTCTGGCCAGGGCAATTAGGCTAGAGAAAGAAATAAAGCGTATTCAAATAGGAAGAGAGGAAGTCAAATTATCTTGTTTGCAGATACATAATCCTATATCTAGAAAAACCTCATCATCTCAGCCCAAAAGCTTCTTAAGGTGATAAGCAACTTCAGCAGTCTCAGGATACCAAATCAATGAGCAAAAATTGCTAGCATTCCTATACACCAACAACAGGCAAGCAGAGAGCCAAATCACGAATGAACTCTCATTCACAATTGCTACAAAAAGAATAAAATACCTAAGAATACAGCTAACAAGGAAAGTGAAGGACCTCTTCAAGGAGAACTACAAATCACTGCTCAAAAAAAATCAGATAGGACACAAATAAATGGAAAAACACTCTATGCTCATGGATGTGAAGAATGAATACTGTGAAAATGGCCATACTGCTCAAAGTAACTTATAGATTCAATGCTATTCCCATTAAACTACTATTGACATTCTTCACATAATTAGAAAAAACTATTTTAAAATTCATATGGAACCAAAAAAGAGCCCAAATAGCCAAGACAATCCTAAGCAAAAAAGAACAAAGCCAGAGGCATCACATTACCTCACTTCAAACTATCCTACAAGGCTACAGTAACCAAAACAGCATGGTACTGGTATAAGAACAGACACATAGGTTGATCAATGCCTCCTGGTCTCTGATGGCCATGGCTGGGAATCTCTCTGTACAAAAAGATGACAGATAGGAGGCAGGACTAACTTGCAGCTCCCACTTGGAGGGACAGAGAAGCATGTGGAGACCCACATCATGAAATTTTTCTCCAAGAACAACCACAGGAACATACCAGGAAAGCTGAGAGAATCCAGAGACCCTTTAAAGGAGGTGGATTGCTGCTGCAGATTATGTGGGACAATCAAGAAACTGTGAGTTTGCTTGCTTTCTCAGCTGGGAGGCTTGTAGCCTGGGGCAAGTTCTCAGTCCTGCTCACTGGCTGCCTGGAAATAAACTTGGTGCTGTTAGGGGGGCATAGTGGGAGTGAGACTGGCCTTTTGGGTTGTGGGCTGCATGGGAGCTGGGTGAGGTCTGTGATTGCTGGTTTTCCCTCACTTCCCTGGTGACCTATGTGATGCAGCAGAGATAGCCATAATTCCCCTGGGAACATAACTCCATTGTCCTGGGAACCACACCCCCATCCCCTATAGCAGCCACAGCAAGTCCCCGCCAAGGAGATTCTGAGCTCAGACATGCCTAATGCTGCCCCCACCTGATTTTCTCTATCGGCCCTGGGAGCAGAAGACAAAGGACACAGTCTCTTGGGAGCTCTATAGCCCTGCCCATCACCTGAGAAACCTGAATACTCATTCAAAGGTGACCCTAGGGCAAGTTTGTATCCTCCCCACACAACCACAGCTGACGCGCTCTTAAAAGCGCCACCTCCTGGCTGGAGGCCAACCAACACAAACCAGTGCACTTAACACACATACAGCCAAGGACCCTCACAGAGTCCACTTCACTCCCCTGCTACCTCCACCAGGGTAGGTGCTGGTATCCACGGTTGAGAGACCTAAAGACGGATCACATCATGGGACTCTTCGCAGACACTCCCCAGTACCAGCCTGGAGTCCTGTAGCTCCACTGAGTGGCTGGATCCAGAAGAGAAATAACAATCACTGCAGTTCAGCTCTCAGGAAGCCCCATCCCTAGGGGAAAGGGGAGAGGACCACATCAAGGAAGCACCCCTCTGGGACAAAAGAATCTGAACATCAGCCCTTCAGCCTCAGATCTTCCCTCTGACATAGTCTGCCCAAACGAGAAAGGAACAGAAAAATAATTTTGGTAAATATGATAAAACAAACCTCTTTAACACCCCCGAAAGATCACACTAGCTCACCAGCAATGGATCCAAACCAAGATGAAATCTCTGAATTGCCAGAAAAAGAATTCAGAAGATCGATTATGAAGCCAACCAAGGAGGCACCAGAGAAAGGTGAAGTCCAACTTAAAGAAATAAAAAAAGATACAGGATATGAATGGAAAAATCTCCAGTGAAATAGATATCATAAATAAAAAACAATCACAGCTTCTTGAAATCCAGGACAAACTTAGAGAAATGCAAAATGCACTGGAAAGTCTCAGCGATAGAATCAAACAAGTAGAAGAAAGAACCTCAGAGCTTGAAGACAAGGCTTTCAAACTAACCCAATCCAACAGAGACAAAGAAAAAAGAATTTTAAAAAATGAACAAAGTCTCCTAGAAGTTTGGGATTATATTAAACGTCCCAACCTAAGAATAGTTGGTGGTCCGGAGGAAGAAGAGAAATCTAAAAGTTTTGAAAACATATTTGAGGGAATAATTGAGAAAAACTTCCCTGGCCTTGCTAGAGATTTAGACGTTCAAATACAAGAAGCTCAACGGACACCTGGGAAACTCATCACAAAAAGATCATCACCCAGGCACATAGTCACCAGGTTATCTAAAGAAAAGATGAAGGAAAGAATCTTAAGTCCTGTGAGGCAAAAGCATCAGGTAACCTATAAAGGAAAACCTGTCAGATTAATAGCAGATTTCTCAGCAGAAACCCTACAAATTAGAAGGGATTGAGGTCCTATCTTTAGTCTCCTTAAACAACGCAATTATCAGCCAAGAATTTTTCATTCAGTGAAGCTAAGCCTCATAAATGAAGGAAAGATACAGTCTTTTTCAGGCAAACAAATGCTGAGAAAATTCACTACTACCAAGCCAGCACTACAAGAACTGCTAAAAGGAGGTCTAAATCTTGAAACAAATCCTCAAAATACACCAAAATAGAATCTCCTTAAAGCACAAATCTTACAGGACCTATAAAACAATAACACAATGAGCTGGGCACAGCGGCTCACACCTGTAATCCCAGCACTTTGGGAGGCCAAGGCGGGTGGATCACCTGAGGTCAGGAGTTTGAGACCAGCTTGGCCAACATGGTGAAACCCTGTCTCTACTAAAATACAAAAATCAGGTGGGCGTGGTGGCAGGTACCTGTAAATCCCAGCTACTCAGGAGGCTGAGACAGGAGAATCACTTGCACCCGGGAGGCAGAGGTTGCAGTGAGCCGAGATCGTGCCGCTGCACTCCAACCTGGGTGACGGAGTGAGACTTTGTCTCAAAAAACAAAACAAAACAAAACAAAACCAAAAAATAATAACACATGATGAACATGTAGTATTGAGATGTGAGAATAGTACCTCACATCTCAATACTAATGTTAAATGTCAGTGGCCTAAATGCTCCACTTAAAAGACACAGAATGGCAGAATGCATAAGAGCTCACCAACCAAGTGCGTGGCTGTCTTCAAGTGACTCACCTGACACACAAGGACTCACATAAACTTAAGGTAAATGGGTGGAAAAAGATATCCCATGCAAATGGACACCAAAAGGGAGCAGGAGTAGCTATTCTTATATTAGACAAAACAAACTTCAAAGCCACAGCAGTTAAAAAAGACAAAAAGGGATATTATATAATGATAAAAGAACTAGTCTAACAAAAAAATCACAGTTCTAAATATACATGCACCTAACACTGGAGCTCCCAAATTTATAAAACAATTAGTACTAGATGTAAATACTGAGATAGACAGCAACACAGTAATAGTGCAGGACTTCAATAATCCATTGATAGCACTAGACAGGTCATCAAGGCAGAAGGTCAACAAAGAAACAATGGACTTAAGCTATACCCTAGAACAAATGGACTTAACAGATATTTACACAACATTCTATGCAACGACTGCAGGGTATACATTCTATTCAGCACAGGGAACGTTCAGAATTAGCTTAGACCATAAGATAGGCCACAAAACAGGTATAATAGATCTCAATAAATTTAAAAAAATCAAAATTATATCAAATACTCTCTCAGACCACAGTGGAATAAAATTGGAAATCAACTCCAAAAGGAACCTTCAAAACCATGCAAATACATGGAAATTAAATAACCTGCTCCTGAGTGATCATTGGGACAACAATTAAAGATAGAAATTGAAAAATTCTTTGACCTGAATGATAATTGTGACACAACCTGTCAAAACCTCTGGGATACAACAAAAGCAGTGTAGCATTAAATACCTACATCAAAAAAGTCTGAGCCTGGCCAACATGGTGAAACCCCATCTCTACTAAAAATACAAAAATTAGCTGGGTGTGGTGGCATGTGCCTGTAATCCCAGCTACTCGGGAGACTGAGGCAGGAGAATCACTTGAACCCAGGAGTCGGAGGTTGCAGAGAGCCGAGATTGCGCCATTGCACTCCAGCCTGGGCGACAACAGTGAAACTCCGTCAAAAAAAAAAAAAAGTATATTAATCCCAGCCTAAAAAGGCAGAAATATCAATTGCTTTGCAGACATGAAAACTATTAACACATACTTAAAATGTACATTACATGTTTTATTCCCTAGAATTCTACAGGTATTTATATGTTATCTCGTTTTTTTTTTTTTTTTGGAAATGCTTGCTACTCTGTATCAGCAAACATCCCAGGGCTCGAAGTAGTGGGAATTGAAAAGCTTTGGGAGAAGTCAGAAAAGAAAAAAAAAAAAAAAAAGCAGGAGGAACCCTCGGTGGAAAGTATGCATAGACAGTAAACATGCCAACGGAGGCCCATCTGTTTCTGTACCCTTTATGCAACATGTCTGTATAATTGGGGATAGGCAAGTTGTATAATTGGGGTTGGCTAATAATAACAATTATTTGAAGTGGGGAATATTAGTCACTTACACTGCAATATAGCCAGGGTATCTGTGTTACTTCACTTGGTTCTGATTTAAATGATCTGTTTTGTTTTGTTTTGTTTGAGACGTTGTCTCACTGTGTCACCCAGGCTGAAGTGCAGTGGCATGATCTCAGCTCACTGCAACCTCCACCTCCCAGGTTCGAGTGATTCTCCTGCCTCATTCTCCCGAGTAGCTGGGATTACAGGCACCCACCACCACGCCTGGCTAACTTTTGTATTTTTAGTAGAGCCGGGGTTTTACCATGTTGGCCAGGGTGGTCTGGAACTCCTGGCCTCGAGTGATCCCACCTACCTCAGCCCCACAAAGTGCTGGGATTATATACCATATTTTCTTTATTCATTCGTCTGCTGTTGGACACGTAGGTTGATTCCATATCTTGGTTATTGTGAATACTACTGCAATAAACATGGAGGTGCAGATGTCTCTTAGATATACTGATTTCCTTTTTTGTGTGTGATAAATGCCCAGTAGTAGGATTGCTGGATGATATAGTGGTTGTTTTTATAGTTTTTAAAGAACCTCCATACTGTTCTACATAGTGGTGGTATTAATTTACATTCTAATCAACAATGTGTAAGAGTTCCCTTTTCTCTGCATCCTTGCCAGCATTATTTTTTATCTTTTTGATAATAGCTAACCTAACTCAGGTGAGATGATACCTCATTATGGTTTTAATTTGCATTTCCCTGATGATTAGTGATGTTGAGTAGTTTTTTCATATATCTGTTGCCCACTTTTATGTCTTCTTTTGAGAAATGTCTGTTCAGATCATTTGCCCATTTTAAAATCACCTTGTTTGTTTTTGCTATTGAGATGTTTGAGTTTTTTGTATATTCTGGATATTAATGCCTAGTCAGATGAATAGTTTTCAAATATTCTTCCATTCTATAAGTCATGTTTTCACTCTGTTGTTTGTTGTGCAGAGCTTTTTATTTTGATATAATCCCATTTATTTATTTTTGCTTTCATTGCCTGTGCTTTTGAGGTTTTATTCATAAGATATTTTCTCAGACTAATATCCTGAAGCATTTTCCCTGTTTTCTACTATAAGTTTTGTAGTTTCAGGTTTTACATGTAAATCTTTGAATCATTTTGAGTTTATTTTTGTATAGGGTGATCCATGGGAGTCTAGTTTCATTGTTCTACATATGGATATTCAGTCTCCCCAGCAGTATGTATTAAAGAGACTGTCCTTTCCCCAATGAGTGTTCCTGGCACCTTTGTCAAAATCAGTTGGCTATAGATACTTGGATTAATTTTCAGGTTTTCTGTTCTGTTCCATTGGTCTCTGTGTCTATTTTTATGCCAGTGCCATGCTATTTTGGTTACGACAGCTTCGTAGTATATTTTGAGGTCTGGTAGTGTGATGCTTCCAGCTTTGTTCTTTTTACTCAAGATTGCTTTGGCTTTTTCAGGTCTCTTGTGGTGTACTTTCATATCTCTACTTTCTCAATAATACCTCAAAAGCCATTTTTTTTCATATGATGCCCACACCAAAGAATAAACAAAGACATAAATACCTCAAGGACCTAATACCTAAAAAATTGAGCCTCTGTAATCTCAAAGAGAAAGTAAGAACCTGAGGGTTCCAAGGGAAGATGAATGTGAGGAAAACAGTGAGTAGCCTAGAGATAAAGGAATAGAAGATCTATAGTCTTCAAAGTTGGAAGATAAAGGAAGATGGCCTTCTGTCTTCAAGAACAAAATTTGAAATGGAGGGAATCAGCCCTGGAGCTATTGCTGATGTGTTTGCCAAATCAATACATCCCTTTATCATCCTTCAGTATGGGTATTTATAGGGCCACTTGAAGAGAGCCTATAGCCAACTTGGACATCTTTGGTGTCTTGGTGACTAAGGAGGGAAACCCAGTTTCTCTCAAAAGGGAAATGAAGAGAACTGCTGTATATGTCCCCTATGAACCATGGGAGCAGTAAGTAAAACTTGGTAAAGGTCATCAAATTAGTTCTGCCAGGCTCTCACCTGTGACTGTGAAGGCACCTCATGTAAAGTAACATGCCTTCCTGGGAATGGCATTTGATAACAGCAGATTTGTTCTCAGTAATATGTTTTCTTTTCATTTCATTTCTTTTCTGTTCTTTTCCAGATAGGGTCTCACTGTGTTGCCCAGGCTGGCCTCTAACTTCAGGAGTTCAACAGTTTCTCCTGCTTCAGCTTCCTGGGTAGCCAGGACAGGTGTGTGCCACCAGGCTAATCTTCAGTAACGTGTTTTCTTTGATCTATCATTGCATGTTTTGTTAGCCTCCCATGGCTGGATTGAATCTTGAATACCTCCCATGATCTTATCACACCCATCTTAACTAGAATATTTCCATTCAACATTGTGGCCACAAATTTTCCAATCTTTTGAAATGAGGTCAAAGCTCTTCATTTGAATTTGCTTATTAGTGTTTACCTATATTGAAAAAAAACTACATCATTAATTGCATCCTTCAGTTCTGGTCCTTATAAGTGGAAAGAGAGCTTTAGAGATACTTGGAAAGATCAGAATGTAGAATCATAGATATTTACACTTTGTTCTCAATATTTTACAGCTGAATGGTAAAAATTTAATTTGACAGCAAAAAGTTTTGTGAGAGCTCAGTTTAATTTTTTTTTTTGACGAAGTCTTACTCATTCTGTTGCCCAGGCTGGAGTGCAGTGGCATGATCTTGGCTCACTGCAGGCTCCACCTGCTGGGTTTAAGTGATTCTCCCGCCTCAGCCTCCCGAGTAGCTAGGATTACAGGTGCCCACCACCGTGCCCAGCTAATTTTTGTATTTTTAGTAGAGACAGGGTTTCACCATGTTGGCCAGGCTGATCTCAAACTCCTGACCTCAAGTGATTGGCCTGCCTCAGCCTTCCAAAGCGCTGGCATTACAGGCGTGAGCCACCATACCCAGCCCAATTTAGTTTTTATATAAAGGTGGCATAAATGGTAACACCATCTTTCAACCTTGAACTTTCCAAATGCAATCAATAGGACTTGCAGAAGTAATAGGGAATATTAACTAAACTAAGGCTGTGCTACACCATGTGGTTTAACTTTAGATTAATTGAAATTAAATAACATGAAAAATTCAGTTCCTCAGCTGCACTGTTCACATCTCATGTGCTCAATTGCCATATTGTCTAGTGGTTACAACATTAGACATCTCAGATACAGAACATTCTGATCATTGCCGAAAGTTCCATTGGACAGCTAATTAGAGTCCCTTATATGAAGTTCACCTCAGGAGGCTCATACTGGAATTAAGAGGCATTTCAATTATTCTCCAATTCCATCTTGTACTGCATCAATGTGCCCCAGCAAGGATCTCCTCCACTCGCTCCCTATGTATCCAGGGATCCCCTGGAGTTTTAGTGTCTGCTGTGACATTCTGGAGATGCCTCCTGATGAATTGGAAAAATACTGACATGGGTGAGGTCTGGTGGTCAAGAATTGTTGGATGCTTGCCAGCCCATGAATACACAATGGATACACAGAGAGACGAGGAGGAGTCAGGAATCAAAGGCAATGAAATATTTCCACTTAGGGCTGCAAGCCCGTCCAGGCAAGTCCTCCCTTTGAGCTGGAATTCTTTTTACATCTACCCAGCCACAGAAGACAGAAATGGAGCCCATTACGTCATTTCTCAACTTGCTATTCCTCCAGCATATTCCTTGCATAAGACTCCCTGTAGGATCTCACCGAAGGAGGACACAAATTCCTGAAACCTTTGACCTGACCCTCTTCTCTCCCTATACACCCCAGTCACTCACTTTTGATCATGTGCACCCTCTTTGTCTTAGGCTTCAGAGTCCCAAAGGCTGTTATTTTCTTCCTTTCTGGACAATAAGGTAGAAAAATTTGAAAATATGTGAAGATCTCCAAGGATTTGATACAAATGACCAAAAGTACATCTGAATATGAGAACTTTGACTTTTCTTTCAACTTATGTAGTAATAAGTACCCATTAAAAATGTTAAAGAATCAGTCTCAACATATTAAAAACCTTGAGACTTAAATATAGAAAATAAGAAATACTTCTTCTACTATTTTCTTATGTTTTTTTCTTGTGGGGCAGGGAGGTAGTGGACTCTTAAGCTTAGGAGTCTAGAGAGGGCAAGAGAGGCTCATTTTTAGAGTAAAAATATTAACCACATTTTTCCTCAGGGCTGAGGAAAGAATACACCAAAATATAGCTGTGGTTTATAACTGGATTTGAGTTGGCTGTGAAGGGGAATTTGAAACTTTTTGTATCCAGAAACATCAATGGATACGATTTTAGTTCCCCATAAATCAGCCGTGCTAACATTCATGTATAATAATAATTATTATTTTTTAAAGTGAAAGCAAGTTTATTAAGAAAGTGAAGGAATAAAAGAATGGCTACTCCATAGGCAGAGCAGCCCTAAGGGCTGCTGGTTGCCCATTTTTATGGTTATTTCTTGATTATAAGATAAACAAAGTATACTAGTCTGCTCTCATGCTGCCAATAAAGACACACTCAAGACTGGGTAATTGATAGAGGAAAGAGGTTTAATTGACTCACAGTTTCACCTGGTTGAGGAGGCCTCACAATCATGGAGGAAGGCAAGGAGGAGCAAAGCCACATCTTACATAGTGGCAGGCAAAGAGAGAGCTTGTGCAAGGGAACTCTCATTTATAAAACCATCAGAACTCTTGAGATTTATTCACTACCATGAGAACAGCATGGGAAAGACCCGTCCCCATGATTTAATTACCTCCCACTGCATCCCTCCCATGACAGGCGGGAATTATGGGAGCTACAATTCAAGATGAGATTTGGGTAGGGACACAGCCAAACCATATCATTCTGCCCCCAACCCCTCCCAAATTTCATGTTCTCACATTTTAAAACCAATCATACCTTCCCCACAGTCCCCCAAATTCTTAACTCATTTCAGCATAAACTTAAAAGTCCATAGTCCAAAGTCTCATTTAAGACAAGGTGAGTTCCTTCCACCTAGGAGCCTGTAAAATCAAAAGCAACTTAGTTACTTCCCAGATACAATGGGGGTACAGGTATCGGGTAAATACACCCATTCCAAATGTGACAGACTGGCCAAGATGGAGGGGCTACAGGCCCCATGCAAGTTAGAAATCCAGCAGGGCAGCCAAATCTTAAAGCTCTGAAATTATCTCCATGGACACCATTTCTCACATCCAAGTTATGCTGCAAGAGGTGGGTTCCCATGGTCTTGGGCAGCTCTGCCTCTGTGTCTTTGTGGCTGCTTTCACTCCTGGTGTTGAGTGTCTATGGCTCTTCCAGGTGCACAGTGTAAGCTGTTGGTGGATCTACCATTCTGGGGTCTGGAGGACGCTGGCCCTCTCCTCACAGCCCCACTAGGCGGTGCCTCAGTGGGGACTCTGTGTGGGGTTTCAAGCCCACATTTCCCTTCTTCATTGCCCTAGCAAAGGTTCTCCATGAGGGCGCTGTTCCTGAAGCAAACTTCTGACTGGACATCCAGGCATTTCTCTACATCCTCTGAAATCTAGGCGGAGGTTCCCAAACCTCAATTCTTGACCTCTGTGCACCCGCAGGCTCAACACCATGTGGATGCTGCCTAGGCTTGGAGCTTGCACCCTTTCAAGCCATGGCCCCAGCTGTACCTTGGCCCCTTTTATCCATGGCTAGAGCAACTGGGATGCAGGATATCAAGTCCCTAGGCTACACACAGCCAAATCATATCACAAGGGGTGGATTATTCATGAATTTTCCAGGAAGAGTGGGCAATTCCCAGAACTGGGGGTTCCTCCCCTTTTTAGACTATATAGGGTAATTTTCTGATGTTGCTATGGAATTTGTAAACTGTTTTGGTGTGGGTAGGAGTGTCTTTTAGCATGCTAATGCACTGTAATTAGCATATAATGAGCAGTGAGGACAATTAGAAGTCACTTTTGTTGCTATCTTGGTTTTGGCCGGCTTTTCTTACTACAACCTGTTTTATCGGCAAGGTCTTTATAAGCTGTATCTTGTTCTGACCTCCTATCTCATCCGGTGAGTTAGAATGCCTTAACCATCTGGGAATGCAACCCAGCAGTTCTCAGCCTTGTTTTACCCAGACCCTATTCAAGGTGGAGTTGTTCTGATTCAAATGTCTCTGACATTTCCCCCCTCCCTTTTACAAGGCAACTCTTAATCCTAAGGGTTGTGGAAGGATGAAGATCCATATTCTGTAACTTCTTCAGGCTGAATAGGGGCAATGCTTTCCTGCCTAACTGTTAGGGTCTCTTGTATTCAGGGTAGAGAGGAGCTCAGAAAGCATAATTATGGTGAGGGTCACTTGTAACTCCGAGTTCTGACAAAAGGTGGTATCTGTCTTGTTTATTCTGAACTGCAACCAGAGATCACTGGTTGGCTCACAGGAATAAGCAGTCAGTCTAAATTGCAGAAGAAAACCCTCAAAAACAACTGATGAGATTAGAATCTAATAACAGGTGTACCATAGTTCTTGAAACATAATTTTTCTCTCTCCAGTCTCCCATTTTTTACTAAAGACAAATCATGGCAAAACCAATTTGCTTTATTATACTTGGCCTAATTATTTGTATAAAGTGCAGCAATAATAATTATTTTTCACAGAGGCTTTTAAAATTGACTTTGATGGAACTGTGTTTCATAAAATGAATCTCAGATAAGACTTTTTAAAAGCTGAGCCCAGCCGTGAGTTTGCACCCTCAAATACCTGAGTTGGGTAAATTCCTCTCCTCTTGAGGTCCCAAGATAACCTGGGGCTCCTGGGCCAATCAGAAAGTGACATTCTTTACTTACCACAGGTCGGGAACCCTGTACAGGGACTGTGTAGACAAGGCATGAGGCCAGGTTTCCCAAGGGGCTTTTATTGGCTTTATAAGTCAAGTTTGATTCCTTAAAGGAAAACATACCATTCCAATCAAAGCTTTGGTAAAATCACCAGTTTCTCCAATTGTGTCTGTTTGCAAAAGAAAACAGATCCTTATTGTACTTATGCAAATAACTATATTGCTATAAGTTAAGAATACTCACAAATAGTTTCCAAATTTTGGAGAAATCAGGCAGAGAGAAACAAATATGCTCCAAATTTTGTTCACAGGAGTTAAGCTGTCAGTAGCTCAAAAGAAAAGTTTCCTTGACTCTGAAAAACAAAACAAAGGATCCGCAACATTTTAAGCAAAAAGCCGAAAAAGATCACCTCAGTCCTCTATTAGTTCAGTCCATACAGATAACTTCTGTTCTGTTTGATATTCATGAACATTTCAGCTCTCCATGAGAGTCCTGAAAGTTTTTTCCTGTATTCTAATGTCACAATCTCCAAAGTTATCAGAAAACCTGCATTTAAGAATATCTGCTAGAGTCCTATAGCTGATTACAAACCACCTTTTGAAGAGGATTAAAACAAGAAAGCAATGATCTGTGGATGACATAAAGTCTTAGGACAGCCATAGTCAAAGATACGATTGACAAAGATATTTGGTTACCTTGTGGCACACAATAATTTAACATAACAATTGTAATTATTACTGATAATGTACACTAAGTTATATTAGAATAATAAGAGTTTCTCATGATTTGGGAACACATACCAATACATATTTACACAAATACAGCCCAAAGAAAGCCAAACATCATTTCATATTTGACAGTGTTTCTTGTATGATTTTTGTATCAAATAAGCCAAATGCCACCTTTGCATTAGTGTACTATTAATGTTAAACCTAATTCTTAATAAAATTTTATAGACAAATCTATTTAACCTTAATCAGTTTGACCATAAGGTAAGATTCTCGTAAACTTTTTATTAACCCTTAACAGATTTTCTTTAAAAAGCAGATCAGTGCTCTAAGATAAACCTTTTGTACTTTTATTCCAATGTTCAATTCATGGAAAAAACTGAGTAATACCCCTTTAACTTTAGCCAACATGTTCATACACAGAATTTCTTTCACAAGATCAATTTTTCACAAACCTTTCATAACTTGCTTAAACCTTCAGCTTTATTCTATCTTAAAACTTAAAACAATCCTTCAACCCTTTAATCTAGGCAAAAACAATCCACATTCCCATGCCTTCTTATAATCTTTTACCAAAAACACATTTCACTTTTTTACACACCTTGCATGTAAAACTTTTTTTCCTGAAGATTACATAAGTCACATGAACTAAAAGGCATTATAGTTTTTGTTTTTCTGAGAAAATATTTGATATAAGCTCTTATTATTTTTAAACCAATTAATTAAAGCTCTTTTATATAAACATTACACACAACACATGTAAATACACAGACAGACAGAAGAAGATCCAGTAGTTGTAAGATTGTTCATTTGCCAGTTTGTTAATTGGATTACTGGCAGGGTGGAGCCTTTGGAGGAACAGGGCCAGGAAAGCATGCAGTTTCTACAGCCTAACAAGCAGGCACAGCTGGAAGGCAAAAACAGATCCCCAAAAATTAAGGGCCTCATTTTTACACCAGGTCCTGGATCCCCAAAAGAAATGCTATAGAACAAGACAGTACAATAATTTTACCATGCATTTAATTGCTAGGCAACCCAAAGTCAATCAGCCCATTCTGTGATTAACCCATCCCCCATAGGAGTCTTATGTCTGGGTGGGGGGAAAGGGCATTTCCATACTTTTTAGGTGGTCAAGAGCATGCTTTTCTGTTCCAAGAAAAAGCAAAGCGCCATATATTCCCAAACCACTGCCATTAGTTATTTACCAAAGTATATTTCCTATCTAGTTATTACACACCAGAGTTCTCTCATAATGCAAAGTAATTTCTGATATTCCCCCAAATCAAAACCATCACATAACACAATGCGAAACAGAACAGAGTCTTCGATTTTGAGAGGAATCTATCCACTTTTAATTCCTAGGGTTTCATGAGGAAAACAGGTTTTTCCCAAAACGTGGTCTGTAGCACTTCCTGTTTTTCCCAAGGAGTTCCATGATGCTAGAGCTTGAAAAAGCTGACTTTTAACCATAGTGCTCTTAAAAAATCCTTTAAAATTTCTTATTACCCAACTTTAGCCAGGCCAAACTGCCAATATTTCTGGCTTTTGAACTTTACCAAAGGAAAACCTTCCAAATGCTCCGAGAAAGGAAAATTCAAGATGGTTGGTGGAGGGGAAAAGAATCAACAAATGATGAAGGTCACACAGATATAAACCAGAAAGCACTGATTCCCTAAGCCAGGATTGAACCCAGGACACCATTGGAGAATGGCACAGCCTTACCTACTGAGCTACAGCACTGAGCAGTTTCTGCTGCTTTTCCCAGAAGGAGCCTAGAGCAGCCAATTTTGAGCTTGCACAGGCTTTTAAGTGCTCAAGATAGTTTTTAGAGTTAACTGTGATATGAACCCCTAAATTCATGTTCCCTGGAAGGTAGAGCCAGGAGAAAGTACTGCCACATCGTTACAAGGTTAAGCTCCCAAGGACATCTTTCAACATGTGGTCTCTGGGCAAGATGAAGGAGCAGACAGTTGTCCTGAGTAACAGAAAAGAGAGAAAAGAGAAAGGAGAGAAAGGGAGAAAAGCATTGCCTGTGGCAGGGTAGGGAAGGCAAAGAACTCAGGGAGGCCAGAGAAAGACTCACCCATTGCAGCCACACTGAATCAAAAGTTTAGGCCGCCCCTTCTTGGTTGCGAAGGAATCTTTTCCAGCAGTCCCATCAGCTCTCAAGTTTCCCCCTTTGGGGAGAAGAAAAGTTCCCCATGTCCTATTGTCCCATGATCCTGTACATGCCTAATCCTGTCACCCACAGCCATCAGCAAAGAGTGCAAGGCAGATTAATCCAAAGAGAATAGCACTTAACATCCTGTAGTGCCAAACCTGTTCTTAGCACATAGAGAGGGACTTTACTGAGAGGGGCCTCCATCCTCTTAAGTCTTAGGAAGGATTCTAATCTGCCTAAGATGGGCCTTGAACCCAAGTTCGGTCAAGCGTCCTTGCCTTTAATTAAGAACGACCTTTACTCATGTATGATTATTTTTATTGTGGTAGAAAGAGCTTGGAGCTAGTAGTTCAGCAAAGTGAATATAAACCCTGAATTGGCACGGAGTGATGGGGCACTTACTCTATTATTTAAATTCATTGCAATCATTACAGATGCCCTCCAGAGCTATCACCAAAGCCTCCCTTTTCTCTATTCAAAAGAACATTTAGAACACACACGCATGCACACACACACACACACACACACACACACACATACACGATCCCTCTGTCCTCTTTTATGTCATCACTAACTCAGTTCAAAGAGCACTTCCTCAGAAGCATTCACTCACTCACTCCCCAGATTTTGTCAAGGTTCCCTTTTATCAACTCCCATTTGAAATCTTTACTTTCCCTACATGCACTTTAAAAGAGATGGTATTTCAATAATTATCCTTTCAATGTCCATTTCATGTCCTGCACTACAATAGAAATGTCTTGCCATACACTCTGCATCTAGCACAGAGCCCTGCGCAGAGGAGATGCTCCATATTTATTGACTTCAACATCAATAGCCAAATTGAGGCACTGAGTGGAAGTAAACCAAATTCAATTAAATAAGATGGGTCAGGAAAGACCCATACTTGGGAATAAATCTAATAAAAGTGTACAAGATCTTAACACTGACAGTTACAAAACATTGCTGCAATAAATTCAAGAATTTTGAAATAAACAGAGCTATTCCATGCTCATGGATTGGATTTCTTAATATCTTTAATAAGTGATTCTCCTTAAATGAGGTATAGATTTGGTGCAATCAAAATCAAAGTCTGTAGGCAGGCATAGTGGCACGTGCCTGTAATCCCAGCTACTTGGGAGGCTGAGACAGGAGAATCGCTTGAACCCGGGAGGCGGAAGTTGCAGTGAGCCAAGATAGCACCACTGTACTCCAGCCTGGGTGACAGAACGAGACTCCACCTGAAAAAAAAAAAAAAATTCCAACAGCTTTTTTCTTCCTGGAAGTTTACATGCTGATTCTTGTTACAGGACCTAGAAAAGCCAAAATATTTATTCTTAATTTTAATATTTGTGGGTACATAGTAGGTGTATATATTTATGGGGTACATGAGATGTTTTAATACAAGCATGCAATGCATAATAATCATGTAAGTGGGGTTTCCATCTCCTCAAGCATTTATCCTTTGTGTTACAAATAATCCAATTACACTCTTGGTTATTTAAAAATGTAGAATTAAATTATTATTGACTATAGTCACTCTGCTATGCTATCAAATACTAGATCTTATTCATTTATTATATTTTTGTACCCATTAACCATCCCTCCTACCCTCAATACACTTTCCCATTAACCACGCCCCCTACCCATACCCTTTCCAGCCTCCAGTAACCATCCTTCTAATCTCTATCTCCATGAGTTCAATTGTTTTGATTTTTAGATCCCACAAATAAGTGAGAACAGGTGATGTTTGTCTTTCTGTGTCTGGCTTATTTCACTTGGTATGACCGCCAGTTCTATCCATGTTGTTGCAAATGGCAGGATCTCATTCCTTTTTATGACTAAATAGTACTCCATTTTGTGTAAGTACCCCATAGATACTTAGGTTGTTTCCAAATTTTGGCTATTATGAACAGTGCTACAACAAATATGGAAGTGCAGGTATCTCTTCAATATATTAACTTCCTTTCTTTTGGGTATATATCCAGCAGTAGGATCATATGGTAGCTCTATTTTTAGTTTTTTGAGGAATCTTCAAACCGTTTTCCACAGAGGTTGCATTAATTTACATTCCTACCAACAGTGTATGAGGGTTCCCTTTTCTCCACATCCCTGCCAGCACTTGTTATTGCCTGTCTTAAGGATATAAACCATTTTAACTGGGGTGAGATGATATCTCATTGCAGTTTTGATTAGCATTTCTCTGAAGATCAATGATATTGAACACCTTTTCATATGCCTGTTTGCCATTTGTATGTCTTCTTTTGATATATGTCTATTCAGATCTTTCACCGATTCTTTTGATCAGATTATTATATTTTTTTCCTATAGAGTTGTTTGAGCTCCTTAGGTATTGTGGTTACTAATTTTTCTTTTCTTTTCTTTTTTTACTAATTTTTCATCATATGGGTTTGCAAATATTTTTCTTATTCTGTGTGTTGTCTCTTCACTTCATTGATTGTTTCCTTTGCTGTGCAGAAGCTTTTCTTTTCTTTTCTTTTCTTTTCTTTTTTGAGAGGGAGTCTCGCTCTGTCGCCCAGGCTGGAGTGCAGCGGCGTGATCTCACTCACTGCAACCTCTGCGTCCTGTGTTCAAGTGATTCTCCCAAGTAGCTGGAAATACAGGTGCATGGCACCATGCCCAGCTAATTTTTGTATTTTTAGTAGAGACGGGGTTTCAACGTGTTGGCCAGGCTGGTCTCAATCTCTTGACCTTGTGATCTGCCTGCCTTGGCCTCCCAAAGTGCTAGGATTACAGGCCTGAGCCACCGCGCCTGGCTGGCATTTATTTATTGGGTGCTGCTACAGATCCCTCTGCAGATATTAAGCAAATGTGCTGAAAGCCTTTCCAAGAAAGAATGAGTCAGATTCCAATCCGGGCCTTAGCCCCAGGATATTGTCCACAGAAATGTGGAGCACAATGATTACGCCTCTTTCTCACTTAGGGGATTTTCTGTAGAATCTGTTTCTCTCCAGTTCTTGCCCTATATTGATATATTTCTCAGGGCTGCTCTCTAGAGGGTAAAATGTGATGTGTCAGAAGATCCATGGAAGCAGCCAGGAACCAGTTGCTAGGAGTTTGGAAAAAAATCCTGGGAGCAGGCAGAGGGTATGTGGGTTTGAATGTCAAAACGGCCATGAAGCAAAGTAAGTGAGAACCAAAGAATCCCATCAAAGTAGCCCCTGAGAGACCCTTAAGGCTGAAAGTGGAACTTAGCTCAGCATGGCCCTCTCAGCCAGGTGATTTTTTCTCTTGATTTCTGGTGAAGCGTGAGCTTGTAAAGCCACAGGGAGCCAGCACCTACCATCTTCTTGAAAGCCTGATGCCAAAGATCTTTAAACATCTTGACACCATATATCAAGGAATCCAGCTGCCAGATAAAATACAAGACTTCTAGTTAAGTTTGAATTTCAGATGAGCAACAAAGAAATATTTAGTGTAAGTATGTCCCAAGTGTTACCCAAAACATACTAAAATGTTTAAATTATCTGAATGTCAAATTTAAGTGGGCATTCTTATGTTTTTATTTGCTAAACTGGCAACCATAACTAGGAACACCCAACTCCCAGCATCCATGAAAGCTCTCTCTACTTTCCTGCAGACTCAAAGCCAAAGAAGTACCAATACTTCTTCAGGGACCAGTGTATTAAGCCACTTTTGCATTGCTATAAGGAAATACCCAAGGCTAGGTAATTTACAGAGAAAAGACGCTTATTTGGCTCATGCTTCTTCAGGCTATATAGGAAGCATGGTGCTGGCATCTGGTTGGCTTCTGGTGAGGCCTCAGTGACCTGTTACTCATGGCAGAATGTGAAGCAGGAGCAAGCATGTCACATGGCTAGAGTGGGAATGAGACTGAGAGGAAGTGTCACACATTTTTAAATGACCAGATCTTGCAAGAACCCACTATTGTGAGGACAGCACCAAGCTATGAGGGATCTTCCCCATGACCCAAACACCTCCTGCCAGGCCCCACCTCCAATACTGGTGATTATATTTCAACATGAGATTTGGAGAGGACATTCAACCTATATCAACCATTTAAATTTAAAGTTGAGGAATGAAAACATTTAAGAGCAAGTAAGCATGAATTATGTTCACCCAATCGTACTCCTAAAACCATCTCAGCTCCTCTCCTTCAGCCAAGGGCATGTCCTCATGTCCAATCTGGTTCTCACTGGAGAGATTTGGGAGTGGGAACTCTGCAATCTTGCTGTGGTCAATAAAAGAACCTCCCAGAGGCTCACAGGGGCTTCAAGCTTCAATCGTAGTCCCCATTTCAGATCCTCTGACACTCTCCCATCCACTCTCCTTGTGCCTGCTTCAAAGCCACAGCAAACAGAAGCCAAACCTTTAGTAAGGATGATCCCAATCTCAATTCCAACCCCAGCCCCAGCATATCCACCTTTGCCTATACCTAACACTACTATCTGGACATCCGCTTTCAGCCCAGGCCCTCGCTGTTTTCCTCATTGCCTCTGTGGCACCTCAGTCCCAGTTTGCCCTCCACCCATCCAGGAAGCTCACTCCCTTCCCTGGATTCTCATCTTGGCTCTTTTATGAGCTTCCTTGCATGCCTTCACCTTCCTGGGTTCCAGAGAGCCCAAGACCAGCTCCCAGGAATAGTGCCCCTACCCCGATGAGCCTGATCCCAGAAGAATTAGCCCCAAAGTAATGCTGAGCTTTAGCCAGAACAAAAGCTAGCCTAGAAAATTCCCCAGGCAGGAAACAGATGACTGCACATAAGTCTCATTGCCGACCCCATTCGTTTCCCACAGGGGCTTGTCTGCATCCTCATCCACGTGTGCTCAGGCTCAGAGTGAGTTTCAGGTGAGGAAAGAGTGATGAACAAGCAGAATGGAGGAGGAATTTGTGGGGTTGCAGGATGGGGCTCTGACAGGGCCCCAGGTTGGCAGCCAGGTTTGTTTCTCTCTGGGACCCACATCTGATCTATCCCTCAGGAAAGAGTCAGTCAGCCAGCCCCCAGGTGTGGAAACCAGATCTGTGACATCATGGAGAACTGCTCCATGGATAAGCCCATGAGTAAGCCCTAGTGCCATTTACCCAGGTGTGGATTCACCTGCTCCTATGCTCCACTTCCAGCAATGATGACAAACATTCTTTGGTCCCTTGGATCAAAAGACTTTGAGTCAAAAGGTTTCAGGTGTGAACTCTGACTGCACCTTCCCCCATAATCAAAGAAGGATCCAGGTAGGAATCCCTGCCATGCTCCAGGCTGAAGCGGGGAGAGAGCAGCAGAAAAGGAATTTCAATAACTGGGTCCTCCCAAGAGGGGACCCTGCTCTGTTCTCCATCTCTCCACCTTTTGTCACAGATGCTCTTCAACCAATTCCGCCACCATGTGTCACCATGTGTCTCTGAACACAAATCTTAAACAATCTCTTTATCTCTCCAGATGAAGAAAGACCCACCAGGGCAGACAGAGCTGATGTTTCCTTGCAGTGGCTTAGACAGTAATCTGAGGTCCTGGGATACAGGGTACATTAAGATATTAAAGACCTCGAGCTCTGAGTGTCGAATCTCATCATGATGGAATCCAACATAAAACAAGACTGAATGCAAACATGATGCTTAATTGTGTGCGGAATTGAAAAAAATAGTTCTCAATTTTTTTGCTTGCAAATTGTGGGATACGTTTACCAGATTTGAACTTTTCCCTTATTTGTCATCCCGCTTTGTTGATTCTGTAACCAGGGGCTTGGGATTCATTTTGGGGATCCCAAAGCCCTTGTTTGTTGAAGGGTTTCAAAGTCTGGTAGGAGGGTGGTGCACACACAGATAGAATTGTTCATCTGTGGGCGGCCTCTGACTCCCTCCCTGGGTAGGCCTCCAGGCCCAATCCTTCCTTCTGAGGAACCGCCGGGAAAGACTTTGATCAAAACAATTAAATGCATTGGGAGCTCAGTCTGAGGCAATTATGTGGTTTCATAGAGGAAGAGGTAGAGATGACTCAGGCATTTCTGGCCCCATGTCAGCCTCAGGGCAATCACATTCGGGATTTTGCAAAAGACACATTCACTCTGAGCACTGGAGACCTACATCTCTTTGTCCAGTTGACTTAAGTTCTCACCAAGTGAATATCTTCATGCTAAAGACAGTTTCATTTGTGATTAGGGACAGGAGAGCATGTTTCCCCTCGGTCCTCTGATTCTGACTGGAGGGGCAGTGCTGAGTTCTGGATCGGGGCTGCTGGCAGTACGTGGGAAAGCTGTCCTATCAGTACTGTATAGAACAGGTGGTCAGAGAAAATGCCTCCCTGGAAAACCTTTTCACATGGTTGAATGTCCCCAGACATGAGAGGGAGTGGAGGACTTTGTTCTAGAGCCCACCTCAGAGGCCAGGCACTGCCAATGCCATGAGCAAAATCTTCCACCTCTTTCCCCCAATTTTCTCTCCATCTGGATTCTGTGTTGCTGAGGTCATTTGCTCTGTCTCTTCCTACCCTCTGTATTCTTCTCTCTCATCTGACTGACTTTTCTCACTCAATTTTCAAATATCACCTAAAATAATAATACAGATAAGAAACAAATGTATTCTAATGAAAATGTTCAGTCTGAGAAGTAAAGATTACATGGTGAGCATTGATAATTTTTATCATGCTTCCTACCCTCCCCAAAGGTAACTGCATTTAAGATGTAGTGTTTGTATTTTTCCATAAATTCTGTATAGTTGAATACATATAAGTCTACATATATGCCACACTTTTCCCTTCTTATAAATAAGATATCATACATCCCCCCCTTGAAGCCCTAAAAGCCCACAGATCACAGATAATTCTCATGGCTGCCTAGATTTCTATTTTATGGATAAATTGTAATTTATTTCATTTGTCTTCTTTTTGAAAATTATGTAGGTTGTTTGCAATATTTCAGCCTTACCCTAAAAATTCTGCAACAAATATTCTTGTATGTACATATTTGGGCACTTTAATTAGAGTGTTTAGTCAACAGCAATAGATGTGAAAATTCTGAAGCAAATTGTGTAAGATGCTCTGAGCCATATGCATAGGGAAAAATCTAAACAATAGATTAGACTAAAGCAATAAACATGAATGAACAGGTTCAGGGTTTCAGTTTTAAGAATTGAAACATATTTTGAATGGCAGCCAGTAAAATGCACTGACTCCAAACACTTCAAACAAGACATTCCTGTTATCAGGAAGGTTAGGAGGGTAACGCTTGTTTTGTTCACTAAGCTGGGTGGACTCATGATTACTGAAGCAATACTCATTTCTGCTTTAGTCTCCTATGTTTGCATCCCATGAAGCTCAAATACGAATTGAAGCAAATCTCTAAGATTTTTTTTTTTTTGCCTTATCTCCTAAAACTTGAGGAATGCATGTGTTCTTAGTGATTCACATCCACGGGACAAAAACTCAAGGAGAAATAAGAGCTGACGTCATGCAAGTCTTGGCTGCTTTTGTTACTATACATTTTCTCTGAGAGTCCAACAGACTTCGGGCTGGAACTTGGCACTGGAGACTCATGTTCGGAATCATAGGGGAACATCTGGCTGTTAATCACTTGCACAATTTAGAACATTTCCTTTACATTGGCTTTAAATTCTAGCCCTTATTTCATTTTGTAGTCTTATTTTCTTTCTTCTGCATGCTCACAATACCAAGCATTAAATGTATTTTAATAACTAAAAAAAAAAAGGAATTTTATTTCTGGTGGTGTTACTAATGGTTGTGTGATTGTGCAGAGTCCAGAAAGCTGCTGACTTAACTACCCATCACCCAGCTCAAAACGCCCAATCCCCTCTTAGGTGAAAAGTGATGACCATACAGATATTTAAAGGAGAAGCACCCTCACTTACAACATCAGAGGGTCAAATCTACAGGCTCATCAGCTGTCCTACATTTTGTCAAAATAAAGCTCCTCTCAAACATGGAGGCACATCGGCAGTTCATGGAGCCAGAAGTACCTACTTCACCCTCTCTCTTACATGGGTGGGCCTGAAGTACTCCTTATCAGGGCATCTGGACTCTATTTTGGGTGTGTGCAAAGTGTTTTGAAGGGTTTTTCTTGGTCGATGTTTTGTATTTGGGGGAAAAATTAATCATCCTCAAATTGAATCGCCTAATCACCAGGTGACCCCAGGTGATGGCATGGCACCATACTCTCCAGAGGTCTGCGATATTTGCCCAGTGGAGTACAGCTCCCAACAAGCCTGCGGTCCTCCATTCATGATGCTCTCTAGAATCCCAAGATGGCGTTTGTTTGCCTGCATGGGATTCACCTTCCATGACTCTCAGGAATCAGGAACTCAAAAGACATGATCCTGTTTTTTTTTTTTTCTTTTTTTCTCTGCCTATGTGTATCAGCTCAGCCAACCTCCTCAATGTGCTTTCCCTCACGCCAGCGGCACACCAGCAAGTCAGCAAAGTTCAGGGGCTCAGTATGCACTGAATGAGGACACAAGTCTTATTTGCCTCTCCCTTGACTATGTTGGGGGTAAGGAGAAGACACAGCCTCTCTGCAAGCACAATACTCTTCCCTGAAAGGCCACCCTCTTTCTGGTTTCCAGTACTCCTCTTATATCACTAGTATCACTAGTTGGTTCTGCTTCTCTCCCATCCAGGGATCTGGAGAAGTTTCATATCAAATAAACATAAACACACGAATAAATGGGTGTGGTCCTGGAACCAAATAAATAATCTTCATTGAAGTGGGGATGGGGAGGTGTAAGACAAAGACAGTAGTGACTTGCATTAGACAGGAGGTAGTGTGAAACCACGACTCCTGAAACTGTAAGCCTGGTCTGCTGATCATGGACACCAGCAGAATGAATTCATAAGTTCAAGTGGTGGAATAATATTTTTACAGAGGTAAAAGAAAATAACAGCCAACAAAGACCTTTCTAAAATAGCCTTCAAAAATGGTAAGGAGGTTGGGCACGGTGGCTCACGCCCGTAATCCCAACACTTTGAGAGGCCAAGACAGGTGGATCACATGAGTCCAGGAGTTTGAGACCAGCAACTCCTGGGCAACATGGTGAAACTCCATCTCTACAAAATAAAAAATTAGCCAGGCATGGTGGCACATGCCTGTAGTCCCAGCTACTCGGGAGTCTGAGGTGGGAGGATGGCTTGAACTTGGAAGGCAGAGGTTGCAGTGAGCTGAGATGACACCACTGCATTCTAGCCTGGGCTACAGAGTGAGACCCTGTCTCAAAACAGAAAAAAATGAAGCTGAGGATTCTCCAACTTACAGCCATTAAGGGCAGTGACTTCAACGAGACTACTTTTCCTGCTATTGACAACAGTAAAACTGGATGAACCAAATGAGGCCACTGTTTTCAGGTGGTGAACGAAGACAGGATAAAATATCAATCTCTGAAAGTAAAGTCACAGAGTGAACACCTGGATATTTGGACTCTGCCTGGGGACAGTTTCCCAACGGAAGTGCAAGTAGCAAGGATCTGAGTATAGCACAGCAGTTCCGCAGAACTAAGGTTCTGGATGGCTTGATGGAACTGGAATCCCTTAGGTGTGGCATCAGTGAAGAAGTGCGAGCCCCCCAAATCCACGTGGGGTCCACCAAAGTTCCTGGATGAAGACTGGTCTGCACATGCACATTCTAGACCACCCAAAGCTTAGCAGAGAGGTAAGTCTTAAGAAGTATTTGTCTCATTTATACCCATGGGATTTTAATCAATGGAGGTAATGACAGGGAGATGCCAATGCCATTGAAATATGTTTAATGTCACTCACAGTTTCGGTAGAAATTAGAGGCACAGAATGTGAAGCAGGGGCATGTGGGGAAGCCCCAGGTGTGATCAGGAGACAGAGGCAGGAGTGAGCAAAAACCTAGGCCAGAGCCCTTATGATGTGTTCTGTGGGAAAGGCAGAACAGGGCAGGAGATGCAGCTCACAACTGGTCAGTTTGAATAATATTGGCAGGGTGTGAAATATAGTGGCAGCCTCTAGTTGTCTGGTACCTGGCCCTGGGTTGACTTAGGGCAGAGAAAATGTTGGCTTGGTGTGTAAGAGAGATAAAGGAGATGGTTCAGAGCGGGGGCTCTGGATCTCGGGGGAGATGCAGATACCTTTGGCCATGAGTTAAACCCCGTAGTTAATGGATACCAAATAGAGAAATACAGACTCAAGAAAACACAAAGCACTATCCCAGTTGGGAGAGCACAAAGGAGACATTATCAAAAGTAATGTGGGATTCTGGATTGGATCCTGGAGCAGGAAGTGGACAGGAGGGGACTACCAACAAAACTAAAATAAAGCCTGTAGATTCAACATTCATTTCCTACTTTCAATAATTGTATTAGGATCATTTAAGATGTTAACATTAGACGAAGTTGGGTGAAAGATCAAAACTCTGTACTGGCTTTACAACATTCTTGTAAATCTAAAATTATTTCAAAATGGCAGGTTAAAAAGTATTTTAAATGATACCTACAAAATACTATCATGATAGTGATAGTGAACACTCACTAAAGATATGATCAGGATGCCCTAATAGGCCTCCTTATTCTTGTAATTGCAATTAGAGTTCCTTCTTTCCTTAATATTATGTAACTGGAGCTCCCTTGAGCTATTTCTAGCCTGGGGTATAATGTCTGACTCATACACATGTAGTTTCATAGGAAGCCTTGGGGCCCTAGCAGAATAACACTATCACCCACAAGATAACCAGCCAGGTGCTGCACCAGGTCTAGGCCCTCTGTGTGATGGATGCGGTCCCGTAACCAAAGGGAGACAAAGTTACCACACCCTATGTGGCCCAGAAAAATGGCCAGAGACTGAACTGGCACAGTCTCTGCTAACACAAGAGTAACAGCACTCTTCCACCCAGTCCATGCTGCCTGGAACTTCCCTGACAGAGAATCATTCTGGGATCATTCTCGAGAACTTGGCAAATATCTCAACACTCTGACATCACATTCTCTTCTACAGTCAGGATCCTCAATCCTGGATTATAGACTCACAATCTCAACTTCTTTTCTGGACACTGGAAGTCTTTAAAGATAGAATGGTCAGAATGACTGAAAGTATTTTTTTGTAATGAGAAGCCAAATTATTGTAACACATAAAATGATTTTGCTGAAAAACTTGATTGATGGCACATAATTACAAGGCATATTCTTTCCTTTCTTAGTAGCTTAAAAAATCAACATTTCTTTCCTTCTCTAATACATTACTTGGGAATGTCTCAGTGGGGAAGGCTCATTTCTCCTTCGCACAGTGTTAGCTACGATGGCCTGACTGAGCCTGGAGGATTTGCTTCCAGAATGGCTCATTTATGTGCTTGAGAAACTGGTGCTGGGTGTCATTTGGGAGCTCAGTTCAGGGAATTGGCTAGGGGGGTCTTAGTTCCTCTTCATATTAGTGCCTCCACAGGGCTACTTGGGCTTCCTCCCAAGAAATCTGTATTAGTCAGGGTTGTCTAGAGGGACAGAACGAGCAGGAGATATATATATACATATATATATATACACACACACATATATATATCTTATTATTGTGGGACCTTGTGATCGTGTGAGTTAACACTACTTAATAAACTCCCATATATGTATATGTATACTTATTATAATTAATGTATGTATATCTACATATGTATATATGTGTATGTATATATACACATATGGGAGTTTATTAAATAGTATTAACTCACAGGATCACAAGGTCCCACAATAGGCTGTTTGCAAGCTGAGGAGCAAGGAAGCCAGTCCGAGTCCCAAAGCTGAAGAACTTGGAGTCTGATATTTGAGAACTTGGAGTCCGATGTTTGAGGGCAGGAAGCATCCAGCATGAGGGAAAGATGTAGGCTGGGAGGCTGAGACAGTCTAGTCTTTTCACATTTTTCTGTCTGCTTTCTATTCTAGCCAAGCTGGCAGCTGATTAGATGGTGCCCACCCAGATTAACATCGGGTCTGCCTTTCCCAACCCACTGACCCAAATGTTAATCTTCTTTGGCAATACCTTCACAGGCACACCTAGCATCAATACTTTGCATCCTTCAATCCAATCGAGTTGACAGTCAGTATTAACCATTACAGAAGCCAAGCTCCGCATGCAAGTATTCCAAGAAGCTGATGAAAATCATGTCCCTGACATGGAAATCAAGACACTTTCACCACATTCTACTGGTCAAGGAAGTCACAAGGTAAGCCCAGATTGAAGAGGAAGGGATTCAATTCCACCTTTCAATGGGAAGAACAGAAAGAATTTGTGGCTATCTTAAACCTACCACTTAGAGTTTTCAATAGTTTAAAGAATAATTTATTTTTAGAACAGCATTAGATTTACAGAAAAATTAAGAAGCTAGTATAAAAAGCTTCCAAATACCTTGAAACCAGCTTCCCCTATTTTTAGCTTCTTACATTAGTATTTTATTATAATTAATGAAAGGATATTTATACCCCGTTAGTAACTAAAGTCCATAGTTTATCTAGGTTTTCTTCATTTTCACCAGATGTTCTCTTTCTGTTCCAGAATCCTATTCAGGACACATTGCATTTAGTTGTCCTGTCTCTTTAGCCTCCTCTTGACTGTGACAGTTTCTCAGATTTTTCCTTGTTTTTGATGACCTTCACAGTTATGAGCAGTACTGGTAAGGAACTTGCTTATTTTCTGGCACAAGATGCTTCAGATCCTTACCAGGGTCTGAAGGGCACTGGTAAGGTTGTAGAATATCCCTACTGGAATTTGTGTGATTTTTCCCTCTAATGATTAGACTGACATTATTGGTTTTGGGGAGCAAGATAACAGAGGTAAAGTACCATTTCTATCACATCCTATCAAGGAGATACTGTCAACATGATTTATCATTGATGATTATGACACCGATTACCTGGCTGATGTGGTATTTTTCTCCAGCGTAAAGTTACTCTTTTTCTCCCCTTTCCACATTGAACTCTTTGGAGCCAGGTCATTATTTGCAGCCTGCATTTTAAAAAGTGAGGAGTTGGGCTTTCCTTCCTTGATGGTGCTGTATTTATATATATTACTTCGAATTCTTCTGTATTAGAGATTTGTCTCTTCTCCCCACTTATTTATTCAATCATTTATTTATACCAGTAGGAACTCATGAGTATTTATTTTAAACTTTGGGTTTATCTTAGTCCATTCCTGCTGCTATAACAAAATACCTTAGACTGGGTAATTTATAAACAACAAAAATTTATCTCTCACAGTTTCCGGAAGTTTGAAAGTCCAAACTTTCAAACACCTGCAGAGTCAGTGTTTGGTGAGGGCTGCTCTCTGCTTCAAAGATGACATCTTTCACTGTATCTTCACATGGCAGAAAGGGGAAACAAGAACAGACTTCCTCCAGCACTTTTATATGGGCACTAATCCCACTCATGAGGGAGGAGCCTTCGTGACCTAATCATCTCCTATAAACCTACCTCTTAACACTGTTGCATTGAGGATTAAGTTTCAACGTGAATCTTGGAGGGACACAAAAATTCAGACCACAGTAGGGTCATAACCCAATACCACCGAATTCATTTCTTGCTCAAATTGTTCCAGCTTTGGCCACTGGGAGCTCTTCTGTTGGCCCTTGTGCCCCTTTGACATATTGTGATCAATGTGGGGTTATATCATTATTGTAATTGTTATTTTCAGCACTTCCTTATTTTCTGGCACAAGATGTTCCAGATTCATCGTGTATATTTTCTGTTCCAGATCTAGAATGTGCCATTTCTCCAAGGACTGTGCAGTCCTTTTTTACACTTCTTTCCTTTTAAATTTATTCCGTGGTTCTAGTTCTTCCTTGATCCTAAAAGTTTAGGTCAAATTGTATACATTTTCCCGGTTAGTTTTATTTAGTAAATATAAATATATTATTTAGTTTTATTATAAATACATTATTTATAATAAATATAAATACATTATTTATAATAAATATAAATAATAAATATCCTGGTGTTGTCAACTTAAAATGCCCAGAAATATGTAAAAGTGAAAACAAAACTCTTGATTTAAAGATACGTTTCACTCTATCTTTCCTGGCTGCCCGGCACTTCTACCTATGCGTCTTCCCTGTTCACTGACCTAGCTTCTGTTCTTTTGGTGCTGGAAGCACAAAGAGGGTGTGAGATTCCTAACGTTATTGTGATTATCCATGGGCTTTTCAAATATGTAAAGCGGATTACCTCAAAGGCCCCCTTTGGCTTCTTTAGAGACACAAATGCTGAGGATCTCTCACCTGAGCATCCCTCGATGAGGGCTGTTGCGTCTTGATTTCATCTGGGTAGTTACAGGCATCATCCACCACGAAGTTTCCAACCCAGAGTCAGGATGCAGCTGAGCTTGACGGGCGTGGTGCAGACGTCGGTGCAGCGAAAGCTGAGGAGCCGTGGGCGTTCACCCGGGTGCCGGTGTTTCTAAATCGCGGGCTGCGACCTGCATACTCAGGTGCCAGCTGGGAGCAGAGGCGGATTTGCGAGGCCAAAACCTGGGTGTGACTTGGAATCTCAGTCGCGCTATGGGGGTGCACGCTGGCTCAAATCCCCGTGGAAGATGCACCTGTGACCTGCCCAGGCTGCAAAACCAGGTGCGCTGCCATGGGCACGACTCACTGGGCTCCATTTTCACCACAGGGAACTTGGACCGCCTGACATTGAAAAAGACTGAGGTAGCTCGGGGGCAGCCAAAAGAAACCAGAGGCGGGGATCCTAGTATCATTCAGGAAGTGGACCCAGCCGCAAACTCAGGAGCGTTCCAAGTGTCCAGAGCGTCTGGTAGTCGCAATAGCCAGTGATCAGTGACACCCCCAAGAAAGTGATAGCGACAGAAACATGGCGACTACTTACACTGCCGCCCCCGTGCGCCCCTGCGCGAGCTCTGCTGGAGGCGCCCGCGGGAGCGCCTGCGGGAGCGCTCCACTGCGGAATCCGCCGCTCTCTTCTCTGAGCAGTCTCCTACTGCCATCTAGGGAGGAATACGGGGATACCGGCTGGAGTACCCTCTCTATCTTCTTGCCTGCAGGGGTCGCAGGATAGATGTTTCGAGAGCCTATAAAAGTCATACAGTGCTATGGTGGGTGCACGCTAAACGTGCCTTTGACACTGTGATTAAATCACATAACCCATATAAAAAGTAATTGGAAAAGACAACCCCCAGAATGGAGAGAATGTTTAAAAATCGTATTTCTGATAAGAGATTAATATCCAGAATATATAAATAACTCCTGAACTCAACAACGGGAACAAATAACTCATTTAAGAGACAAGAGAAGGATTTGAATAGACATTTCTCTAAATAAAATACATAAATGGCCAATAATTACATGAAAAGATGCGCAACATCATTGATCATTAGGGAAATGCAAATCAAAATAACATGGAGATAGTACTTCACTCCAACTAGCATGGCTATTAACAAAAAAACAGAAATTAACAGGTGTGGGTAAAGATGCGGAGAAATTAACAGGTGTTGTGCATTGCTGGTGGTAATGTAAAATGGTTCAGCTGCTGTGGAAAACAATGGGAGTTTCTCAAAAAGGTAAATATAGAATTAATTAATATACGACCCAGCAATCCCAATAGTAGGTATGTACTCCACACAATTGAAATAGGGACGCAAAAAGATATTTGACATCAATGTTCATATCAGCATTATTTATAGTAGCCGAAAGATGGAAATAACCCAAGGGTCCATCGACAGATGAATGGATAAACAAAATGAGGTATTTTGATACAATGGAGCTGGCTACTAACCACCTGCTCCTGTATTACCTAAAGGCCTTCACTCCCTAACCCATTGGTCTTTTTTGTCCATTATTTTTTGTAGGGGTTATAACAGCATTCAAGTGTGGAGTCAAGGCTCACTTTAAAATGCATCAAACATAGCTATGTATCAATTCACCACAGTCCGTCAAAAGGCCTGTGACGCACTCTCTCTGGGGGTATTTGAGCCGATATCCCAGTAGTCAACACTAGATGGCAGTAGGAGACTGCTCAGAAAATGGAGAGCGGCGCCCACCTTGCAGTGCGCAGGCGTCGTCAGTAGACATCGCGCAGGCGTCGTCAGTAGACATCGCGCAGGCGTCGTCAGTAGACATCGCGCAGGCGTCGTCAGTAGACATCGCGCAGGCGTCGTCAGTAGACATCGCGCAGGCGTCGTCAGTAGACATCGCGCAGGCGTCGTCAGTAGACATCGCGCAGGCGTCGTCAGTAGACATCGCGCAGGCGTCGTCAGTAGACATCGCGCAGGCGTCGTCAGTAGACATCGCGCAGGCGTCGTCAGTAGACATCGCGCAGGCGTCGTCAGTAGACATCGCGCAGGCGTCGTCAGTAGACATCGCGCAGGCGTCGTCAGTAGACATCGCGCAGGCGATGGGTGAGGCGGCTTTGGCCGCCATGTTTTCGTCGCAGTAACTGCCTTGGTGTCAGTAGTCATTGCCAGTTTCGGGCGTTCTGGACAATTGGGATGCTGCAGAGTTCATGGCTGGGGCTGCTCGTTGGGTGGGACAAGAATCCTCTGCAATGGTTTGTTTTGGCTGCCCAGGAGGTGCGTCAAGTCGCTGCCGCTCCCCTCGTGGGCGTCAGGCCTCAAGAGTTCCCCGCCTAGAAAATGGAGCTCAGCGAGTCGTGCGTACCATGGTGCACCTGGTTTTGCAGCCTAAGCGGGTCACTTTAGTGCATCCTCCTCGCGGATTGGAGCCTGTTTGCACCCCTATAGCCCGAATGAGACCCAAGTCACACGGGCTCAGAAGTTCTTTGCCCCTGGCCATGATCCCCCAGCCAGCCACCCGAGTTTCCAGGCCTCAGGCGCTTTGGAAACGCCTGTACGTCGCCTGTACCTGAATGGCAGGTACTCATCTGCTTTAGCTACATCATAGTCTGCACCACTTCTGCCAGCTCGATTGCAGCCTGGATTTGAGTCAGAAACTTTTCATGGTGGATGAGGGTTGTAAATATCCAAAGCGACTCCAGATGAAATTGCCCTCATCAAAGGAAGCTCAGATGACAGATTTCTGCATAGAAGCCAAAAAAGCCTTCCCTCAAGGAAAGAGTCAGTTTCAAGTATTTGCAAACTCAGAACAGTGTCAATTTTAGATCACTACAATGCTGCCCATCAAGGAAGAACCCTATTGCTCCCTGGCGTCTCTCCTTGAGCCCTAAACACAGTAGATTCAGAAACTAAGTCAGCAAATGGAGGAAGATTCTTAACCGTGATAAGTTGGAAAACGTGCGTCAGAGGGCCACATCCCTTCCTCGAGTTCAGGCTACCACCTGACTGCAGGTCAGAGCTGGAAGAGACAGTGAAAATGTAAGTTTAAATAAAGATTGTCGTTTTCACTTTTACATACTTAAAGCCATTTTAAATGAGTCACGGGCAGATATTTATTAAATAAAATGACCAAAAAATTAATGGGATTTGACCTAACTTTTATCCTGGGGCAGGGGAAGAACTAGCACTGCAGAATACATTTAAGCTGCGAGCCGTGGCTCCTGCCTGTAATTCCAGCACTTTGGGAGGCCAAGATGGGAGAATCACTTGAGGCCAGGAGTTTGAGACCATTCTCATCAACATAGCGAGTCAACTTAGGGAGATCCCATCTCTATTTATTTTTTAAAATAAAAAAAAGAATAAATTTAAAAGGAAAGAGGTGTGAAAACGACAGCTACTTAGTAATTAAATTCTGTGAGTCATGGCTTGTTCATGGGAATGATTCTATTTGAATGTTATAATAATTTTGTTTCTAATTTCAGAAAGTATTTTGGTCCTTCTGACCAAGTCTTTGTATCTGTGTAAATCATGAGTTAAAGAAATAACTTTCCAAAAAGAGGTTGAGATCTTCTGATTCAGGACTTAAGCATTGTGAGTGTCAAGGGGGTGTGGTGTCAGTGTTGAGATGTGTGGCCCTGTCCCTGTTGGTGGTCTTGGTTTCAGACTTCTGTCAGGAAAGAGTCAGACAGTGTTGACTAGGAAAAGGAGTTCTGTGGTGTCTGTGGTTTGGTCTGTGGTAATTTTGCTGAGCCAGAAAGGGAATTCCAGCCTTGATGTCCAGGGCTGACTCTCCGGGCAGGCTGCCCATTGGTGAGTGGGAGCAGTGCCTGCTGTGCTTTCAGGACTGTGTCCATCACTTCCTGTCCAGGTGGACACTGTAGCGCAGGCTTCCCATTGATGGACGGGAACCTGATCTCCCTGTGCTTTTACTGCCATGCTCATCACGCACTGGGGATCATCAGCCCACCTTTTAAACCCAGCCCACAATTGGCCAGTTATCTTGTGGGTGATAGTGCAACTGTCTGTGTCGCCAGGCTTCCCACACAACTATCTGCATCTGGTTTGGACTGGCTAAACCAGGCCACACCAAAGGTCAGGGGAGCCTTAGATACATAACGCTTATTTCAGGTGTGAGGGAGCATGTGAAGGCACCCTGATTGCATCTTTAGGAAGTGTTCATTATCGTGATTGCGTTTTTATATGTAACATTTAAAATATTGTCTAACTTATTACTTTAAAATAATTTTAGACTTACAAAGAAGTTGCAAAAACAGTATGGTGAATTTGTCTTTTTCACTCAGCTTCCTCTAATGTTGCATAGCCTTAATAAAATTATTGAAACCAGAAAACTAATACTGACATAATACTATTAACTGATCTGCAGACCTTATTTGAGTTTCATCAGTTGTCCCACTCGTGTCCGCTTTCTGGTCTAGGATGCAATCCAGAATTCAGTGTTGCAATTCGTTATTGTGTTTCCTTACTCTCCTCTATTCTAGGATAGTTCTTCCTTAAGCCTTACCTGTCTGATAAGCCTTGTCTTATCAGACAGATAGTCTTGTCTGTGTATATGCAGCCTAGCCCTCAGCCAGGAATTTGGGGAAGACTCCACAAGGACATGTGGTGCTTACCTCTGCACAGTTCTTCTTTGATACCATACCTCAGAGACTCCAGGCTCACCAGCTGCCCTGAATGCCCTCAGTGCTGCAGAACTGCTGTCCTGTGCTCAGATCCCAGCTATCTGCATTGCACTTGGGAAATTGTTCTTTGACAACTTGTTTATCTAAGGGCTCACCCTGTAAATGTCCATCCCTTGTGGAATTGCAGTCTTGTGCTACCTGTTGTCTGGTACCTAAACACAGTGGCTTCATATACTTTATTCTGTGTGCAGTTTTATAGTTGTTAATGTCAAGAGAGCTAGTCTAGTTTCAGTTAACACCATCATGGCTAGAAATGGGAGAATCCTCACTTTCATTTTGAAGGCTATTTTAGCAGAGTATACACTTCTACATTGGCTGTTTCATTCTTTCACTCTTTAATGAGGAAATTCCTTGTTAGTACTATTCATGTCCTTGGTTAGCAGGCCAGTCATGCTTTCAGGAGTCTAGTTTTCACACCATCTTCTCTTCAGTTCAAATTACTGTTACTTTCCTTTTCTGTTTCCCCATACCTGGGTCCATGAAGATGTATTTACTATTACTACTATCATTATTAAGACAGTTAAACTCTCCTGGGTTCCTAGGTGGGAGAGAAGTTTAACTGTCTACAAGTATAAGGGGAGAACTGGAAGGCAAAAGAGGGTAGCCTTTTGGGGCAAGGTGTTTCTCTTTAGAGAGACTGTAATTCTCTTGATCCCCACAGGGTGGAGGTAAACTTGGCTGGTTTCCTAGTTCAGTGCATACTAAACCTCTGAACTTGCTTGTGTGCCACTGAAGAGAGGGAAGACACATTGAGGAGAAATGCGGAGCTGATACAGACAGGCATATTGTACACAACCAAGATAAGTGGGATCAAGCCGCCCTGTAAGAGAGAGGGTAGAAGCAGGGACTTCTGGCTCCCTGAACTGTTAACTGTGTCTCCATTTTTTTTTTTTTTTGAAGACACTCCACTCTGTCACGCAGCTGGAGCGCAGTGGTGCAGTCATGGCTCACTGCAGCCTTGATCTTCTGGGCTGAAGTCGTGTCTTCATTTTTGATAGGAACGTTATTTTGACAAAATGTGGGACAGCTGATGAGCCTATAGATGTAACTCTCTGATGTAGTCAGTTAGTCATATGGGTAGCTCTCCTTGACAAACTGCATAGGAATCTCTTTTGTCCTCTTAGTAGGTGGTAATTTTCCCCTGGGTGTGGGATGGCTAAGAAGGACTTGCACAATTACATAACCATGGGTGACATCTCCAGAAAGAAAACCTCCGATAAACATGACATTTTCTCTTTTGGGGCATTTGGATTCAGTGCATTTTATTGGCAACTGTCCTATGTGTTTAAATTCCTAGAACTGAAACCCTGGACGCACGGTAGCTCATAATTCTTGTTACATAAGATAATTTGTTTATTGTTTTAGTTTTCAATTAGTTTTTCCTTAACATATAACTGAGTGCATCATAAACAATTTGCTTTAGAATTTCTACTTCCAGGGCTGTTACTGACTGGATGCAGTGCACAAAGACATACGTATAAGACTATTTTTTTGTGATATTTTAGAGCAATGGTGAAAAGTTGGGAACAACTTAAATCGTTTTCAACAGAAGACTAATGAAATAAATTACTGAAACTTATTCACAAAATGGAAATCTAGGCAGCTGTAAGAAATGGATATGTGCTCTTAGGGATTTAAAGGGGTGTGTATAACATTATCCCATAAAGACTAAAGTGTGGTACGTGTGTACATTTATATTAATATGTATGCAAATGTGTAGAATATAGAAAAATTCAGACACTATGTTG
Source organism: Homo sapiens (assembly GCF_000001405.40). Lineage (NCBI taxonomy): Eukaryota > Metazoa > Chordata > Mammalia > Primates > Hominidae > Homo > Homo sapiens. Next base: position 46,083,497 of record NC_000019.10, read on the forward strand.
TAAACACAGTTACTTTGGGGAGGAGAGGAGGTGCGATGAGAGAATACCAACCATGGCTGTATAATCTCTATTTCTGAACATACACAACATTTTTCAAGAAAATATATTACTTTATTATTTGAATTATTATTTTCAGCCATATGTATAGACTGAAAGGAGAGAGAGACAAGGAGACAGAAAGAGACAGTGACAGAGAGGACAGAAGAGTCACAAAGAGTGGGAGGAGAGAAAGGGAAGGACCTTAGCCACAGAAAGTTGAGAGGAGAGTAAGTTGGAAGAGGTAGTGATTAGAGATTTTGCGCATTGACAGTGGTTGACTTGGCTTCTGGGGTAGGCCCTGGAACAAAGTCCTCTGATCCTCGGTTGTTTGGGAATAGTCAATTATGTAAGGGTATTCTGGTGCTACCAGTTTTGTGCAATGGTGGGCATTTACTGCTATAAACTTCCCTCTTAGACCTGCTTTTGCTTTTTCCTACAGATTTTGGTATGTTGTGTTTCCATTTTGTTTGTCTCAAGAAATTTTTAAATTTCCCTTTTAATTTCTTCACTGACCCAATGATTGGTCAGGAACATGTTGTTTAATTCCCATGTCTTTGTACTGTTTCTGAAGTTCCTCCTGTTACGGATTTCTAGTATTATACCATTGAGTTAGAAAAGATACTTGATATGATTTCAGTCTTCTTAAATTTGTTAAGACTTGTTTTGTGGCATACATATGATATATCCTGGAGAATGCTCATGTGCAGTTGAGAAGAATGTGTATTCTGCAGCTGTTGGATGAACTGTTTTGTATAAATCTATTAAGTTCATTTGGTCTAGAGTATAGTTTGAATCTGATGTTTCTTTATTGATTTTGTTTTGTCTGGTTGATCTGTCCATTGCTGAAAGTGGGGTGTTGAAGTCCCCTACTATTACTGCATTGCTCTCTCTCTTTACTATTACTGCATCTGTCTCTCTCTTCAGATATATTAATATGTTAGGCCATTCCTACATTGCCATAAAGAAATAGCTGAGACTGGATAATTTATATAAAAAAAGAGCTTTCATTGACTCACAATTATGCAAGCTGTACAGGAAGCATGGTGCCAACATCTGCTTCTGAGGAGGCCTCAGGAAGCTTACAATCATGGCAGAAGGCACAGTGGGAGCAGAAGCTAGAGAGAGAGTGTGTGTGGGAGGTGTCACACACTTTTAAAAAACCAGATCTTACAAGAACTTATCACCAAGGGATGGCACTAAGCCATTCATGAGGGATATGTCCCCATGATACAAGCACTTCCCACTGGTGCCCCCTCCAACACTGGGTATTACATTTCAACATGAGATTTGGTGGGAATACAAAGATCCAGACCATATCATTCCACCCCTGTCTCCACATCTCGTGTCCTTTTCACGTTGCAAAATACAACCATGCCTTCCCAACAGTCCTGAAAAGTCTTTACTCATTCCGGCATCAACTCAGTCAAAAGTCTCAAGTCTCATCTGGACATGAATTCCTTCCACCTATGAGCCCGTAAAATCAAAACAAGTTATTTACTGCCAACATACCATGGGAGTACAGCTATTGGGTCGCTCTCCAAAAGGGAGAAGTTGACCAAAAGAAAGGGGCTACAGGCCCCAATGCAAGTTTGAAACCCAGCAGGGCAGTCATTAAAACTTAAAGCTCCTGCAGTGAGCCGAGATTGCGCCACTGCACTCCAGCCTGGGCAACAGAGTGAGACTCCAGCTCAAAAAAAAAGGAAAACAAAAAACACCAAAAGAAAACAAAACAAAACAAAAAAACTTAAAGCTCCAAAATAGTCTCTCTTGACTCCAGACTGTAGTGTTGGGTGCATGTGTATTTCATATAGTTAAGTCTTCTTGTTGAATCTGACCCTCTATCATTATGTAATGCCCTTCTTTTTCCTTTTTGATCATTATTGGTTTAAAGTCTGTTTTGTCTAGAATAAGAATAGCAACCCCTGCTCTTTTTTGTTCTCTGTTTGCTTGATAGATCTTTCTCCATCCCTTTACTTTGAGCCATTTAATTTGAGATGGGTCTCTTGAATACAGTATACAGTTGGGTCTTGCTTCTTTATCTAACATGCTCCTCTGTCTTTTAAGTGGGGCATTTAGCCTGTTTACATTCAAGTTTAATATTGATATGTGAGGGTTTGATCCTGTCATCATGTTGTTAGCTGGTTGTTATGTAGACCTGATTGTATAGTTGCTTTATAGTGACAGTGGGCCATATACTTAAGTGTGTTTTTGTGGTGGCTGGTAATGGCGTTTTGTTTCCATGTTTAACACTCCCTTAAGGAACTCTTGTAAGGCAGGTCTGGCAGTAATGAAGTCCCTTAGCATTTGCTTGTATGAAAAGGATTTTCTTTTCTCCTTTGCATTTTTGTTCTTTGCAACAACAAAGAAACCATACAGGAACATTGGTTGCCTTCTGGGACACCAACAATTCAAATATTTTATTGCTTTAATAGTGCTTCATATTTCATGTAGGCTCCACTCATTCTTTTAAATTATTTTTTCTTTGTTTTTGTCTGACTAGGTTACTTCAAAAGACCCATCTTTAAGTTCTGGGATTCTTTCTTCTGCTTGATATGGTCTATTTTTGAAGCCTTTGAGTGTATTTTCTATTTCATTCAATGGATTCTTCAGTTCTAGAATTTATCTTTGGTTCTCTTTAATGATACCTATCTCTTTGGTGATAAATTTCTCATTCATAGCCCGAATTGTTTTTCTAATATTGTTGGTTTTTTTGTATTGTATGTCATTGAGAACAACTCACTTCTTTAATAACAACATATTGAATTTTTTCTGGGATTTCATAAATTCCTTTTTTTTCTTGTTTTTTGGAGATGGAGTCTCGCTCTGTCTCCCAGGTTGGAGTGCAGTGGTATTCCACTGTCCACTCCAATCTCCTTCTCCTGTGTTCAAGAAATTCTTGTATGTCAGCCTCCTGAGTACCTGGAATTACAGGTGCGCACCACCATGCCTGGCTAATTTTTGTATTTTTAGTAGAGACAGGGTTCCACCATGTTGGCCAGGCTCATCTCAAGCTCCTGACCTCAAGTGATCTGCCTACTTCGGCCTCCCAAAGTGCTGGGATTACAGGCATTCGCCACCACACCTGACCTCATAAATTCCTTTTTGATTGGGATCTGTTGCTAGTGAATTATTGTGTTCCTTTGGATATTTCCTTACTTTTTCATGTTTCTTGTGTTCTTACGTTGATATCTGCACATCTGGTGTAAGAGTGGCTTCTTCCAATTTTTTGAATTTGCTCTCATGGGGAGGATTTTTTTCCTGAAGTTGTATCTATGATGTTGGTTGGGTAGGGAATTTTGGCTTTGATTGTGGGTACATGCAGTAGTGTAGTCTCTGTGTGATTTATTTTGGCTATAAACAGCATCAGTGGTGTCTTTCATTTTCTCAGTGGCTTAGGGTGCAATTGTTAGTGAAGGCTATTATGAAGTTTTGCTGGAGACTGGGATGCCAGGTAGGCCAGGTTTTGGGCCACGGTGGCAGTAGTGGGCTGAATGTGCCTGTCTTTGGGCCCCAGGGTGGCATACACTGGCATCAGTGTTAGCAGGTCCAGGCAGGCCAATCGTTGGTCCTCCAGGTCGCTTGATCAGGTATTGAGAATAGCAGTGGTATTTGGATGGGTGGACAGGTTCTTGGGCCCTGGGCATAAGTAGCATGGGCAATGGCAGTAGCAGTGATGGGACAATCCTCTGAGACCCAAGCAGTCTGTGCTGATGTTGGTGGTAGCTGGGGTGCACTAGGCAGGCCATTCCTCAGGCTCACAGGTGGCACCTGCAGGTGGGTGCTGGCTGTGGTGGTAGTGGCAGGCTGGTTGGGCCTAACCTCAGATGTTAAGAGAAGTGTTCAGGTGCTATCAGTAGTAGACCAGGTTGCGTGATCTGCAGGCCCCTTTGATGGGTGCTCAGGTACTGGGGAGGTGGAGCTGTGCCAGGCAGACCTGTTCTCAGGCCCCCAGATGATGTATGTAGGCACTGGCTCTGGTAATCAGGGATAGGGTGATCCTCAGGCTGCCAGTGGAATGCTCAGTTGAGGGCAGCAGGAGCTGCACTGCGGCCATGCTACTGGGAACAGTGAGACTGCTTTTAGTGGGAGCAGCGTTAGGCAGGTGGCTGGGGCATGTGTGCTTTGCCTGTGCCTCAACCCTGCAGTAGCCTGCAAGTGGCAGCAGGCAGTGGAATTTGTCCTTGGGGCATGAGAAAATGCATGACTGCCCCTCTACTGATGGGAAAGGGTTGCTGTCATCAGTTTCCACTTTGGTCCTGGCAGTGGGTGGGGAATGTCAGTTGGGCTCCAGGGATATCGGGATGTGAGGGCTGTTTGGCCCAGGGAAGGATGCAGTCTAGTGGAGGTGGAGCTCATACAATGGTGCCTTGATGCAGCTGATTAGGACTTAGGAGTTTGTGGGACTCCATCTCATTGGAGCAATGCCATAGTGCAGTCTCCAGACAGCTCCCTATGTTAGTCTCAGGACCTGTGAGGGCTGAGGGGCTCTCCTGTGGCTAGGACTGTAGGAATCTGTGGTAGAAATGTGGACCACTGGGGGTCTCTCACCATTCGCCCAGTTGATTCTGGCTCGGCAGGCCACTTCACTTTTCTCTCCTTCCTTGCTTTTGGTGCCTCCCATTACTTCTCTGTTGAATTCTAATGTCCTCTTTCAGATGATCTATTTGAAGTGTCATTATCTATGGACTATTTTGTTTCCTCTCCATAAAAGAGGCAAGTACCCAGTGCATCTAGTCAGCTGTGTTAAAGTCTTTCCTTTATTCTGTGTCTTTTGATTGGATAATTTGATCCATTTACATTGTTTATTATTTAAGATAAGGGCTTTTTTTCTGTACTAACTAATGAACCCATATGTTTAATTGTCAGACTTTATTCAGCACCACTGAGTCTCAATATCAAAACAACTAAAATTTAAGACACAACCTTCAATTGTAACATATATATTTACACTTCGTGTTCATTATATTGTTGAATGGTGCCATCATTCATCTACTTGGCTAACTGCTAACCAGAAATTAAAACTCTTCCATTCAGCTTCTTGTCATTGATTTACAAAGATTTATTGAACACTTTCTATATATTAAGAGCTTAATTGTGCACTAGAAATATAAAAATAACAAGATAATATCTGTTCTGGAGTTGAGGCATTTGGGTGACAATAAATGAAGTTACAAAACAATGTGAGAAGAGGCGATGAGAATACAAAGATAAAGACATATCTAGAGCTCTTCTGGAGTGATCATGTCATTTGAGACCTCACAGATGAAGTAATATCATAGCCTACTGTTGTATGTTGATTGGGGTTTGAGAAGATTGAAAAACAAAACAAAACAAGGATGTCCCAGACAGAGGAAATAATCAGCAAAGCTATAAAGGATTGAAATAGGAAAAGGAAGTCATTCTATGAACATGACTGGGTTAAAGGCGCTAATGTAGACTCTGGTAGATCTTAAAAGTTATTTATAGGTAAGGACTTTCTACTGCTATTTTGTTTATTGTTTTATAGATCCTTTGTTTCTTTCTTCCTGTCTTACTGTTCCTTTGTGGTTAAGTGATTCTCTCTAGCAGTATATTTTGATTCCTTACTTTTTATTTTTGTGTTTTTATCTACTATAGGTTTTTGGTTTGTAGTTACCAAAAAAAACTTTATAGTTACAAGAAAACCTTATAGTTATCATATGTTATTTTAAGCTGATAACAACTTTGATAACAAAAAAGCCCACCTCTACACTTTTACTGCTCTGCACCTTGTATTTTGAATTTTGATGTAATCATTTACATCTTTTTATGTCGCATATCTCTTAACAAATTATTGTGATTATTTTTAATAGTTTTTAAACCTTCATGTGAAATACATGTGATTTATACACCACTGTTACAGTATAATTCTAAATTTGACTGTATACTTACTTTTACCAGTGAATTTTGTACTTTCAGATGTTTTTGTGTTACTCATTAGCATTTTTTTCTTTCAGCTTGAAAAACTCCCTTTAGCATTTTTTGTAAGATGGCTCTGGTGGAGGTAAACTCCCCCAGCACTTGTTTGTCTGAGCAAGTCTTATCTCTCCTTCATTTCTGAAGAAGATCCTTTTAGGGTATAGTATTCTTGGTGGTAGGTTTTTTTTTTTCCCTTCTGCACTTTGAACTCTCTCAGGTCTGTAAAGTTTCCGAGAAGTCTGCTGGTGAGCATATTGAAACTCCCTTATATGTTATTTGCTTCTTTTTTCTTGTTGCTTTCAGGATCCTATCTTTGTCTTTGATTTTTGGCAGTTTACTTATAATATGGCTTGGGGTAATCTTATTTGGATTGAATCTGGCTAGAGTCCTTTGACCTTCTTGTACCTGGATATTTACATCTTTCTCCAGGTTTGGAAAACTTTCTGCTATTATTTGTTTAAATAAGCTTTCTACCTCTTGGTCTCCCTCTTTAATTCCAGTGACCCAAACATTTGCTCTTCTGATGCTGTCTCATAAATCCCATAAGCTTTCTTCATTTCTTTTTATTATTTTTTTCTTTTTTCCCCTCTGATGGTACATTTTCAAATAACTTGTCTTCAAGTTCACAGATTCTTTTTTCTACTTGATTAGTTCTGCTGTTTAGACTCTGTATTGCATGTAAAATTTTGTTCATTGTATTTTTCAGCTCTGGGATTTCTGTTTGAGTTTTTTAAAATTATTTCAGTCTTTGCTAAATTTCTTATTCTAGCCACTTACTGTTTTCCTCATTTCTTTGAATTGTTTCTCTGTATTTTCTTTAAGTTTGCTGAGCTTCCTTTAAAAAGTTATTTTGAATTGTTTAGTAAGGAGTTCATATTTATCCATCTCTTTATTGTTAGTCACTGGTGCTTTATTTTGTCTCCCCGCTAATGTCATATTTCTCTGATTGTTCTTGATCTTGTGGCCACACGTCAACATCTGCATATTTTAAGAAGTAGGTACTTATTTCCAGTCTTTGTAAACTGGCTTTGTCTGGGAACGCCCTTCAACAATAAGCCTGTCTAGATAGCCTGGACAGACTGGTGTGATCTCTGTGCCACTGTGGCCATTACAACTCTAGAGGGTGACCTATGCTGGTACGTGATGACAAGCACGTTGCCCGGCTGGAATCTCATGGCTTCTGAGGCTGGCACAGAGCTGGCATATGCCTGAAGCCTGTGGCTGCTGGTGCCTGCCTACTGCCAAGATTTGTCTGTAGCCCAGGGCCCAGGCTAGCAGTGATGCAAACTGTGGATTGAGCTGGCCTTGCAGGGGCTGTGGGTTCCCATCTGGTTCCCGGGCAGCTCTGGAAGCTTAGTCCATAGGTACTGATATGGGTTGAGCGGTTGCAGGGGTCTGCCTAATGCAGGGTTTTACTGTGGAAGATCCAGTATTAGGGTCCAAGGCAAAATTTTGTTTACTTTCCTCTCTTTCCACCAAGCAGACAGTATGTATCTCTCTCTGTGCTATGCTGCCTGGGGTTGAGTGAAGGGTAATTTGGGTGACATAAAATTGTTCTTCCTACTCTCTTCAATGCATCTTTTCTTATTATGCTATAACTAGGTACTGTGATCTCTCACCTGGTTTCCTTAGCTCTTTTGAAGGTATTTTTGTGCATGAATCATTCAAATTGATGTTTCCGTGTGGGCAATGATTACTAGAGAGTCCTAATGCACCATCTTGCTCTGCCCTTCTTCCCAAATGCCTGTAGCCTCATAGAAAAACATTTGTAAGAAGTAGATATCTAGGGAAGGATTCCACTGAGAAGTGGTCCACATTTATGTTTTTAAACAGCACGTTTTAGTGTGAGGAGGCCATTAAGTGGGGATATTTATGAAAGAATATAGGCAAACTGTTACTTAGAATGTCTTCAGTTCTGTAAGGTGCTTGGCATGTAAGGTGCTTGGCCTACATATTTCTTTCAAATTAGTACACAGTCAAAAACTTTAATCAGTATACAAATTATTCTGTTAGAAGAGACACTTGTGTTTTCCATGTTTGTGTTTCTCCTTAGGAGTTGTATTTCTGTTGCTGAGATAACCTATTGTTATATCCTAGTTTATTTATAATATGTTTTGTAAGAAAGACTGATGTCATTCATTGTAGGTGTAAAACAGGCTTACCATGAAATGAAAGCCTTTGTTCAACTTAGAGTCCTAATGTTTCTGATTTCTTACTCTTGTTGCTGATATACAGAAGCAGCTACAAGAGCTGAAAGATGACTGTGCACTTAATGTCTTTAGTTGAAAGAATTATTTAGCTAAAGAAACACAGTCATTAGCTATGGAATTTGAGAGCCTCAACAGTTTCAATGACAAATACAAAAGCATTTTTAAAAAATGAACTCAAACAGCATGATAAATTTTTATATAAAAATAAAGTTTCAATTTATTTTTTAATGCCTTTCTGAATTACTGGTTAAACTAAAATCTATAAAAATGCAATGCATTAAGTGTATATACCATAATCAAAAGTTTGAAGTGTCACATTTCTTCTATAATGGGGAGAAATTAATCACATTTGGTAAACATTTTTTACGTTCAAACCTGGATTTCAAGATAAGTTAAATAATTACTTTCATTCACTGTCAAGGCTCTTTCTTGATTCACATTTTGAGGTTGTTTCTTTTCTTAATGCAATACTAACTTTGTGTTGTTGTTTGTTAGAGATTGGGGTCTTGTTCTGTCACCTAGGCTGGCCTGCAGTGGTGTGGTGATGGCTCACTGCACCCTCAAACTCCTGGGCTCAAGCGATTCTTCTGCCTCAGTCCCCTGAGTATCTGGGACTACAGGCACACAGCACCACTCCTGGCTAATTAAAAAAAATTTTTTTTTTTTGGCCAGCCACAGTGGCTCACACCTGTAATCCCAGCACGTTGGGAGGCTGAGACAGGTGGATCACTTGAGGTTGGGAGTTTGAGACCAGTCTGGTCAACATGGTAAAACCCTGCCTGTACCAAAAAATACAAAAATTAGCTGGGCTTGGTGATGTGCGCTGGTAGTCCCAGCTACTCAGGAGGCTAAGGTGGGAGAATCACTTGAACCTGAGCGGCTGAGGCTGCAGTGAGCTGAGATTGCACCACTGTACTCTAGTACTCCAGCCTGGGTGACAGAGTGAGACCCTGTCTCAAAAAAAAAATTTTTTTTTTTTGTAGAGATGGGATCTCACTGTGTTGCCTAGGCTTGTCTTGAACTCCTGGCCTCAAGTTATCCTCCTGCCTCAGCCTCCCAAAGTGCCAGGATTACAGGTGTGAGCCATCATGCCTGTCTGTAATACCTAATTTTTGACCATTTATTGAAATTGTTATTTTATCAGATAATCTAAGTTATAATGTAGTTGATCTTTTAAAAGGGCATACTGTCTCTCTAAGTAGAAATGGCTCCAAAATGTTTTTGGGAAGTTTGATACTTTTATATACAAGGTAGCCTTAACCAGAAAAGTGACAATTTAAAATTGACAAAATGATATTTTTAAGACTTCAAAATGATAAATAATTTTTAACTATTAAAGTTCGCCTCAAGCTAATAAACTTAAGTCTGTAAGGAAATTAAAATTAAATATTAGTTTAATAACAACTAAATATTTAGTAGAAGTTGCCTCTCTTTATTGGTGATTTATTTTTAATTATAAAATTTTTGAAGATCTTTGCTTAAAGACCTTGATATTTGAAATAGTTGGACACTTGATGAGGAAATTGCCTTTATGATTATGAAAATCTCAGCTTTATAAAATGCATCTGTTAATAAAGATAATTTCTCTAATGGTGATCAAAATATAAAACTTAAGACATTAATATCTCACTGGAAGTGTATATGGGTTTCTGAGTAATTAAAACATTCATAAGCAGAATAAAATGCATTCTCAGAAAACTAGAAATATCAGGGACCTTGCTTAACTTTGTAAAAGACATCTACAAAAATCCTACAGCTAATGTCATATTTAATGGTAAAGATGGAATGTTTTCCTCCTAAGGTCGGGAACAAGGCAAGGGAGTCTATTTTCACTACTTCTATTCATCTTTGTCCTGGAAGTCCTAGCTAGTGTAATGAGGCAAAAACGCATGCAGATTGGAAAATAAGTGATGAACTGTCTATTTACAGACATTATTGCCGATGTAGAAAATCCCAAGGAGTCTATAAAGAATTCATAGGACAAATAAATTAGGTTAGCAAGTTCACAGACTACCAAGTCAATTAATATAAAATAATAAAATGTATTTCTGTAGACTATAAACAATAGTCTATGGCACAATTCAAATTTGAATTGTTCACTGTCTGTCTGTTTGAACAATTCAAATTTGAAATTAAAAGCAATTTAAAATTGTATCAAAAATTAAATATCTAGGCCTGAATCAAACAAAATATGTGTGGATCTGTATGCATGAAAGTTAAAAAACTGATGACATAAAGATCTAAATAAAAGGAGAGATATACTGTAGCCATGGACTGGAAGACTCATTGTTAGATGTCAGTATTCTTCACCTTGATATGTACATTCAAAGCAAACTTAACAGCCTTGGAGGATTTTTTTTTTTTTTTTTTTTTGCCAGGGGTAGGGGGTCAGTATTGTAAAGCTGATTCTAAAATGTGTAAGGAAAGGCCAAAGAACTAGAATAGCTAAGACAATTTTGTAAAAGAAGAGCAAAGTTTAGGGACCTGATTCTGAGGCTTTTTATAAAGGTGTAGTAATCAAGACAGTATCTTATTGGTGAATGGAAGAACATATAGATTGATGGAATGTAATGGAATATCCAGAAATAGACCCACACAAAAATGGCCAATTGAGTTTTACTTTTTATCAAAAGTAAGAAAACTTATTTTGCAGAGGGGTTGGTTTTAAAAAAATATTTAGATTGATTTTATTGGATAAGCAATGTATGAATATATATGTCCTATTCAAAATGATAGAAGTCTATAGAGCTGAAAGTGAAAGTCTCCATTACCTCACCCCAATCTGTTTTTGTTGTGCTGTAATTTTGTTTTTTTCTTTTTCTTTTTTTTTTGTGTGTTTTTAAATTTTATTGTATTTTAAGTTCTGGGATACATGTTCAGGACATGCAGGTTTGTCACACAGGTAAACGTGTGCCATGGTGGTTTGCTGCACCTATCAACCCATCACCTAGTATTAAGCCCTGCATGCGTTAGCTATTTATCCTGATGCTTTCCCCTCCCCTGCCCCCACTGACAGGCCCCAGTGTGTGTTGTTCCCCTCTCTGTGTCCATGTGTTCTAATTGTTCAGCTCTCACTTACAAGTGAGAACATGCAGTATTTGGTTTTCTGTTCCTGTGTTAGTTTGCTGAGGATAATGGCTTCCAGCTTCATCTATGTCCCTGCAAAGGACATGATCTCATTCCTTTTTATGGCTACATAGTATTCCATGGTGTATATGTGCCATGTTTTCTTTGTCTAGTCTATCGTTGATGGGCATTTGGGCTGATTCCATGTCTTTGCTATTGTGAGTAGTGCTGCAGTAAACATACATGTGCATGTATCTTTATAATAGAATGATTTATATTCCTTTGTGTATATACCCAGTAATGGGAATGCTGGGTCAAATGGTATTTCTGGTTCTTGATCCTTGAGGAATTGCCACTGTTTTCTACAATGGTTGAACTAATTTACATTCCCACCAACAGTATAAAAGCATTCCTGTTTCTCCACAGCCTTGCCAGCAACTGTTGTTTCTTGACTTTTTAAATAATCACCATTCTGACTGGCATGAGATAGTATCTTGTTGTGATTTTGATTTGCATTTCTCTAATGATCAGTGATGTTGAGCTTTTTTCCATATGTTTGTGTGTCACATAAATGTCTTCTTTTGAGAAGTGTCTGTTTATATCCTTTGCCTACTTTTTGATGGGTTGTTTTTTTTTCTTGTAAATTTGTTTAAGTTCCTTGTAGATTCTAGATACTAGACCTTTGTCAGATGGATAGATTGCAAAAACATTCTCCCATTCTGCAGGTTGTCTGTTCATGCTGATGATAATTTCTTTTGCTGTGCAGAAACTCTTTAGTTTAATTAGGTGCCATTTGTCAATTTTGCTTTGGTTGCAACTGCTTTTGGTGTTTTGGTCATGAAATCTTTTCCCATGCTTATGTCCTGAATGGTGTTGCCTAGATTTTCTTCTAGGGTTTTTATAGTTTTGGGTTTCACACTTAAGTCTCGAATCCAATCCATCTTGAGTTAATTTTTGTGTAAGATGTAAGGAAGGGGTCCAGTTTCAATTTTCTGCATATGGGTAGCCAGTTTTCCCAGCACCATTTATTAAATAGGGAATCCTTTCCCCATTGCTTGTCTGTGTCAGGTTTGTCAAAGATTAGATGGTTGTAGATGTGTGGACTTATTTTTGAGATCTCTATTCTGTTCCATTGGTCTGTGTGTCTGTTTTGGTACCAGTACCATGCTGTAGCCTTGTCATATAGTTTGAAGTCAGGTAGTGTGATACTTCTAGCTTTGTTCTTTTTGCTTAGGATTGTCTTGGCTATATGGGCTCTTTTTTGGTTCCATATGAATTTTAAAGCAGTTTTTTTCTAATTCTGTGAAGAATGTCAATGGTAGTTTGATGGGAATATCATTGAATCTATAAATTACTTTGGGCAGTATGGCCATTTTCATGATACTGATTCTTCCTATCCACAAGTGTGGAATGTTTTTCTATTTGTTTGTGTCCTCTCTGATTTCCTTGAGCAGTGGTTAGTAGTACTCCTTGAAGGGGTTCTTCACATCCCTTGTTAGCTGTATTTCTAGGTATTTTATTCTCTTTGTAGCAATTGTGAATGGGAGTTCATCCATGATTTGTCTCTCTGCTTGTCTGTTGTTGGTGTATAGGAATGCTTGTGATTTTTGCACAATGATTTTATATCCTGAGACTTTGCTGAAGTTGCTTGTCAGCTTAAGGAGCTTTTGGGCTGAGACAATGGGGTTTTCTAGTTATAGGATCATGTCATCTGCAAACATAGACAATTTGACTTTCTCTCTTCCTATTTGAATACTCTTTATTTCTTTCTCTTGCCTGATTGCCCTGGCCATAGCTTCCAATACTATGTTGAACAGGAGTGGTGAGAGAGGGTATCCTTGTCTTGTGCCAGTTTTCGAAGGGAATACTTCCAGGTTTGCCAATTCAGTATGATATTGGCTGTGGGTTTATCATAAATGGCTCTTATTTTGAGCTATGTTTTATCAATACCTAGTTTACTGAGAGTTTTTTAACATGAAGGGATATTTAATTCTATGAGAGGCGTTTTTCTGCATCTATTGAGATAATTGTGTGGTTTTTGTCATTAGTTCTGTTTATGTGATGAATTACATTTACTGATTTGCATATGTTGAACCAGCCTTGCATCCCATGGATGAAGCCAGCTTGATTGTGGTGGATAAGCTTTCTGATATGCTGCTGGATTTGGTTTGCTAGTATTTTGAGGATTTTTGCGTTGGTATTCATCAGGGATATTGGCCTGAAGTTTTACTTTTTTGTTGTATCTCTGCCAGATTTTGGTATCAGGATGATGCTGGCCTCATAAATGAGTTAGAGAGAAGTCCCTCCTTTTCAATTGTTTGGAATAGTTTCAGAAGAAATGGTACCAGCTCCTCTTTGTACCTCTGGTAGAATTCAGCTGTGAATCCATCTGGTCCTGGGCTTTTTTTGGTTGGTAGACTATTTATTACTGCCTCGACTTCAGAACTTGTTAGTGGTCTATACAGAGATTTGACTTCTTCCTGGTTTAGTGTTGGAAGGGTGTATGTGTCCAGAAATTTGTCCATTTCTTCTAAATTTTCTAGTTTATTTGCGTAGAGGTGTTTATAATGTTTTTCTGATGGCTGTTTGTATTTCTGCAGGGTCAGTGGTGCTATCCTCTTTATCATTTTTTATTGTGTCTGTTTGATTCTTCTCTCTTCTTTTTTAGTCTAGCTAGCAGTCTATTGATTTTATTAATTTCTTTTCAAACCAGCTCCTAGATTCATTGATTTTTTTGGAGAGTTTTTTGTGTCTCTATCTCCTTCAGTTCCATTCTGATCTTGGTTATTTCTTGTGTTCTGTTAGCTTTGGGATTTGTTCTTGGTTTTCTAGTTCTTTTAGTTGCAATATTAGGGTGTCGATTTGAGAGCTTTCTAGCTTTCTGATGTAGGGATTTAGTGCTATAAATTTCCCTCTTAATACTGCTTTAGCTGCATCCCAGAGATTCTGGTACATTGTCTCTTGTTCTCATTGTTTTTAGAGGACTTCTTTACTTCTGTCTTAATTTCATTGTTTACCCAGGAGTCATTCAGGAGAAGGTTGTTGAATTTTCATGTAGTTATGTGGTTTTGAGTGAGTTTTTAAACCTTGAGTTCTAATTTGATTGCACTGTGGTCTGAGAGACTGTTGTGATTTCAGTTCCTTTGCATTTGCTAAAGAGTGTTTTACTTCCAATTATGAGATCAGTTTTTGAGTAAGTGCCATGTGGCACTGAGAAGAATGCTTATTCTGTTGTTTTGGGGTAGAGAGTTCTGTAGATATCTATCAGGTCCACCTGATGCAGAGCTGAGTTCAAGTCCTGAATACCCTTGTTAATTTACTGTCTTAATGATAGTCTGATATTGACAGTGGGTGTTAAAGTCTCCCGCTATTATTGTGTGGGAGTCTAAGTCTCTTTGTAGGTCTCTAAGAGCTTGTTTTATGAATTTGGGTGCTCTTGTATTGGGTGCATATATATTTAGGATTGTTAGCTTTTCTTGCTGTATTGATCCCTTTACGATTATGTAATGCCCTTCTTTGTCTTTTTTGAACCTTGCTGGTTTAAAGTCTGTTTTGTCAGAAACTAGGATTGCAACCCCTGCTTTTTCCTGCTTTTCATTTGCTTGGTAAATTTTCCTTCATCCCTTTATTTTGAGCCTATGTGTATCATTGCATGGAGATGGGCTTCTTGAATCTTGAATACAGCACACCAATGGGTCTTGACTCTTTATCCACATTGCCAATCTGTGTCTTTTTTTTTTTTTTTTTTTGAGATGGAGTCTCGTTCTGCCACCCAGGCTGGAGTGCAGTGGTATGATCTCAGCTCACTGCACTTCTGCCTCTTGGATTCAAGTGATTCTCCTGCGTCAGCCTCCCAAGTAGCTGGGACTACAGGTGCATGCCACCATGCCTGGCTAATTTTTGTATTTTTAGTAGATATGTGGTTTCACCATATTGGTCAGGCTGGTCTCGAACTTCTGACCTCAGGTGATCCACCCGCCTCGGCCTCCCAAAGTACTGGGATTACACAACATGCATGAACCACTGTGCCAGGCCCAATCTGTGTCTTTTAATTGGAGCATTTAGCCCATTTACATTTAAGGTTAATATTGTTATGTGTGTTTGATCCTGTCATCATGATGCTAGCTGGTTATTTTGCAGACTAGTTGATGCAGTTTCTTCATAGTGTCGTTGGTCTTTGTACTTCAGCATGTCTTTGCAGTGGCTGATAGTGGTTTTTCCTTTCCATATTTAGTGCTTCCTTCAGGAGCTCTTGCAAGGCAGGCCTGGTGGTGATGAATTCTCTCAGCATTTGCTTGTCTGAAAAGGATTTTATTTCTCCTTTGCTTATGAAGCTTAGTTTAGCCAAATATGAAATTCTGGGTTGGAAATTATTTTCTTTAAGAATGATGAATATTGGCCTCCACTCTCTTCTGGCTTGTAGGGTTTCTGCTGAGAGGTCCACTGTTAGTCTGATGGGCTTCCCTTTGTAGGTGACCTGGCCTTTCTCTCTGGCTGTTTTAACATTTTTTCCTTCATTACATTCTTGGAGAATCTGATGATTATGTGTCTTTGGGTTGATCTTCTCATGGAGTATCCTACTGGGATTTTCTGGATTTCCTGAATTTGAATGTTGGCCTCTCTTGCTGGGTTGGGGAAGTTCTTCTGGATGATAGCCTGAAGTGTGTTTTTCAACTTGGTTCCTTTCTCCCCATCTCTTTCATGTACTCCTATCAGTCATAGGTTTGGTCTTTTTACATAGTCTCATAGTTCTCGGAGGTTTTGTTTGCTCTTTTTCTTTCTTTCTTTTTTTTTTTTTGAGACGGAGTCTCACTCTGTCACCCAGGCTGGAGTGCAGTGGCACAATCTCAGCTCACTGCAACCTCTGCCCCCCGAGTTCAAGTGATCTCCTGCCTTAGCCTCCCAAGTAGCTGGTATTACAGGCGCCTGCCACTGCGCCTGGCTAATTTTTGTATTTTTAGTAGAAACGGGGTTTCACCATCTTATCCAGGCTGGTCTTGAACTCCTGACCTCGTGATCCACCTGCCTCAGCCTTCCAAAGTGCTGGGATTACAGGGATGAGTCACCGAGCCTGTGCTTGTTCATTCCTTTTCATTCTTTTTTTCTCAGTCTTGTCTGCTTGCCTTATTTCAGCAAGATAGTATTCAAGCTCTGATATTTATCCTTCTGCTTGATACCTGTGTTCGCATCACGAAGTTCTTGTGCTGTGTTCTTCAGCTCCATCGGGTCATTTATGTTCCTCTCTAAACTGGTTATTCTAGTTAGCAGCTCCTATGACCCTTTATCATGGTTCTTGGCTTCTTTGCATTGGGTTAAACATGCTCCTTTAGCTTAGCAAAGTTTATTACCTACTTTCTGAAGCCTTCTGTCAACTCATCCATCTCAGCCTCCACCCAGTTCTGTACCCTTGCTGGAGAGGAGTTGTGATCATTTGGAGGAGGAGAGGCACTCTGGCCTTTTCAGTTTTCAGCGTTTTTTCATTGATTCTTTCTCATCTATATGAGTTTGTCTAGTTTCAATCTTTGAGGCTGCTGACTGTTAATCAAGGAAAATGACAAGAAAAGTCTCAATCATTTTAGGAGATTTATTTGCCAAAGTTAAGGATGCACCCGGGAAACAGGTCTATGCCTTTCTCTGAAGATGATTTTAAGGGCTCCAAATTTAAAGGGGAAAGGGTGGGATATTGAGAAGTATACAGTTTTCATGCAAGTGAATCTGCATTTTTACATACAAGGACATAAAAGGGGCAGAGGAAAAATGTGGGGAATCAGCATTTTACATAAGATAACACAAACAGAATGTGGTAGGGAAACAATCAGATATGCATTAGTGTCTGTGGGCCAGGATGACAGCACCTGGAAAGATAAGCTATCAATTTGCATTGCCATGGTGAAGTTTTAACCATTCACTAGGAATATCCTTGTGGGCAAATATGGGGGAGGCATGTAGCTTTTCATCTTGTAGCCATCTTATTTAGGAACTGAAAGTGGGAGGCAAGTTTGCATGACCCAGTTCCCAGCTTGACTCTTCCTTTTAGCCAGATGCATTTGGGGTCCCAAAATTTAATTTCCTTTCAGTGTTTTTTTTCATTCATTCTTTCTCATCTTCATAAGTTTGTCTAGTTTGAGGCTGCTGACCTTTGGATGAAGTTTTTGTGGTGACTTCTTTGTTGATGCTGTTGTTGCTTTCTGTTAGTTTGTTTTTCTTTAACAGTCAGGCCCCTCTTCTGTAGGACTGCTGCAGTTTGCTGAGGGTTCACTTCAGGCCCTATTCACCTGGGTCCCTTCTGCAGCTGGAGATGTCACCCGAGGAAGCTGGAGAACAGCAAAGATGGATGCCTGCTCCTTCCTCTGGGATCTCTGTCCTCGAGGGGCACTGACCTGATGCTGGTAGGAACGCTTCTGTATAAGGTGTCTGGTGACCCCTGGTTGGTGGGGGTCTCACCCAGTCGCGGGGCACAGGATCCGGGACCCACTTAATGAAACACTCTAGTTGTCCCTTGGTGGAGGGGATGTGCTGTGCTGGGGGGAAACCCACTCATCTGGGCTGCCTGGATTCCTCAGAGCTAGTGGAGGAAAGTAAGTCTGCTGGTTTGTGAAGGCCATGGCCACCCCTCCCACTAGGGGCTCAGGCTCAGGGAGATCAGAATCTTTTCCCTAAGGCCCTGGCTGGGGTAGCTGAAGTTCCTGCAGGGAGGCCTCGCCCAGTGAGGAGGGATGGGTCAGGGTCCAGCCTAAAGAGGCAGAGTCCACAATCTGCCACAACTGGTGTGCTCCACTGTGGGGAATACCTTCTGGGTCCAAGACATCCAATCTCCCTGGCACCAGCAGGGGAAAAACGGCAGCCCCGAGCTGTAGTGATGGCTGTTGCCCTTCCCCAGTGGGGGTTCAGCCTTTTAGGCAGCCGCAGTGATGGGAGCTCAGACGTCGTAAGCAGCAGGCAGCTGCAGTTGCAGTGATGATGGCTGGCCCTCCTCCCCAGAACTCGGTAGTCTTAGGCAGACTCCGGCCCAACCGCTGTTGAGACTGTGCAGCTCTGTGGTTGGGACCTAAGGCCCTGGTGGTGTGGGCTCATGAGTGAGATCTCCTGATTCACAGGTTGCACATCCATGAAAAAAGCAGTTTCCAAGGCTAGGTAACATTGAGGTGGGCAAATAAAGAGAGAACGTTAGAGAGAGAAAAATAAGTTTAAAAAAGGCAAGCTTTCTGTACTATGCTGACACATCCCAAGGGCAGTAACAGGCATAGCCTGGACCCAGGTGAGGACCTGATAACATTATCTAAGTGGCTGGAGCTGGAAGGAATGTGCTCTGGAGACTTTCCCAGGGGTAACAAAGAAGTAAATTTTCCCTGTGTCTTTAGCATAAGTAAAAGTCCCTTTGAACCCCCTCCAGTGTGTGATTGTACCCACTCTGCAAGTTTTATGAGGTCCTGTTTTTCTGTAGCTAATTTCATGCGCGCGTCTGTGTGAAGAGATCACCAAACAGGCTTTGTGTAAGCAATAAAGCTTTTTAATCACCTGGGTGCAGGCAGCCTGAGTCCGAAAAGAGAGTCAGCAAAGGGTGGTGGGATTGTCATTAGTTCTTATACGTTTGGGATAGGCGGTGGAGTTAGGAGCAATTTTGTTGCGGGCAGCGGGTGGATCTTACAAAGTATATTCTCAAGGATGTGGAGAATATTACAAAGTACCTTCTTAAGTGTGGGGGAGAATATTACAAAGTACCTTCTTAATGGTGGGGAGGGTGTATAGTACAAAGTACATTCACAAAGGCAAGGGAATATCACAAAGTACATTATTGCGAGGGCGGGGAGGGTGTATTGTCACAAAGTCAATTGATCAGTTAGGGTGGGGCAGGAACAAATCACAACGGTGGAATGTCATCAGTTAAGGCAGGAACTGGCTGTTTTCACTTCTTTTGTGAATCTTAAGTTGCTTCAGGCCATCTGGATGTATATGTGCAGGTCACAGGGGATATGATGGCTTAGATTCAGCTGAGAGACCTGACATTTCTGTCTTCTTATATTAATAAGAAAAATAGAACAAAATAGCGGTGAAGTGTTGGGGCGGCAAAATATTTTTGGGGGTGGTATGGAGAGATAATGGGCAATTTTTCTCATGGCTGCTTTGAGCAGGATTAGGGGCAGCATGGGAACCTGGAGTGGGAAAGATTAAAGAAAGATTTTGGGGTAAGGGGTGATATTGTGGGTTTATTAGAAGGAACATTTGTCATATAGAATGGTGATGGCCTGGATGCAGTTTTGTATGAATTGAGAAACTAAACAGAAGACACAAGGTCCAAATAAGAGAAGGAGAAAAACAGATATTAAAAGACTAAGAAATGGGAGGACCCAGGACATCCAATTAGAGAGTGCCCAAGGGGGTTCAGTGTAATTATTTGCTTGGTTGGTGAGTTTTTGGGCTCAATCCTTGAGTTTTTGATGTTGTCATATACCAGGCCAGATTGATTTAGGTAAAAGCAACACTCTTCTTTTAAAAAATATACAGAGTCCCCTTTTTTTTTAGCAGTAAGTCAAAGCCTCGGCGATTTTGGAGGAAAAAGAAATGCAAAGCCAACAATCGTTTGTTAAAGAAGGTTTAGAAACGGCTAGGAGAGAGTGAGTGAGATTGATAGTGTGGTGGAGGTAGCTGGGGAGAGGTAGAGGGTGGCACAAGAACGGGAATGAGAATAAGAGTGAGTGTAAAAGTAAAGAATAGGACTTCATCAGGGTGAAAGTATTGGAGTGTGCCCTGTGAGCAAAGATCATCTATCCACTCCAAGAGGGAGTCAAGAGTGGCGGATTGGGGATAGTACTAGGAGATATCCGCTGTGATGGTTTGGAGGAAAAATGTAAACTGGCAGTGTAAACAGGGGCACGACACTTATGAGTAGTTGAGAATGGTGAATAGGAATATGACTAGACAGAAGATAGTAGGGATGACAAGTTTTTGGGGTGCAATCCAAGTGGGAGGGGTGAATGCGTAAAGCTTTGTTGGGAAGAGTAGGGTAAGGACGAAGAGACCTAATAAAAATGATAGGATGTATTAGGCTTATAAGGGTTACTATTATCATTTAGGAATGCGGGTGAGTTTAAGGGAAGTAGGGTTGAGTACTTGCGACTTCCAGGAGGAAGAGGAGAGATCAGGCTGTCTGTCTGACAGACAAAGCTTTATTCTGGAATGGTGAACCCAATGGGGAGGGTCCTGCAGGCGGACAGCAGTTGGGGTACTAGAGATGACTAAGTAGGGTCCAGTCCATCGAGGTTGTAGAGTTTGAAGGGTCAGATTTTTAACAAGAACTTATCATCCAGCTAGGGTGTCTTCATATGGCTGGGAATCTGGAGTAGGCAAGAGAAGATGAGCAGCCTGGCAAATTTCCTGTCTAGCCTGCTGGAAGACTGGAAGATAGTCGCCTAGAGGGCTGGTGTCTGGGGCAAGGTTGGGTCCGAGCAAGAAAGTGCATCCATATAAAAGTTCAAATGGACTGTACCCTGTAGCATCTCGAGGACAGGCTCTAATTCTGAGAAGGGCAAGAGGTAAAAGTACTGTCCAGTCCTTTTTAAGTTGGAGGCTGAGCTTGGTGAGGTGTGTCTTTAAAAGACCATTAGTCCGTTCTACCTTTCCTGAAGATTGAGGACGGTAAGGGGTATGAAGCTTCCACTGAATAGAGCCTGAGAAACTGCTTGGGTGATTTGACTAATAAAAGCTGGTCTGTGATGAGACTGTATAGAGGTAGGAAGGCCAAACCAAGGAATTATGTCTGGAAAAAGGGAAGAAATGACTGCGGTAGCCTTCTCAGATCCTGTGGGAAAGGCCTCTATCCATCCAGTGAAAGTGTCTACCCAGACCAAGAGGTATTTTAGTTGCCTGACTCAGGGCATGTAAGTAAATCAATTTGCCAGTCCTGGACAGGGGCAAATCCCTGAGCTTGATGTGTAGGGAAGGGAGCGGGCCTGAACAATCCCTGAGTAGTAGTAGAATAGCAGATGGAACACTAAGAAGTGATTTCCTTGAGGATAGATTTCCACGATGGAAAGGAAATGAGAGGTTCTAAGAGGCAGGCTAGTGGCTTGTAACCTACATGGAAGAGGTTCTGAAAAGATGACAGAATAGAATGGGCCTGTGAGGCTGGAAGGAGATATGTTCCTTGGTCCAAGAACCATTTGCCTTGTGTGAGAGGAGATTGATAGGTGGAAGTTACAGTGGGAGAGTAGGTGGGAGTGACTGATGAGAAGGAGAAAAACTGGCCATGAGGGACAGAAGTTGGAATGCTAGCTGCTTCTTCAGCTACCTAATCAGCATAAGCGTTGCCCTAAGCAATGGGATCTGATGCCTTTTGATGGCCCTTGCAGTGAATGACTCCAGCTTCCTTTGGAAGTAAAGCGGCCTTGAGAAGAGTTTTTATTAAAGATGCATTAATGATGGAGGACCCTTGTGTAATGAGGAAACCTCTTTCAGCCCATATAACAGCATGATGGTGCAGGATATGGAAGGCATATTTAGAGTCTGTATAAATATTGATGCGTAGTCCTTTTGCAAGAGTGAGGGCTCGAGTTAAGGCAATGAGTTTGGCTTGCTGAGAGGTAGTGGAGTGGGGCAGAGCAGTAGCCTCAATGATAGATGTGGAAGATACTATAGCATAGCCTGCCTTTGCTAGTGATTGGTGATTAGGCTTGGTGGAACTGCCATCAATAAACCAAGTGTGATCAGGGTGAGGAACAGGAAAGAAGGAAATATGGGGAAATGGAGTGAATACAAGTTAGATCAGAGAGATACAGTTATGGGGGTCAGGTGGGGTATCAGGAATAATGTGGGAGGCTGGATTGAAGTCCGGGCCAGGAACAATGGTAATCGTTGCAGACTCAACAAAGAGTGAATATAGCTGAAGGAGCCAGGGGCAGAAAGTATATGCATCAGGTGTGAGGAAGAAAATAGATTTTGGAAGTTATGAGAACTGTAGGGAGTGAGTTAAGCATAGTTTGTGATTTTGAAGGCCTCTAAAAGTATTAGAGCAGCAGCAGCTGCTGCACACAGAGATGAGGGCTAGTCTAAAACAGTAAGGTCAAGTTGTTTGGACAGAAAGGCTACAGGGTGCAGTCCCAGCTCTTGTGTAAGAATTCTGACTGCACAGCCCTGTACTTCAGCTGTGTGTAATGAAAAGGGTTGGGATGAGTTAGGGAGAGCAGCTTTTAGGGTTGTTTTTTAAGGAATGGAAAGGGGAATGGGGAAAGGATTTAGGATTTATGGGGTCAGCTAAGTTTCCTTTTGTGAGTTTATATAATGGTTTAGTCAGGATGGCAAAACCAGATATCCAAAGGAGAAAGTACCTTAACCATGCCTAGGAAGGAAAGGAGTTGTTGTTTGTAGAAGGGGTTGGGGTTTGGGAGATTAGCCGGACACAATCAGCAGGGAGAGCACGTGTGTTTTTATGAAGAAAGGTGCTGAGATAGGTAACGGATGAGGAAGAAATTTGGGCTTTGGAGGGGGATATGCAATATCCTTTTGAGAATAGATGTTGGAGGAGCAGGAGGGTGCCCTGTTGGGAAGACTTGTAGGGTGGGCTATAAAGGAGAAGGTTGTCAAAATTTTGAATAAGGTGAGAAGCAGATGGACAGAAAGAAAGTAAATCATGAGAAAGGGCTTGACTGAAGTAATGGGGGCTGTCCCTGAAGCCTTGTGGCAGTACAGCCCAGGTAAGTTGCTGGGACTGATGGGTGTCAGGGTCAGTCCAAGTGAAAGTGAAGAGAGGCTGGGATGAAGGGTGTAAAGGAATAGTAAAGAAAGCATGTTTCAGATCCAGAACAGAATAATGGGTTGTGGAGGGAGGTATTGAGGATAGGAGAGTATATGGGTTTGGCACTATGGGGTGGATAGGCAAGACAATTTGGTTGATAAGGCAAAGATCTTGGACCAGCCTGTAAGACTTGTCTGGTTTTTGGACAGGTAGGATAGGAGAGTTGTAAGGAGAGTTTGTAGGCTTTAAGAGGCCATGTTGTAACAGGCTGGTGGTAACAGGCTTTAACCTTTTTAAAGCCTGCTGTGGGATGGGATATTGGCGTTGAGCATGGTAAGGGTGATTAGATTTTAATGGGATGATAAGGGGTGCATGATCAGTCGCCAAGGAGGGAGTAGAGGGATCCCATGCTTGTGGATTAAGGTAGGGAGATACAAGGGGAGGATTCGAAGGAGGCTATGAACTGGGGAAAAGGGTGGCAGTGAGGTGTGGCTGTAGCCCAGGAATAGTCAGGGAAGCAGATAATTTAGTTAAAATGTCTTGACCTAATAAGGTAACTGGGCAAGTGGGGATAACTAAAAAGGAGTGGATAAAAGAATGTTGTCCAAGTTGGCACCAGAGTGGGGGAGTTTTAAGGGGTCTCGCAGCCTGGCCGTCAATACCCACAACAGTTATGGAGGTAAGGGGAACAGGCCCTTGAAAAGAAGGTAATGTGGAGTGGGTAGCCTCCATATTGATCAAGAAGGGGATGGACTTACCCTCCACTGTAAGAGTTACCTAAAGCTGTGATGGTCCAGGAGGTTTCCAAGGTGATCGGGCAGCGTCAGTCTTCAGCCACTAAGCTGAGAAGATCTGGGAAGGAGTCAGTCAGAGAGCCTTGGGCCAGAGTTCCAGGGGCTCTGGGAGTGGCTGCTAGGCGAATTGGACAGTCTGATTTCCAGTGGGGTCCGCACAGATGGGACATGGCTTAGGAGGAATCCCAGGCTGTGGGCATTCGTTGGCCCAGTGGCCAGATTTCCAGCACTTGAAGCAAGATCCTGGGGGAGGAGGTCCTGGAGGAATGCCTGGCTGCTGTGGTTTAGGAGTTTCAAAGTTCTTGTGTGCTAGAAATGTGTGGGTGGGGTTTCTCTCACAGTGGAGGCAAGTAATTGCAACTCAGAAATATGTTGGCACTTGGCTGCCTCTTTTTTATTATTGTACACCTTGAAGGCGAGGTTAATTAAGTTCTTTTGTGGGGTTTGAGGGCCGGAATCTAATTTTTGGAACTTTTTCTAATATCGGGACTGGATTGGATAATAAAATGCATATTGAGAATAAGACAGCCTTCTGGCCCCTCTGGGTCTAGGGCAGTAAAGCATCCAAGGGTTGTTGCCAAATGGGCCATGAACTGGGCTGGGTTTTTATATTTGGTGAAAAAGAGCCTAAATGCTAACTGATTTGGGAAAGGTCTGATAGAGAAAAAGGAGCATTAACCTTGACTATGCCTTTAGCTCCAGCCACCTCTTTGAGAGGAAATTGTTGGGCAGGTGGCGGAGGGCTAGTTGCGGTACAAAACTGTAAGCCAGACCAGGTGTGAGGAGGGGAGGTGATAGAAGGATTATAGGGTGGGGGAGTGGAGGCCGAGGAAGAATTGGGACCTGGCTCAGCCTGGCGAGGAGCAGCCTGGGGAGGAGGGGAGAGGTCAGATGAGTCTGTAGTAAAGGAGGATTCAAAGGACTCAGAGCTTGGGGTGGAGACTGAAGGAACAGTCAGGAGAGAAAGAAGGATTTGGGATGGGTCGCATTGTGAGCAGAGACTAGGGAGGAACCGAGGTGTAAAAGAATGCCTGGACATCAGGCATCTCAGACCGTTTGCCCATTTTTTGACAAAAATTATCTAGGTCTTGTAGAATGGAGAAATCAAAAGTGCCATTTTCTGGCCATTTAGAGCCATTATCAAGTTTGTATTGACACCAAGTAATGTTGCAGAAGAAAATAAAATGCTTAGGTTTTAGGTCAGGTGAGAGTTGAAGAGGTTTTAAGTTCTTAAGAACACAGGCTAAGGGAGAAGAAGGAGGAATGGAGGGTGGAAGGTTGCCCATAGTGAAGGAGGCAAGCCCAGAGAAAAGAGAGGGTAGAGACATGGAGGAGGAGGGAGTGGTACTTGCCACCCAGGGGAGGTGGTGCTTGCCACCCAGGGGAGGTGGTACTTGCCACCAAGGTGAAGGATCAAGGCAGGCATCCCCGCAGTGATCAGACATCCCTGAAATGTGGGTGAATAATCAGGCAGGCATCCCCACAGTGATTAAACACCAACGGAAGACTGTCTGGAGTGACCAGCGCTGGAGTTTTGAGTTTATGGATAAAACACGTCTCTTCTGTCTCTACCAGAAAGGGAAAGGAACCAAAATTAAGGAAGGGAGAGATTGAAGGGTGGAGCAACAGCAAGAGAGGTTGGAGAAGAGAGTGAAAAGACCGCTTACCTGATTTGAAATTGGTGAGATGTTCCTTGGGCTGGTTGGTCTGAGGACCCAAGATGGTAGGTGGATCTCCTCATGGAGTGAGGGTGAGGACAGGGGACTGGTCTCCCGAAGGAGTCCCCCTCCCCCGGGTCTTTGGCACCAAATGTCACGTGTGTCTGTATGAAGAGACCACCAAACAGGCTTTGTGTGAGCAATAAAGCTTTTTAATCACCTGGGTACAGGTGGGCTGAGCCCAAAAAGAGAGTCAGCAAAGGGTGGTGGGATTATCATTAGTTCTTATAGGTTTGGAATAGGCAATGGAGTTAGGAGCAATGTTTTGTGGGCAGGGGGTGGATCTTACCAAGTACATTCTCAAGGATGGGGAGAATATTACAAAGTACTTTTTTTTTTTTTTGACGGAGTCTTGCTCCGTTGCCCAGGCTGGAGTGCAGTGGCGCAATCTTGGCTCACTGCAAGCTCC
Organism: Homo sapiens; assembly: GCF_000001405.40. Classification (NCBI taxonomy): domain Eukaryota; kingdom Metazoa; phylum Chordata; class Mammalia; order Primates; family Hominidae; genus Homo; species Homo sapiens. Next base: position 46,109,401 of record NC_000019.10, read on the forward strand.
ACCTCCCAGGTTGACGCCATTCTTCTGCCTCAGCCTCCCGAGTAGCTGGGACTACAGGTGCCCGCCACCACACCCAGCTAATTTTTTTTGTATTTTTAGTAGAGATGGGGTTTCACCATGTTAGCCAGGATGGTCTCAATCTCCTGACCTCGTGATCCACCCACCTCGGCCTCCCAAAGTGCTGGGATTACAGGCGTGAGACACCGCGCCCGGCCCAAAGTACCTTCTTAAGGGTGGGGGAGAATATTACAAAGTACCTTGTTAAGGGTAGGGGAGGATATTACAAATTACCTTCTCAAGGGTGGGGAGGGTGTATCATACAAAGTACATTCACAAGGGTGGGGGAATATCACAAAGTAGTTATCACAAGGGTGGGGAGGGTGTATTGTCAGAAAGTCAATTGATCAGTTAGGGTGGGGCAGGAACAAATCACAATGGTGGAATGTCATCAGTTAAGGCAGGAACTGGCTATTTTCACTTCTTTTGTGGATCTTTAGTTGCTTCAGGCCATCTGGATGTATACATGCGGGTCACAGGGGATATGATGGCTTAGCTTGGACTCAGAGGCCTGACACTAATAACTGTAAGTTTCTGTTTTTCGTCTGAGCTGCATAACAAAGGTCACAAGACATGTTCGAGTAAGCCTAGATTGTAGCCCTCCAGGCACCACAGCAAAGGACATAAGTTTGGACAAGATTCCTTTGAGCATAAGCTAGATAACAGCCATCGGGGCCACATAGCAAGAGACACACGTAAACCTGAGTTATGAACCTGTCACTGTTTGATAAACTGCCTTTGTTCTGCTTCTGTACATTCACTTTTCATGCCACTCAGAAGAAGGTGTATAAGCAAGACCCTGTCTTTGTTCAGGGCGCAGTTTTTGGATGTTAAGTCTGCTGGGTCTGAGTGTACTCAATAAAGATGCTCCTGTATTTCACCCTCAGGTCTCTCTGGTCCTCCTGATTCCTGCAACAACACAATCACTCACTGCCTTTTTTGGCTGAGGATGGGGGCTCCCCTTGTCCCCTGTGGCTCTCCAGTGTTGGTTTTATGATACATCAAAAACTAATATTATACTTTCATATTCTCATTGCTTGTTTCATATCAGTGGCAGCAATTTTTCCAAATAATTTAGTATACAATTAAAGTGGCAATGTAGAGTTTACTTAATGGACTTGTTATAATTAGGAACCAGTTTTATACACAGAGAATCCATAAAAATACAACTTTTTTGCTATTTTATCCTTTGGCTATGCAAAAAGTTGTTCAATGTTTACTGTAGGTGTTTGTTTTAAGCATGCAATACAGTTTATAGTGGAGATACCTTCTGACAAGAAGTAAACACCCAGAAGTGATTTTTGTCTTCATTAGAACTCATTACTATTTGTCTGTTTTCCAAGATGATACGATACATCATGATCTTATATTTTAAAATTCTGTTTCTATATGTAATTTAAATAAGTTATTTTACTTATACAATTAATGTTTCATTCTGTATTTAAATTTCCTGTAAGAAATATTCCTTGATTTAATAATGAGGAGCTTTGTTATTTTTTTAAAATATGGTGACATGTTTCTTTATAATTATGTACAATTTTTTTTACTTCTAGCAACATAAATACTGAGTCATTTATTCTTTATTGCTCATACCCCAGGGTAGTTGTTGAGTTATCTTACATGATGTAAGTACCGTCTTTTGCAGTACTTTATACTCTTCGTTTGTTTTGTTATAGCCAGAACATTATAAAATCCAGTTCTTAGATCAGACATATGTTGAAAGTAACCCTTTTTCCACTTGAATTGTTAAATTGTTTAATCTAGCATCTTTACTCCTACAACTTGCAGTACCATTCTTTGTTCCAGCACATTGGATGTCACCTCTATATCAGTTGGTCCTGTCCCAATAGTGGCAGAATGATATCAAAAAGTGAAGGTCTCAGTGTAATATGAAGCCTCAGTTTTTAAAATAAGTATGTATATCTGTTGGATATTCTGGTGGTAGTCTCAAAAGGATGACCTGATAAACTGACAGGCATCTTTAATTAATGGGACAACACTGAGAGGTATTCATATGGCAATAAAAAGAGAATAGAAGAGTTAAGCAATAAGCCACCCACACCGCTCTGTGAGCATAATGGATATGATCACACCCACATTGCCAAGTGTGTCTGCCAAAACATATGGAAATACATCTTTCTTCTAGCACTCATGCCTCATTAATGGCTGTAACTGTTTCACAGTCATGGTGTCCACGTATATGATACTAATGGCTATGATTAGATGAGTCACATCTTCATTGAGTAGCTCAATAGGTATTGTTATGGGCATAGATACCAATCAGGTTTACTACCAGCCCCGTAGCTGAGACTGGTGTTAATATGTGTATCTAGTCCTAGAGGATCAATTGAACCACTGACTAACACAAAAACAAGTTTTGCCATTAGAAAAATCTATTAATAGAAACCCAAACCTCACCATTATGAAGTATATCCATGTAACAACCTGTAAATGTACACCCCGAGTCTGTACAAATAAAAAAGATTACATTATGATGAAATGGTGAAACAGAAAGCTTTGTTACATGGAACTTTTCCTGTTGCATTCAAAACTGCTTCATTAAATAGTCCTGCAGAATAGACTCTACGACTTTCAAAGCTAGGAGAAATTGGAGTGACCAGTTTATTCCTTTTATGAAGAATTATCCCTGAGATGCCGAACATCTGTGTGTCAGAAGCTCCCAGCTAACTTTCAAAAGGCAGTTTAATTTCCAATAATAGTAATTCAACAAAACTGAGAGTTTAAATTAGGCAATTTAACTAATAGGCAAGTATTCTTTGTTGTGCTTCACATTTATTTTGGAGGTCCAAGATCTGCAATTATGACAAAAACCACCACCACCACCTGAGGGTACATTCTGTTTGGCCTTAAATAATTATAGTGGCCCCCACCCCATGTCAGAAATTGGTTTCAGAGTGGACTAGTGACCCTGTTTTTCCAATGAGAAAGGAAAAAAGCTGTGGGGCTTCTAGGAAGGTCCCTCCTTCCTAAGAAAAAGACTGAGAATCTCTTTGGATCTCTGGACATTGCTGTGTTTGGATGTGATACCAGAACTGTTCCATCCATGTGCCAGGAGCCTGGAGGCGAAACCAGTACAGTCAGGACCACAAAGCATAGATGAACACAAGCTGGGACCTTGAGGACATGGATGAGTGGCTGAATCAAACAGCCCTAAAACTTGTTTGACCTTAGAACTTTCAAATATGTTAGAGAATAGATTTTCTAATAGCTTAAGCCTGCAGAGGAGGAGTGGGAGTAGACAGCTTGTCGCTGTGATGGCTGCCAGTGGCTGAAAGTGATTTGGAAGAATCATCACATTCTGGATGTAATGTAATGTTTTGGTTTGGTTTTTACAAATCTGCTATCAAATTGATGATGTGGCTCATACTTGGTAATGGTGTCAAGGAAATACAGTACATTAGAGCTGCTGCTCAGAGTGGAAAGGTGCATGTTAGGAAAGAGGTCAATTCCTTCAAAACACTTGTAAGTTTGTTTTAATACCAATTGAAATACAAATGGAATTTTCTTGGAGAAAAGAAAAAGTCTATTAATAAATTGAGAGAGAATTTCTATTTGGGTGCACCCATAGGAGAAAAATCCCATTGCATTCCATCTTTTCATCAGGGCAGCAATAAATATCATGACTAAAACACATCTGTCATAGAGTGTGTGAAATACATCTGAGATGAGACCCAGACTGCTGGTCAACACATCATAGAATGATTCTACAGAGGCAAAAAGCGTTCCGTCCTCTCTTAGAGGGAGATGAAAAGACGTTGGTAGACAAAATGAAGACCTAGTACTCACTATCACTCCTCCAGACAGGATGTGTTCTGCACTTTCCTGGTATGCCATTTTGTTCATAGCCTGAAGTCAGACTGTTGTTGGATGTATTCAGAAATTTCCAAAGCACTAATAAAAACAGGAAAGGATCAATCATGGGGACATTTGGAAACTTCCATTTTGACTGAACAAATGGAATCCACGTAGATATCCAGGATTACGACAAAGAAGATAAGCATTGTGGAAGCCATAAAGGGAGAAATCCAAGATTTATCTTTAACCTCAGTTGTCACAGGAAAGACAATGACCCATGGGCACAAGAGAAGCAGGAAATAAGATGGGATAAAGCTTGAAGACTTTTGGCTCCACTGATGTCTATAGAGAGCTTTCTGGGAGCTGTATGAAAACCAGCTTTACACCACAAAGCCAAGACTAGCAATAATATTCCATGCTTGTTATCTGCCATGTCTAAGAAGGCAATGGTTGTGTAAAGCATGTAAGTTAGAGCCCTGAACTACCCTAATTAAATGGGGTGTTCAGCCGTTTTAGCCTTGAGATCATCACTGTCAAAAAACAGCAATAAATAGATGACAGCAATAATGAAGAAAGCAGTCCCCTGTATTGAAGTTCTGCTCTGTGTTACAAAAAGAGCTTGGTTTATGGCTGTATTTCTTAGAGATGAGAGACAAAATATACAGACAATGGCCAGACCACATATAAAAACAGAACTCTGACCCATAACCTACAGCAGCCTGCCTAGGAAATCAACCCACTTTTCTACAATAAACAGCCCAGGAAGCCACTTGCTGTAAGTCACACTTGTAGGAAGTCAGACTTTCTCTGGTAACAATCCAGGAAACTAAACAGTAACTCCAGTAACAGTCAGCTCCAAATGGCCAGGACTTTATTAATAACTGACAACTTCCCAAATTTTTGTTCCTGTTTCTAACTTAGGAGCAACGTAGGAAAGCCAAATACGTACCCTAAACCAATCCCATAGGATGCTGTGCATCTAGTTAGCTATCCTCAGCTTCCCCATGCCAACAGCCTCCAATCAGGGAACATGCGAAAAAAAGGGTGATACCTTTTCCACTATAAAGCTTTCCTACTCCTCTGCTGGTCTTTGAGTCTCTCCCAAAATGGAAGTGATGGTGGCTGACTTCTTTGTTGTAGAATAGATAGCCTTTACTTTCTTATTTGGTTAGTCTTTGTTTTCACAGAAGTTATTGGCGAACTCCATTTATTAAAGTCATGGGTGCTGATATGGTTTGGCTCTGTGTCCCCACCCAAATCTTACCTTGAATTACCCCACATGTTAGGGAGGGACATGGTGGGAGGTGATTGGATCATGGGGGCAGTTTCCCTCATTCTTTTCTCGTGATAGTGAGTGAGTTCTCCTGAGATCTGATGGTTAAAAAGTGTGGCACTTTCTCCTTCTCTCTCTCCTGCCACCATGTAAGATACGCCTTGGTTCCCCTTTGCCTTCTGCCATGATTTTAAATTTCCAGAGACCTTCCCAGCCAAGCGGAACTGTGAGCCAATTAAACCACTTTTCTTTATAAATTACCCAGTCTCAGGCAGCTCTTCATAGCAGTGTGAAAATTGACTAATACAGGTGCTTTTTGAAAATGCAGTTTCCTGGACTCCCCACAGGTTTACAGAATCAGAATCTCTGGGAGTAAGGCCCAGAAATTTGCATTTTCATCCATAGCCCTAGTGGCTCTCATGCATACTAATATTGAGGACCAGTGTCCTAGAATATTTGGTGATTATCTTTCTCTGGCATTTGTATCACACCTATGTTCATCCATAGCCCTAGTGACTCTTGTGCATGCTAATATTGAGGACCAGTGTCCTAGAATATTTGGTGATTATCTTTCTCTGGTTTTCGTATCACAACTATGTTATGTGTATGAAATACCTAACTATCCCCACTTGTGTGTTTCAAAAGGTCCTTTTGCCTACAGGAGCAGGCTAAATCTCATGACATTCCCCACACTCAATCCTCACCCAGAATTCCTGAGCTCTGGGGAAGGTGCCATCTCCAGCCTGGTTTGCAAGCCAGAAACACAGGCTCTCTCTTACAGGGAAAATGAAAATACATTTTAAAAATGTGAATAACCCCCAAAATATCAGGTAAGGCACATAAAACAAAAATAAGGCGGCGTCAGTAGAAAACACAAGACAAAATGAAATGCAGCGAATCACTGGAAATGTTGAGGGAAGTAGCAGTTCTGGGTCAGGGGAGGCAGAAACAGCTACAGCTTGGGAGCTGTGGCCAGTGTGTTCTCTGAGAGGTAGCTATGCAGACCCAAGCTAACAGCCAACCCCAGAAACCTCAGCCTGATTCAGATTCACCTCAGGGTGAATCTGGTGACTCAGCCTGAGTGGGAGCAGTTTCACTACCCGACTCTCTGTGTAATTTAATCTTGTGTTTGCAGCCAATACCTAGCCAATACAGAAAATTAATGTATGGGAGGAGGCCAGCTGCTCTTGACATGGAAAGTTCAGATTATTTTCAAGCTTCAAGAAGGGAACCAGCGACAGGGATAAATGAATGAGTAGAGCCACTTACCAGCAAAAAGCGTTGGAATTTTTTCTATACCACTCCAGCCCCTCATTGCAGGGCTGCTGTAGAGAACTGATGTCCCCAGTTCTGCCCATCTCAGGTATACTCCAGGAGGCTCGCCGGCTGACAGCTTCCTTGCTCTGCCGCCTGTGTGAAGGGGCTGCCACTCTCTGTTCTCAGGTCTTGGTGACTGATGATGGGTCCATTTTTCCTTTTGTTGATGTTATAAGTGGGACTGTTAATTCTATTTTTGGATTGTTCATTTCCCAATCTTTTTTTTTATTATTATACTTTAAGTTCTAGGGTACATGTGCACAACATGCAGGTTTGTTACATATGTATACATGTGCCATGTTGGTGTGCTGCACCCATTAACTCGTAATTTACATTAGGTATATCTCCTCATTTCCCAGTCTTTTAAGACATACCAAATAATTTTCTCTGTGAGTGTGAGCTTACAGAAAAGAGCTCTCGTTGTCTTTCTGGCAGCAACACCGTTGATAATGCATTGCTGGCAATATCTACTTGTGGTTTTCTGTAAAAATGCTGTGAGTTTAAGGACATTTACCTAATAGTCTGACTGGGAAATCCTAGATTTTAGTAATTAAAAAAATACATTGCTTTGCCTCTAGCAAATAAGAACAATGTCTCTTTGCTGATTCAGATATATTGAATCTTTCCAAAGCATTTGCTTTAGTTAAAGCAATTTTTGATTAGTATTATTCTAATTAGAACAATTTTTAAATTTTTACAGATGAGGTTTCACTCTGTTGCACAGGCTAGTCTCGAAATTCTGGCCCCAAGGAATCCTCCTACCTCAGCCTCCTGGGTTGTGGGGATTACATGTGCTTGCTACTGAAGCGGGCCAATTAGTATTTTTTTAATGGACAAGTTATAATTGTGTGCATTTATTTGATACAATGTGATGTTCTAATTCATGTAACGGAGTTCTGGGAAAGTCATACCAACCTACAGTGGTACCTTTGTGGAAAGATTAAATCAAGCTAATTAACATACCCATTACCTTGCTTATTATTTTTAGTTTTAATAGAGCCAGTAAATCTTTTCACACTCGAATTTAACTTATATTAAATTATTTATATTGTACAACTTACACAAGTTAAATTAATTAACTTGTTTATCTTATATTAAATTAGGCAATTATAATAACTAGTAAAAATTTTATATACTGGTTTGGCATAAACTTAATTGATTGGAGTAAAAGTAGGCAAGGATTTGATTCTAAAATGAAGCCTTAAAATCTTGAGCTTTATTTTGACTATTTTTTTCTCATTATGTAAGGTACTTTATTATTTATTTTTAAAATAATTTTAAGCTTTAATTGAGCTAAGCCTATTCAGTAAGTTTTTCAGTATACCTAGAGAATAAAGGTTAATTGAGGCTGCAGTTAGGAAGATTTCTCTCTTTTTAAATTTTTATATTTTGTAGATATTTTGTAGGTATGAGGTGTCACTATGTTGCCCAGGCTGGTCTTGAACTCCTGGCCTCAAGTGATCATTTTACTTCTGCCTCTCAAAGTGCTAGGATTACAGGTGTGAGTCATTGCACCAGGCCAAGAAGAATTCTCTTAAAAGTCAATTTTTTTTTCTGATTGAATTGGTGGTTTCCAGTCCCTTCTTTTTTGTTGTTTTTTGTTTGTTTGTTTGCTTGCTTGCTTGATTTTTTTAGAGACAGAATTTGTGCTGTCACCCAGGCTAAAGTGCAGTGGTATAATCATAGCTCACTGCAGCCTCAAACTCCTGGGCCCAAGGGATCCTCCCACGTCAGCCTCTCAAGTAGCTGGGACTACATGCATGTGCCATCAAGCCTGGCTAATTTTTTTGTATTTTTAGTAGAGACGGGGTTTCACCATGTTGGCCAGGATGGCCTCGATCTCTTGACCTCGTGATCCACCCACCTTAGCCTCCCAAAGTGGTGGGATTACAGGTGTGAGCCACCGCGCCCGGACTACCATCTGTTCATTTTTAAAATGAATCTTGCTTGGGACTACAGGCCCCAGAATGGAGATAGCACTTCTTCCTGCAGGAACCAGGGACCACCTCACTCTCTTGACACTACAGAGCCTGCCTTCCTTAGCCCCTGCTTGTTAGGTGCTCCTAAATGCAACCTTTGTGGCCATACTTAGCATGCAGTGTCCTCCCTCAGGCTGTGAGCATACGTGGGGCTAATAATCTACTGTTGATTTTATCCACCCAGAATTAACGTCCTGTGTTTTGCCATCCCCACAGCCCTAGGGTGGGCATCCTTTTCTTATAAACAAGGTAAACAGGAGGCAATTAAAACAATAAAAAATTTTAAAGAGAAGTTTAGTGTTCATAAATGTCTTTAACATTAAACCACCGATAGTCTAGAGGCAGCCTTTCAAACTTCTATAAATTGGAATAGACTTTGGAGATGAATCATAACGGCTGAATAGATGCAGGTATGTTTGTCTCCCCCACAGAGAAAACCAGAATAGCAAGTAGATACTCACATTTCAAACAAATGGTCTAGGAGAGAATGCTGAGGTTCACCAGAGAAGAGATGGGAAGCACCAGAAGTAAGAAAAGGGTTTGAGGCAGCTTGCCCACCTGGGATTGACTGAGCTGGGAGAGGCTCCTGGAATGTGTGGGGAAGCAGTAAGAGAGAAAGCCCCTGGGCTCCACACTCCTAGACAGGCTTTTATAATCTTGGCTGTGGGAGAAACCCCGGACTCATTAGGGCCTCCGGCCTGACATATGAAGCTGCCCAAAGATGTTGCTCCAGAAAGGGAACCCCCACACACTCCCACAGGCATCTGAACCCTGGGCAGCCTCAGATGGGCACCATTTTGAGAGCCCAGACATCAGGTATCTACAGACAGCTGCTGCCACTTTACTGCTGCAAGGAGGCAGAGGGGAGACCAGGCACTCCCATGCACCCCTGGGAGAGTTACTGCCTCCCTGCTGAAGGCTGAAGTTGAGACTTACACGTGAGCAGACTGCATTCCCCATAGCTTCTTGCCCATGCTGCTTGCCTGCGAGGGACCTCAGCCTCTCTGGTTGCAGGCCCAAGGTGCAGTTTCCATAGTTTAAGTTCAGGCTGTGCCCTGCCCTTGGCCTCAGTTTGAGTTGACATGGCTGCAGCTGTGGCCCGGTTTAGGAGGGACAGGGAGTCCAGACTCCCTTATACATACTCAAGATAATACTCAACACCCTGCTATGGGATGATGCTTTTCTGGGAGGGATCTCTGTTTTGTCTGGTCACAAGCCCACAGCTGGCACCATTTTGAGAGTTTAACACTTGGCTGTGCCCCGCCCTCCAGGTGAGTTTGAGGTGATGAGTTCCACACCCTGCTGGGAGAGGAACAGGGTAGACTAAGCTCTCTTACCAAACAGGGTAGTCCAAGCTCTCCAGGGTACACCACACTTAGGACAGTGACCACTGCAGTACTACAAGTGACTGTGGGACTGGGGACAAGCCTGCCAACTGATCGCATCTTCTTGTAACACCAACATGGAGGGCTTGGGTCCCAGTGAGCTGTTCTACCACTGCTACTGCTATCTCCCATGCCACACCAGCTGCCCAGAGGTCTGAGAACCTGCCCACACACAGGGATCATCGTTCCCACTGCAAGCTTCTAAGCCAGACATCTGGAGGCCCAAGAATCAGCCCCTAGAACCTACTGACTGGAGCCAGGGTATGCTGCTCTGGGGCCTAAAAACAGTCATTCTCATCCCACTGCTGCTACTACTGGGGCCAAAGACTGGCTTAGTTGACGTCCAAGTTCCCAGTTAAACTTTACTACAACCTCAACTAATAGCTGTAGCTTAAGCCACTGAGGAAATCACAGATACCACTGACCCTGAATACTGCCAAAGAAGTCATGCAAAGACCACTCTACTGCAGGTCAATTGGGATAATTTCCCTAACCCCTTCACAAGACTTGTGACAGAGGTGCCTCACTCGCTCAGCCTGTAGTGCTCAATTGCTCACCAGTGGGTGGGGTGGGGTGGGGGTGCAGCTTGCCGGCAAGGGGATGCAGGAGCCCGGGTAGGTGTGTTTTGGGCACTGGCAGGAGCACAACTGTGTACTGGCCCTGCAGCAGCATCTGGGGGATGCCCACAACTCATGAAGCCTCAGAGGGAGTGTTACAGTCAGTGCTCTTTTGGCTCTGCCATCCATGAATGGCTTAGGTGTTGAACAGCTCGGTGTGACAGCCCTCTGTATCCTGAGCTCCTGCTCAGTGTCCAGGAAGAATCAGGTTGCATGAACGAATTGAAGATGGTAAATGTGGGGGATTTTATTGCCGATGAAAGTGGCTCTCAGCGGGAAGGGGAGCTGGAAAGGGGATGAAGCAGGAAGGCATTCTTCCCCTGAAGTCTGGCCATCCCCAGCTGGGCTCCTCTCCAAAGCTATGTCATTGAGCCATCCCTCTGAAGTCAAGTTGCTTCTCTCCGAAGTTCAACTGTAGTCTCCGATGTCCAGCTGCTTCGTCTCTTCTCCCCTTGTCTGCCGTCTGCCAGTGGAGCCTGGGGTTTTTATGGGTACAGGACGTGCCTCCTGTTCCTATCACAGTGCCCCAAATCAAAGTGTCTTAACAACATATATTCTCAGGAAAAAATTATCCCCTACAAAAGCAATTTTAACAAACTTGACTTTAACAGACTTGACTGCTACACCAGATGTGTAGATATCAACAGAAGGACACAGTCACCATGAAAAAGCAGGAAGATAGGACACCACATGAAAGATCATAACAATTTTCCAGCAACAGATCCCAATAACAAAGAATTCCTCAAAATGCCAGATAAAGAATTAAAAATATTGATCTTAAAGAAAATGCAATGCAATAGAAATCTGAAAACCAATACAGAGATATCAGAAATTCAGTTTGGGATATGAATGAGAAATTTACCAAGGAGATACAGATATTATAAACTTCTATAATTTGGTTATTGCATAGCATGATGCATATAGTAAAAAAATGTATATTTCAAAACTATTAAGAGAGTAAATTTCAAGTGTTCTTACCACAGAAAAATGAGAAATATTGAAGGTAATAGATATGTTAATTTCCTTGAGTTTAATTATTCCACATTGAATTCATCAGTCATGCTGTACCCCATAAATACAACTATAATTTGTCAATTTAAATTAAAAAATTAAAAAATAAACTTAAGAAGCCTTAGGTTTATTTTTAATTCATATCCAACTTGTAGCCCTTTTTAAAATAATTTATTTGCATTTCAAGATACATATTTGATGGAACATGTACATTTTTCAGCGCTTAGAAAGTTCCAGGCACCACTATAGTGGTGGCTCACTCCTATAGTCCCAGCACTTTGGGAGGTCAAGGCAGGCAAATTGCTTGAGCTCAGGGGTTTGAATCCAATCTGGGTAACATAATGAAAACCTGTCTCTACCAAAAAAAAACCAAAAAACCAAAGTTAGCCAGATGTGGTGGCATGTGCATGTAGTCCCAGCTACTCAGGAGACCGAGGTAGGACGATCACTTGAGCCCAGGAGGTTGAGGCTGCAGCTGCAGTGAACTGAGATCATGCCACTGCACTCCAGCCTGGGTGACAAAGTGAGATCCTGTCTTGAAAAAAAAAAAAAAAGAAGAAGAAAAGAAAATTTCTAAGATTTTCCTCCCATCCTACTTACTCCAACACTCATAGCCTGAGCATCTTCCCAAGATGCATCTCAACAGCCCACTGAGAGGAGTAGTATTTTCTCTCAGCTGTGGAGAAAGAAAAATTGAGGAATTATGAGACAAAGACAAGAAGAGAGGAAAGATGTCAGAATTAGCCAGAGATAAAACAACGGTGTCGCACGTGACGACTATCTGAGGTTAGTGTCACGTGAGTAGTAAAAAGAATTCACCAAGACAGTTGTAAAGAAAGGCAGATTTTTTAGAAAATGTAGGTAAAGAAAGGCAGATTTTTTAGAAAACGTAGAAAAATTGTTGCAAGAAAGCAAAGGCAAAACAGCAAGTGCGGAGCTGACTGCAAAGAGACAAAGGCTTGCTGGGGATTTTATAGGTTGGTGCTTGTGCTGGAGAGAGCTACTTAGAGTACTGATAATGGTAAGGTTGCAGTGAGCTGATTTGCATATTTCTTTTTTAATGAAATTTAACTTGGCTTTTACTGCATTTTTAAAATGTAAAAATGTAAAAACAAACACAACATAGTATTTCAATGCTGTACCTTTATGCAAATGACTTCATCTATCTTTTTAAAACATGCTGTGATATAGCTAATGTTAAAACTGACACAGCTTCACTTTCTTCTTTTTCTCTGTACTGAAAGCTGCAGAAATACACCTTTAATTCCAAGACAATTTGGTTGAAGCCCTCAAAATAAAAAGTGTACATCCACTTCCATTGCCCTGACTTTCCCCACATTGTTGATTGTGATTCTCTGTGCCATGTTGGTAGATCAGGCAGGCTATATATAATTTGCACAAAACATCTTTAGCCAGGGTAAGGTTTTAGAAACTATCTTAAAAAGAAACTTGTCAAAATATTTTTGATATTTAGGACAAATACTAAATATTATAATTTTCTCCCAGCACATCTGTTTACACAGCCTAGTTAGCTAGCTGACCCTGTTAAAGATCAGCTTATGGAACAAATAGGTGAAGTCATTTCCTGAGCCAAAAGATACAGATAATAAATGTTAATAATAGCAGCAGACTAAAAACATTCCTTTTTGTTGTTTGTTTTCCATAGTCAACAGTTTTAGCACAAGGACTTTAGAAAATGACAGATTTTTTTGGTAAAGTTTACTGCCTGAAAAGAGTTTAATAAAGAACATCCAAGGCCTGATTGCTGTTATTCTGAATATAACTTTTAATTACTTTCTGTAAGTTACATTCGGTTACTGTCAGACAACTTACTGTTGCATGGAAAAATGCCCCAAAAAACTGCAATGGTTTACATACATTTTACATTACACGTATTACCTCTTAAAACCCCCAACAGAATAAAGTCTTAGCAAACACAAATTTTAATTTCTGAACACCCTTCCAGTAAGATTGTAAAGGTGGGAGGAAGGGGAGGAAGGACTTGTTTTTTGTATTCCTAGTCTACTTGATTAAAATGTAATCTTCCAAGGGTTTGTTTAGCTCACTATCCAGACTGCTAGGGTTATGATGAACATTATTACTTCTTTCCAGGGTAAAAAAAATGACATTTGAAAATAATGTAAATGCTATGACATGATTTTCCCAAGCATGACCTCAACTTGAAACATTAGATTACTTAAGAATTCTAAAGATTGGTATACCACCACTGCACCAGAATTTTTAATTATTCCAACAGCTACAGGAATTTTTTAATAGTTTTTTTAATTTTATGAACTTAAAGCTGAAGAAAATAACCGATTTAGAAACCATAATAAAAGGACAGATATTTAGCCAGAGATATCAGTTCCTCCTGAAAAAGGATACTGACCTCCTCTCACTGCAGTTTTTCTCCAGGTATCTTACTGATTTCAGATAGAATTTAAAATTCATCTTAAAAATAGAAACAAAAGGACTACTTAAACTGACATTAACTAATAAAAATATGCTCAAATTTACTGACAGAATCATGGACACTTCATACAATACTTAGACTCTACCAGTTTTAAGTAAAGTAAGGAAAAAATTATAATTACAAAGCCAGTCTTTCCCCTTGGGGAAACAAAAAAGCCACTTTTGACCAATTGTTCCCTGCATATACATATACTGTATATTATTATAAGCTTCTTCAGAGAAGCAAAACATCTTTGTCTTCCTGACACTGGATTATTTAGCATGTTTTTTTACATCAGGAAGGCAACTGCACTGCTTGCATTTTTCTACCAGCTGAGTGTCTGGTGATAGCTGGGTGCAAGAAGATTGTGAGTTATTTATGCAGGAGGACTGTTTGTCCTCGACCATGAAGAAAGGCAGACTTATAGCTTATCTGCTTCTTCTTTTTGCTTTCCCCTGCTGCCACCAGCCTGACTCTTTTGCCGTTAGAACTCCACAAACAGGAGTTCCTCTTCAAGCCCTCTGTATCCCTCATCCCTCCCTCATTCCTTTAGTTAAGAGCAAGGTAGGGACCTTTACCTGGTACAGCTCCGGGAGATGGGAGATAAGTGACACTGAGACTTCATACCCAGAACCCTCAACTTCACAAGAAACTTCTGCTGGGGGCCAAAAGACTCGGGACAGCAGAGCTCAAAGCAGGGCCAGAAGGTGCAGGTGGAGCCACAGCGGCGGGTCTCCTTTAAGGATAAGATGGCATCATCATAACAGCACTGCTCTGAAGGGTTGTAGATCTTGTTCCCACACCTGGGTGTCGGCTGGCACAGCCACAGTCCTGAGCCAACAGGAGCGTCTGGGGGCAGACATTGATGGTGTACATCCAAGGAAGAACAGATACTCAATTCCCAGTCTCTTTTCCCAACACCACCTCTTCCCTCCTCATTTTTCCCTGTCCTGTCCTTACCTGTAGTTCCTTTTGAACACTGGAGGAGGAAGACTGTTATCCAGCAGACAAGAGCTAAGGGAGAAAGGAAAAAGGTTGAACATGGAGCTGAGAATGTGACAAGTATGGAAAAAACAAACAAACAAACAAACAGAGGTTAGGGTGGTTTAAAGGTGGAGATTATCACTTGGGGCTAAGTCTGTATGGGATCCCGTTCAGGCAGGCCCTGAGCAGCACGCTCAGTCACCCTTTGAGGTGACTAGTAGGGCACAGGAGGCTGGAATAATGTTAGAGATAAAGAGGAATAAATCGGGTTGAGGTTTGGGAGCTGCACTGGGAATGAGATGAGATGATGTTTGGATTTGGGGTCCTACTTGCCCAAGATGCAGCATCGTGGCCTCATGCTTCCAAAGATGCTCTAGGAGAATTGAAGAAGAGTGGTAAAAGGCTGGAACTTATGGAGACAGCCTAAATGGGGTTGTCTGTTAACCTGGTAAGTTTACTGATTGGATGGCTGCTGATCATGCCACCTGCAGTCTCCCAAGCACATTCCTTGAAGATAACCAAAGTCTCCCAAGCACATTCATTAGTTTCTTTAAGGAGGAGACTGGGTGGCGTAAGGGACCACAGAGCCGAATGTTGCAGACTGACTCATTGCATTCTCCATATACTATTGCAGACCTCAGGGTGAATGAGTGTAGGTTGGTCCTACTCCAAGTTAGGCTTCTAAGAGTTTTCAAGCTCCGACATTGAGGAGACAGTGCCCAACTAAGCTCCAATCAGAGAGAATGCTTCAGCCACTTCCCCATCTGGTTTCACATCCTCCCCTTCCTAATACTTGCTTCTTCTATATTCCCCAAGCACGATGTCTCTGGAAATGTCAAGGGGACCGTTTATGAAGCCACTTTATTTTTTGCTCTGGAGTCATTAGAGTTGCCACCTGCTCTAGCAGTTGAGCCACGGCTCTGGAAACTCCAATAAAGGGGGTAGGGGTGGAGAATAGCAATGGCCCAAATCTCCTGGTGTGCTTGGTGTGAGGATTCAGAGACCTCCAGCATCTTAGTTACATGGTCAGGGAAAGTACTAAACACCTGCTTTTCATAATCATATTATATTAGTGGCCAATGATAAGTGATGTAGTACTTAGGAGTGTGTAGTACTTAGGTGTGCAGACAGAGGGAAGGGCAGGGCAAACTGAGGCCTGCCAGGCAAGTGCCAGCTAGGGAAGGGCTTGGACAAATTCAAATAATCCCGAAGCTGTGGAAAGGACCTCAGTCTTCATGGATGTGTGATGATTCAATCAGAAAATGTCTAAGGATTGGCCAGACTTTCCATCCTCCACTTGCTGGCACAGCATAGGGAAGAGTTGCTGACTTAAGTTCATCCAGCCTGTACCATAGCCTTTGAAATGGTTCTCCTTTTCTGAGCTTCATTCTTAGCTTCCTGTACATGTGCGGAGGTGTGGGGTGTGGTTTGGATGCACAAGGCTGCTCTCCCCTACCCCGGAACCTAAGAAGGCCAACAATGTGAAGATTCCTAGTGAGCCCAGGCTGTCAGCTTGTTTACTACCAAATGTTAAAAAGAAACGTTTGAGTTTGATTAGGTAAAATACAAAGGACAAATAATAATATCTTTAATATACAATTATCATTCTTATTCCAAATGAAACTTCAGCTTTACTATTGGGCATTGGGAAGTTAATGTGTACTTAATTTTTCATCTTACAGAAGTGGCAAGGGGCAGCTTGAAGGGATAATTTTTAATGCATTTTATAATGATAATCATTTAGAGAAATCCTTATGTTGTATCTCATTAACACTAAGATGTTATTGAAAGATACACTGTTGTTTTGCAACTCTAAGATGCAATCTCATCACTTAGAATGTTTATTAACAGAGCTTCTTGCAACATGTTGAGACGTAGACTTTTGGAAGGCGAATAGAAAAATAAAAATATATGGGAAATAAATCTGTTAAAGATTTCTTAAAATGTCTCCACATTTGGAGACTGCCTCCTGTGAATCATCTTTCAACCCCAGATTGGTTCCTGTGCTTTCTTACACAACATCATTCTCAGTTCTACCAACAGCATTGGTCATGCAAAGTTTGGTTTTATTCTAAGCTGCTGACACCCATACTGCAAGTTATCATTGAACTGGTGACACTAGCCCCTTCTTTCTTTGAATTTTCTTTCATCTATTCCTAGAGATTTTGACAACTCCTTCTGCCTTTCATTATGTTGTTTTCCTTGTGCTAGGCAATCCTTCTGTGCCTGTCTCAGAAACAAAATGTGATACTCTTCATCTCTTTATCTTCTTGTGCCCCATAAAGCACTTGGTTGTTGATCTGCAAGAAAATATGTACTTGGGTTCATTCCTAAAACAATGAGCATGTGCTTCATTAACAGTAAATTTACGTCATCGTCTTCTATTAATGTGTCATTCTGCACACACAACACACAAGCCAAATCATGGTGTTTTCTGATATTTAAAATGACAGTTACACTCAACACATGAAACATAAGCAATCCACACAACTTAATTGAAGTGTCAAGAATATTAACCTGAAGACTTAGTTCGTCCCTGTACAACTGGCAGCAGCTATGTCACTCTGCTTGTCTGATAGCTATTGCAAGACCCTATTGATGATACGATGCATCACTAGTTCAAGGGTATGGGAATGTAGAATATATATGTACATCTCTGAGTGGAGGAGAGTCATTCCAATTTGAAACTTAGTATATTTATGAGGATCAGATGAAGACACACTTGAAAAGCTCCCAGCACAGTAGCTGGAGTGTGTCAAGCTTTTCGTATTTTCTCTCCTCAACTGTGCTTTCTTAAGAAAGCTGCAAAATAGTCTGGGCACAGTGGCTGACACCTGTAATCCTGGCACTTTGGGAGGCTGAGGTGGGAGAACAGCTTAAAGCCAGGAGTTCAAGACCAGCCTGGGCAACAAAGCGAGACCCTGTCTGTACCAGAAAACAAAAATAAAATTAGTTGGGCATGGTGGTACATGCCTGCAGTCCCAGCTACTCGGAAGGCTGTGGTGAGCTGTGATGGCACCACTGTAATCCAGCCTGGGTGACTGAGTGAGATGCTGTTGCAAAGAAAGAAGAAGGAAGGAAGGAGAGAAAGAGAATAAGAAAGAAAGAACAAAATATACACATCTTGTTCCATGAACTATTGACAATTTAGGTCATAGGCAATCATTCTTAGTCTAAATTTTCTTGAAGGAAGAAATAACTTTCTGTCTGGCACTAAGTTTCAACATAATTTAGGTCCCGGACAATTTTTGCTGATTTAATGAAAATTATCAATCCTCCCAGAAAATTGTTCTTAAACGGATGTATAGGTAGATAGGTAAGATGTATAGGTAGGTAGGTAGGTGGGTAGATAGGTAGGTAGGTAGATAGATAGATGATGGATGGATGGGTGGTTGGATATTAGATAGATGTTAGATTGATAGACAACAGACAGACTGCATGCAATTTCTTTTTTTTTAGAGTCACTAATTTTACTTTTTTAAAATGTTAAAAAATCTACTTTTAATTTTTTCGTAAGTTATTGGGGTACAGGTGGTATTTGGTTACTTGAGCAAAGGAGCCACTGGCCACAGAAGTTTCTGGTTGGTGAAGCGACACCCCAAGGATCCCATAACACTTTGGGAAGTATGGCCATTTTTAACAATATTGATTCTTCCTATCCATGAGCATGGAATGTTTTCCCACTTTTTTGTGTCATCTCTGATTTGTTTGAGCATTATTTTGTAGTTCTCCTTGTAGAGATCTTTCACCTCCCTGGTTAGCTATATTCCTAGGTATTTTACTCTTTTTGTGGCAATTGTGAATGGGAATTGCAGTCCTGATTTGGCTTTACTGTTGTTGGTGTATGGGAATGCTAGTGATTTTTGTACATTGTACAAAAAATGTACATTTGTACATTGATTTTATATCCTGCAACTTCGCTGAAGTTGCTTATCAGCTGAAGGAGCTTTTGTGGAGACTGTAGGGTTTTCTAGATACAGGATCATGTCATCTGCAAACAGGGATAGTTTGATGTACTCTCTTTTTATTTAGATGCCCTTTATTTCTTTCTCTTGCTTGATTGCTCTGGCCAGGACTTCCTATACTATGTTGAATAGGAGCAGTGAAAGAGGGCATCCTTATCTTGTACCAGTTTTCAAGGTGAATTCTTCCAGCTTTTGCCCATTCTGTATAATGTTGGCTGTGAGTTTGTCACAGATGGCTCTTGTTATTTTGAAGTATATTTCTTCAATACCTAGTTTATTGAGAGTTTTTAACATGAAGAGGTGTTGAATTTTTCTCAAAAGCCTTTTCTGCATCTACTGAGATAATTATGTGGTTTTTGTCTTTAGTTCTGTTTCTGCAATGAATCACATTTATTGATTTGCATATGTTGAACCAACCTTGCATCCCAGGAATAAAGCCTGCTTGATCATGGTGGATTAGCTTTTCATGTGCTGCTGGATTCAGTTTGCCGGGATTTCTTGAGGATTTTTTGCATTGATGTTCATCAAGGATATTGGCCTGAAGCTTTCTTTTCTTGTTGTGTGTCTGCCAGGTTTTGATATCAGGATGATGCTGGCCTCATAGAATAAGTTAGGGAGGAGTCCCTCCTTCTCAATTTTTTGGAATACTTTCAGTAGGAATGGTACCAGCTCTTCTTTGTACATCTGGTAGAATTCAACTGTGAATCCATCTGGTCTTGGAAATTTTTTGGTTGGTAGGCTATTTATTGCTGATTCAATTTCAGAACTTGTTATTGGTCTATTCAGGGACCGAATCTCTTCCTGGTCCAATCTTGGGAGTGTATATGTCCAAAAATATATCAGTTTCTTGTAGATTTTCTGGTTTATGTGCATAGAGGTGTTGATAATATTCTCTGATGGTTATTATTTCTGTGGGGTTAGTGATAATATCCCCCTTTACATTTCTAATGGTATTTATTCGGATCTTCCCTCTTCTTTTTTAATCTAGCTAGTGTTCTATCTATTTTATTAATTTTTTTCAAAAAACCAACTCTTGGATTTGTTGATCTTTTGTGTGTGTGTGTGTGTGTGTGTGTGTGTGTGTGTGTGTGTGTGTCTCTGTCTCCTTCAGTTCAGTTTTGATTTTGATTATTTCTTGTCTTCTGCCGGCTTTGGGGTTTGTTTGCTCTGGGTTCTCTAGTTCTTTTAGTTGTGATGTTAGGTTGTGAAGCTGAGTTCTGACTCTCTGAAGTGGGCAATTAGTACTATAAATTTCCCTCTTACTCCTGCCTTAGCTGTGTTCCAGAGATTCTGGTATATTGTATCTTTGTTCTCATTGGTTTCAAATAGCTTCTTGATTTCTGCCTCAATTTCATTATTTACCCCAAAGTCATTCAGGGGCAGGTTATTCAATTTCCATGTAATTGTATGGTTTTGAGCAAATTCCTTAGTCTTGATTTCTAATTTGATTGTGCTATGGTCTGAGAGAGTGGTTGTTATGATTTCGGTTCTTTTGTGTTTGCTGAGGAGTGTTTCGTGTCTGATTATGTGGTCGATTTTTCAATGTGTGCCATGTGGTGGTGAGAAGAATGTATATTCTATTGCTTTTGTGTGGAGAGTTCTGCAGATGTCTATCAGGCCCATTTGATCCAGTGCTGAGTTCAGGTCCTGAATATCTTTGTTAATTTTCTGACCTGATGATCTGTCTAATACTGTCAGTGAGGTATTGAAGTTTCCCACTATTATTGTATGGATGTCTAGATCTCTTTGAAGGTCTCAAAGAGCTTGCTCTCTGAATCTGGGTGCTCTTGTGTTGGGTGCATATGTATTTAGGATAGTTAGGCCTTCTTGTTGAATTGAACCCTTTACTATTACATAATACCCTTCTTTGTCTTTTTTTATCTTTGTTGGTTTAAAGTCATCTGAGATTAGGATTGCAACTCCTGCTTTTTTCTGTTTTCCATTTGCTTGGTAGATTTTCCTCCATCCCTTTATTTTGAGCCTGTGGGTGTAATTGCATGTGAGATGGACTGCATGCAGTTTCAAGGGTTCAGGTTCACTGTTTATTTAAACCAAATACTACAGGGTATGATCTCCTGAACTAAGTGGGTGAAGTACACGTTTCCTATGAAACAGCCTTTTTCATTATCTCACAGGGCAATAACTTCTTTAGAGTTTTGATAAATATTTTAGTTCCCCCAGCAAGCATCAGATGATGAGTTAAAGAACATACCATGTTATTTAAAATATGGCATTTGTTTGTCTACATGCTGTTTATTGAGGTTCTTGGAAGCACCTTTTCATTATGTTTATAAACTGGTTACTTGCAAGTGGTTGCTTGCCAGTTTAAACTAGCTTAAGCTGTGGCAAAAAGAGGAATTTATTATCTTTGGTAGGTTCCAAATTAAAAAATAAAGTGAGCAAGAACTAAGATTAGAAGAAATTTATGAGCTTGGATGAAGGTTCCCAGTATTTCTCATTATTTTTATGTTTAATGATGTATAGTTCCTTTTCTGTAAATGATACACTATTCAGAATAATTGTTTTGGGTTGTTTGCTTCCTTCTTATTAATTTATAAATGCTCTTTTTATATGGGAGATACTAACCTTTTGTCTGTTATATGTTTTCCTCGCCTTTGTGTTTGTTTCTCAGTAATGCTGGTGGAGTCTTCTTTTTTGAGATATTTTAAATTTTTATGCAGCAGTGTCTTTTACCACTGCCCTACATCTTCTTTCCACTTTTTGGCTTCCGCTTACGTAAGGAGGCCATCTCCAACTTAAAGTTCTATGAATAGTTCTATATTTTTACTTTCTTTTTAGTCATTTTTATTCACATATAACTTTTTCTATAAGATGTGATGCTGAGTCTAAGTTAATTTTCTTGCTAATGAATGTCCTATTGAATCTGAAATTACTTGTTGACTAGTTTCATCCCTTTTCTTCTAATGTACAATGTTACTTTTCTTATATCTCAGTTTTCCATTATTAGCTTTATCTGTTGATGGACTCTGTTCAATTGATTTATGTGTAATTTTTCTAGGTAGTGTCTGGTTCATTTACAGTAGCTTTGTTTTAAATTTTAATAATAGACAAAAACTTCTCTCCTTATTACACTACATTAAGCTTTACTCGACAATATTTGTGCAGTCAGCTTTAAGAGCTCCCAAGTAATTTTCTAAACCCTCCTCCTAAAAAATAGCAAAATTTAAAAATGGGAATTCAGATGAAATTTTTTTGTAAACATTGTTTGGCTTTGGAAAGCATGAGCATTCTAATGTTTTAATACTTTCTGTCTCAGAGGTTTATCGACTTCTTTTTTTATTAGGTCTAGTTTGCTGTCAACACCCATTTAATTTTACGTAAACATGCTCTTCGAGGCTGAAGCGAATATGACTGATTTTCAGTGTGAAAATAAAACATAAAAACCCCTTCTTGGCTCATGCCTGTAATCGCAGCACTTTGGGTGGCTGAAGCAGGCAGATCACTTGAGGCCAGGAGTTTAAGACCAGCCTGGCTAATATGGTGAAACCCTGTCTCTACTAAAAATACAAAAGTTAGCCGGGCATGGTGGCCTATGCTTGTAGTCTCAGCTACTCGGGAGGCTGAAGTGGGAGAGTCGCTTGAACCCAGGAGGTGGAGGTTGCAGTGAGCCAATATTATGCTACTGCACTCCAGCCTGGGGAGCAGAGCGAGACTCCCTCTCAAACAACAACAACAAAAACAAAACTGTTCTTGGAGTTGTTTCTAAACAGAACTTGTCTCTAGTATTAACGTAGCAGAAATGTATATGATTTTACATTAGTATTAAAGATAAGAATATTCTTGGCCAACAGGAAATGGGTTAAAGCCTTGCAGAGGAGGGAAACAGTGAATTTTGTCATTCACTTAACCAGTTTTCACACACACACAGAGAAAGTCCAGAAGCCTGGCTGGTAAGAAATTCTTACCCTTTTGCTGGCATGCTACGGTTTTGGGTTCTCTTTTTCTGAGCAACTTTGGTGACCTTGCTCCCTGTGGCATAGCTGTGGGGGCCAAGCCACGTTACAAAAGAAAATGATCCCTTTCCATTTCATGGAACCATAGGCAAAAGTCTCTCCTTTTTACAAGAGGCCAACCAGTGGGTTGCATGGGAAAATAAGATATTGAATTAAATGCACAGAAAGAAAACAATTCATTGGGACATAAGTGACACAAACTTTGGTTCCACGTGCTGTCAGTTCTCTCCTTAAAAAGCCAGCACCCAAAGTTGATAGACTCACACACCCAAACAGACAGATGACAGAAAAGTCCACAGGCTTCCCCTCCTCACATGGTGTGGCAAAGAGAAAGTGAAGTGGTGAGGGGTTTTGAATAGAGTTACAGGATTGAGGGCCAGTATGACAGAGAAGGGGAGAGAGAAGGAGAGGAAGAGGGAGGGAAAACGATAGAGGGAGAGAGGGAGGGAGAGGGAGAGGAAAGAAGAAGAAAGGGAAGGAGGGAGAAAGGGAGGGAGAGGGAGAGGAAAGAAGAAGAAAGGGAAGGAGGGAGAAAGGGAGGGAGGGATGGATAGAATTGTTTCTTGGGACTGGAACCCAAACCAACTTAGGCCAGGGAAAAGGTACACTCTGTCCCACTGCCTGCTGAGTTGATCAGATCCAGGTAGTCAACGATTTCAACCTGTCCCTCACAGATATCTGTTCACGTGACCCAAACCACTAAGGATTAGGAGAGGAGAGACAAGGCACCCTAAGTGACAGAAAAGTTAGGAAGTGAAAAGGAGAGAAAGCAAGAAGGGAAGGGAGAAAAGCATTGCCTGCAGGAGGGATGGGGGAGGCAAGGAGGGCTGGCAGGCTGGAGAAAGACTCAACCAGCTTGGCGACACTGAATCAGAAGTTCAGGCAGCTGCTTGTCAGCCGTGAAGGGATCTTGTCCAGCAGTCCCATCAGCTCACAAGTCTCCCCCTCAGGGAGAGAAAGGCTCCCCACATCCCATTGTTGGGAATGGGTGCTCGGTGTCACAAAAATCAACACTGAGACAAAGGATCTCTCAGCAAGGCTAGTTTACTTTCTGCAGAAAGAGGGCCGCTTGCTAGCAGTCTTGCCATGAGAGCACACACGAACAAAGGAGACAGGGTCATTTATAACCTGATATGCCACCCTACTGCTGTGTCTGGCTTCCGTTGGCTGGAATGGGACCTCACATTCTGTACTTGACCTGATTGGCTAGCAACTTAGAACTTCCCCAAAGAGGCAAAGGCAGAGGAGAACAAAGGAAGACAGGAAGTAACTTGTGGAATGCTGAGAGAGGCAAAAGCACTTCCAAATAAGGAAGAGGAATAGGCTATGACCTAATGCTTGCTTGGGCCTGTTCAGGCATGCCAGGGCAAATATCTAGGCTAAAATGCGGTAGCTAAGAACGCAGAGTATATTGATTTCTTTATTATGGCTAGCAGATATTTAAGAATATTAGCACAGGTCTTTGAGTAAATTTTGCTTCTAAGAGAGGTTACTATCTATTCTCAATTAGACTGGGAGGAAAGTCCCTCTGAAGAGGAACCTCTACTTATTTTATTTTCTACACCATGATCCCAGGCAAGCCCCTAAATAATACATTACTGGTCTTGGGTTCTTGGGCTCTCAATGCAATAGAAACTGACATGAGGTCAAAATAGTTTTCCCAGACAAAACTTCATTGGAGATTATTCCTGGAAATAAGAGAGGCAGCACAAAAGAGAAAGAATTCCCTGATGACTCCCTGAAAAGAGCTGGTAGGGCTTTTTTTATTAGGCAAAGTGTGGGAATTGACATCAGGGGTAGGGTATGCAGGCTGGGCTGGGCAAAGCAGGAGAGGTATACGGTATGCAGGTCAGCAGTATCTGCTTAGGATGGTTTTCTTGAGGAAGAGACCACCTGGTGGTCTGGCCTGTGGCAGCAAGGCTGTGAATCAGTTGTTCAACATTCTTTCTGGAATCTTGGTTGTCTCCTAAGACCAGTTCTTGGGATTCTTTAAGTAAAAGGACTATTAGCAATGAGGTAGTGGCGTGGGTTTTGTGATCAGCAGGAATGTTGTAGTACAGCAGTCCCTAACCTTTTTGGCTCCAGGGACTGGTTTCCCAAGGAAGACAGTTTTTCCATGGACAAAGGAGGAGGGGGATAGTTTCAGGATGATTCAAGCACATTACATTAATTGTGGACTTTATGTCTATTATTGTTACATTGTAATATATAATGAAATAATATACATTATATATTACATATGCAACTCACCATACTGTAGAATCAGTGGGAGCCCTGAGCTTGTTCTTCTGCAGCTAGATGGTCTCATCTGGGAGTGACAGGAGACAGTGACAGATCATCAGACATTAGATTCTCATATTAGATAAGGAGTATTAGATTAGATAAGGAGTGTGCAACCTAAATACTTCACATGCACAGTTCACAATAGGGTTCATGCTCTTATGAGAATCTAATGCTCCTACTGATCTGACAGGAGGCTATGCTTAGGCAATAAGGTGAGTGATGGGGAGCAGCTGTAAATACAGATGAAGCTCCACCCACTAAGTCACTGCTTACTGCCTGCTATGCAGCCCAGTTCCTAAAAGCAGACACACTGGTACCAGTCCATGGCCTGTGGGTTGGGGACCCCTGCTCTAGTAGGGGTGAGATGAAGCCAAGCCCTGACTCTTCTCTGTCTCAAGGAGAGCCCTAGGTGCATAATACTGAGAAGAGGAGCAGCTCTGTAATTGCAGTTTTAGGCACAAGGAAGCATCATTGGGCATCCTGATTATCTCTTTAATGAATATTCACTGTCACTATCTTGATAATATCTGTAGGTATCATTTACAAAATTTTCTTAACTACTATCTTGAAATAATTTTAAACTTACAAAAAAGTTGTACAGTTGGTTTCTTTCTTTCACACAGATTCTCATAATGTTAACATCTTAAATGATCTTAATACAATTATTGAAAGCAAGAAATGAATATTGACTAACACTATTAATGAATCTACAGGCTTTATTTTAATTTTATCAGTTGTCCCCTCATGTCCACTTCCTGCTCCAGGATCCAATCCAGAATCCCACATTGCTTTTGATGATCATGTCTCCTTTGTGCCCTCCCAACTGGGATAGTGCTTTGTGTTTTCTTAGAGTCTGTATTTCTCTATTTGGTATCCATTAACTACAGGGTTTAACTCATGGTCAGAGTTGTTTGCATCTCCCCCGAGAGCCAGAACCCCTGCTCTGAACCATCCGAACCATCCCCTTTAGTGTAGGGGAGAGAAGAGGGTTAGATAAAAGGTTTCAGTCACTTCCTACAGGAACCTCACTGAAGTAGGACACAAGTTCGTGAGACCTTTGATCTGAGGTCCTTCAGTGAGGGAGGTAGGACCTCACTGATGCAAGAAACATGCTGGAGGAATAGCAAGTTGACCTCCATTCCAGTCTTCTGTGGCTGTGTAGATCTAGAACTAATTTCCACCTCAAAGGGAAGACTTTCCTGGACAGGCTTGCAGCCCTGAGTGGAAACATCCCACTGCCTTTGACTCCTGACTCCGTATCTCTTTTCCAGTAACAGTTGTGTAAATGTTTATTAGCTGACAATTATCTAACAATTCTTGGCTTCCAGACTTCACCCATGTCAACATTTTTCAAAGTGTGGCAGCAAACACTTTCTTTTCTTTAAGGATTCTGAATACAGGCCCTCAGTCTTTTCTGGCTTGTAGGGTTTCTGTTGAAAGGTCCACTGTTAGCCTAATGGGATTCCCTTTCCAGGAGACCTTCCCCTACTTTCTAGCTGCATTTAATATTTTTTCTTTATATTGACCTTGGAGAATCTGATGACTGTGTCTTGGGGATGGTCCTCATGTATAGTATCTCAGAGGAGTTATCTGAATTTCCCAGATTTGGATGTCAACCTCTCTAGCAAAGTTGGGGAAAGTTTCATGGACAGCATCCTCAAATGTGTTTTCCAGGTTGCTTGCCCTCTCTCCCTCTCCTTCAGGGATGCCAATATGTGGTAGGTTTGGTCTCTTTATATAGTCCCAGATTTCTTGGTGGTTTCATTCTTTTTTTAAGAAAATATTATGTCATGAAAAAACTCATCAATTAACTAGATTCATACTTGTTTGAACAAGAATTGAAAATCTATTAAATAGGCAGAATGTGGGCATCTTGTTCCACATGGGAATGAAAAGATGCTATAGGTTCTTTAAGAATTGCACAGTGTAAAAAAATAACAAGAAAGGAGAAGGAAAGGGGAAAAAATCACATGATATTGGGAGCCATCTCACATTATGAATAATCTACCAATAAACATGTAAAAAATAATACTCTTTGTTTCTGCAGTAGCTTTGAGTTTATAGTTCTTGGAATGACTGTATTCCATTGAAGACATCTCAGTAACAGGAGGCTGTTTTAGCAATCCCATGTGCAGATATTAATAAAAAAATATATAAAATAATGCAATTCATCTCTTGCCATCACCCCAGAAATCATGACATTTCTGAGAACTGTTTTGCTTGAAAATGGGTTAAGCTGTAAGTTTCGGCTGAAGCTCTGTCTCTCCAACCCGTTTGAGTGCAACATTCACTAGAAGCTGAAATCCACTAAAGTCCTGGTTGAGATCCATTGGAGTAGGGGGAGGAGTGTTGAAAAGACTACTCTGTGTATTGGTACTTGGTCTAGATTTACACATGTCCTCTGGGCACATGAGAGAGGTGTCTGTAAAGTTGTTGGCTGCTACCTGCTGTATATCTGTGTTTTGTCCCACACCAACTGACTGGCAGAGAAAGGGACATCTTTCAATGCAGTCACAGTGGCATGGCAGATCACTGATGGACGAGCCAAAACTGATCCTGGGGAAGACGGCTTAGGAGACAATGGCCTCCCTAGGGTTGGGTTTGGCCCAGATGTACAGGAATGAAATGGGGTCTCCTCTAGAGCTGGCATGAAGTTTTTGATGCCCATCACAAACTTCACAGAGCTTGTTTCAGAAATCTTGGGCCCACGGCAGGTAATTGTGAACTGATTTGGATCTTTGCCATCCTTTCTCAGCATGTCAGGATGCGTACACCACATGCAATATTATCTCCTTCGTAGGCTCATTTATCTGAGAAGCTTGTGGCGGGCGTTGATGAACCAGTTACAGACCTGTAGTGTAGACAGATATGTTTGCTGGGACAACAGTGCTTTTTCTTGCTCGGAAGGATGGACATTGTAATGGTGCTCATACAGCCAATCTTGAAGAATCTGCACAGACTCCTTGGGCAGGTTGCCCCTTCTCCTTCTCTTGCCTGAGCCAGAGGATGAAGGAAGGTCCAAGGGAATGTCCATGGAATCGTCATCCTCCGTCTCACTGCCAGATGCTGCAACAATACCTTTCATTGTTTCCATGAGTCAGTGCAGAGGAGCAGGACCCTGCGTGACCCAGGATGGGGACACCTATGCGGCCAGTGTGGCCCAGCCTTGGTCCCCGGCTTCAGGGAGAGGGTTTTCTTCATTTTAAAAAATGCTTTTTTAAATTTTTGTCTGACTGAGTTGATTCAAAGAACCAGTCTTTGAGCTCTGAGATCCTTTCCTCAGCTTGGTCTATTCTGTTGTGAATACTTCTGATTATATTATGAAGTTCTTGTAGTCAGTTTTTCACCTCTGTGAGATCTATTTGGTCCTTTCTTAAAATGGCTGTTTACTCTTTAAGCTCTTGAATCATTTTAGTAGATTCTTTAGATAACTTGGATTGAGTTTTGACTTTCTACTTAAATCTTGACTATCTTCATTGCCATGCAGCTTCTGAATTCTGTCTGTTATTTCAGCCATTTCGGTCTGGTTAAGAACCATTGCTGGGAAGCTAGTGCAGTCATTTGGCGGTGAGAAGACACTCTGGCTTTTAGAGTTGCCAGAGTTCTTGTGCTGGTTTTTTCTCATCTGTGTGGGCTGAAGTTGCTTTAATCTTTGAAGTTGCTGTCCTTTGGATGGGGCTTTTGGGTTTTACATTCTTTGATGCCCTTGAGGGTTTAACTATGGTATAAGTTGGGTTTAGTCAACTGGTTTCATTTCTGGATGATTTCATGGGGCCAAGGCTCAGCTCAGCACTTCTGGGCTGCATCGTCTAACCCTGGGGAGCTGGTACCAGGCCCATGGCTTTGTCCCCTGGATCTTCAGGGTTAAACACCTACTGCACTAGAGGGGCTAAGGTGTTCCCCATTTGCTAGCAACAACACTCCAACGTGGGGTGTTGACAAAAGTGCTTCATCTGGGTCACAGCAGTGGGATCTTCACTCACACATGTGCTGGTGGTGGGGGAGCATTGATGTCTGTGTGCATGTGCATGCTGGCAAAGTGTTGAGGGGAGGCTGTGGGTGAGTGCTTGCTGGCAAAGTGGTGAGAGGAGGCTTTGGCTGGGTGCATCCTGGTGGGACCTGTCTGCAAAGGCTCTCTGATAGTTGGACAGGGTCTACTGGTGAAAGGGCTAAGGCAGTGGCCCCTGGGAAGCACCTTAGTTTGGCAACTGAGGCTTTGCTGCAAACAGATGTGGCGGGTAGGGAACTTGGGAGAGGCCAGCACACTGAGAGGCACTCGTATCAGACTGGCCCCATCTCCTAGGCAAGATAGTCCTATTCTGTCCAGGTCTGACAGTCAAGAAAGGCCAAAGCCACCTAGAGGAGCAAGGTGAGCCTTGGAGAATGAGCATCCCTGTCCATGCTCCACTGCAGCTGTTTCCAAACCAGACTCTCTGGGCTCTACACAGGCTAGAGTCCTGTCCCTGCCAACTCTCCAAGCAGCTCTCTCTGCCAGCGCAAATGTCCATGGGGGCTGTGGGACCTTTTGCAGCTAGGATTCTGGAGGTCTCTGGCAAGAGTGGGCCACTCCATGCCTATTTAACTCCCCACTTCCCCAGGAGCTGTTCAGGGCCAGGAACAAGTCCTCATGCTCAGCAACCCTGTGCAGGGTTTCCAGCTTCCTCCCCTTGCAGCTGAGGGCCTGCCTCCCTCACTCCACTCTCAATGCCTTCCTTTCGAAGATCTGCTTGGTGTATGCTGGTCTTCTTGATGGTCAGTCCCTTGGTGGGAGAAGCTCTTCCTGGCTGCATCTAGTTGGCCATCTCAGCTCCTCTCCCCAATCAAAACCAATTTTTTTTTTTTAAAAACGAAATCATTCAAATTGAATTCTAAGATTTTAAGGCTGAATTTAAGAAAGAACCTCTATGCACATGTAAGAAATCTATGTTACATATGAGGTTCCAGAAATGTTAAAAATTAGTATGTAGAAAAGATACATCATGCAAACACTAGCAAAAGAAAATTACTGTAGCTAAGTGAATACCAAGGTAGGCTTTAATGCAAAAGATAAAGCTAGAGATAAAGCAGGACAAGTAATAATGACACAGGGATCAATCCAAATGGAACATATAATAATTATGAATCTGAATATACCTAATTACTTAGCTTGAAAAAAGTAACTAAAATAAAAGTGGAAATAAGCAAGTTCACAACTGTGGTGAAAGACTTTAATACACTTTTTGGGATAGCTTATGTAATAAGGAGAACAAAAAATCAGAATGGGCTAAAAATTTGAACAATACAACTAACACACATAACCAAACTTATATGTGTATATGTCTATATATATTTATATGTGTGTATGTATTTATATGTGTGTATATATTTATATGTGTATATGTATATATGTATATATAGTATGAGATACACATATATTTCACGCACTCACACACACACACACACATATATATTTTGAGACGGAGTTTCATTCTTGTTGCCCAGGCTGGAGTGCAGTGACATGATCTCAGCTCATTGCAACCTCCACCTCCTGGGTTCAAACGATTCTCCTGCCTCAGCCTCCTGAGTAGCTGGGATTACAGGTGTGCACCACCATGCTGGGCCAATTTTTGTATTTTTGGTAGAGACGGGGTTTCACCACGTTGGCCAGGTTGGTCTTGAACTGACCTCAGGTGATCCACACACCTCAGCCTCCGAAGTGCTGGAATTACAAGCATGAGCCACCACGCCCAGCCTATATATATATATATATATATATCTCAAAATGGTAGAACTTACATGTTTTTCAAGTCTACATAGAACATTTATGCTAAATTGATCATATGTTAGGTCATAAAGAAAGTCTCAGCTTCCAGAGGATGAACGTTATTAAAAGTAGGTTTTTGAGCTGGGCACAGCGGCACATGCCTGTAATCCCAAATACTCAGGAGGCTAAGGTGGGAGGATCACTTGAGCCAAAGAGTTCAAGTCTAACGTAGGCAACATAGCGAGACCTCATCTCTGAAGAAAATGTTCTCTGGGACTCCCAGTTTCTAGTCAAGCATGTAAGAGGCTTGGAACTCATCGCTCCATCTTAACAGAAAAAATACTGAACAAAGTAAAAAATTAACAACTCTTAGATAAGTGGGATCACAGAGCAAACTACTACCCTACGATTTGTTGACAGGCAGTTGGATACAGAGAATCAAAACTACTGCAACAGAAACCCATGACCAGAAACCCCTGTGGGAACCAGTACCAGGACAGGAAAACATGAAGTCTAATGAATGAATTCCTGGAGGCTCAGGGTGGAGCAGTCTGAGAGTTAAAAACTCCAGGGGGCCCAGTCTAAGGGGAGCCTCTGCACTTTTCTAAGAGTTTTACCTCCAGGAACCCTATCAGGTTCTCACAGTGAATATGGGAGAAAAATCTCCTTCATGGTCTGGCATGAAGTGGGAAGGGGGAAAGTAACCGCTGTGAAACACACCAGAGTATTCTGTTCTTCTTAACAAGCTCTGCCATTAAGAGAAAGCATTTTACCAGAATCTAAATTATTAGGGTTTTATCAGAGCCTAAGTGACCTGGAGGAAGAGAGTATTATTTTTATACAGGACAGTAAACAAGTATTCTTTGCTCTAAAGGGAAACCTTACCTCTATCTTCCAAGGCAGTTCACTACACAAACATCCTTGAAAAGAGTGTGGAACAAAAGAACAGTCAATGCCTCACTGCCAGGCCAGCAAAAATGCAAGAGATCCATGGGAAATTGTCTCTGACACCAACAAACCAATATTTTTGCAAAGTAAATAAACACATGAGCAAGGTGATAATAGTGTGCCGGAAAACGCTGCCCTGCTGCAGTGGTGACTGTGATAGTCCCGGGTGTCTGGGAAGACACGCCAGGATCACAGAGTGGGGCCTGGTTTTAGAAGAATGCAAATCTGGTCATGAGTTTCACTGCTTAAAATTATTGAACGACTCCCCACCATGTCTAGGATGGAACCCAGGCTCCCAGCTCATCCCACAAGGCCCTTCACTACCTGGGCCTGCCTTTCCCTCTAGCACCTTCTCCACCTACACCCATGGTGGCCCTCTGTCATCCAGCTGAACAGCCACTCCTAGAAACACCCAAAACAGGCTTCAACAACATGACTCACCTACCAGCACCTGCTTGAAGCCCTCCTCACAGTAACTCTTAGTTCCCTTCAGGGTTTCTCCTTCTCCCCATCTTCCCACCCTGCTTCCAACTTCCCTCACTGATAGAGAATTAAGCACTCACTCTATGCATCCCACAGGACTCATGCTTACCTCTGTCACTGTCTTGCCATTGGTCAGTCTCCTGGGTATTTGCCCAACCCGAATTCACCCTAAATTATCAAAGATATGCATGCAAAGAACAAAACTTCTGTTTTTGAAAGTTACAAATAAAGTATCCTTCTCCTCCTTTTACCTCACCCCTCCCTTGCTCATTTGCTCTCCTCAGAGATCAGTGCTGTTAGCAGATTCTGGCTTCAGTACCTTTGAAGTTTCCAATAATACTCTCATAATTCTCTCTCATGACTTTAGGGACCCAGGTACACCATTACCAGTTGTGGAATTCTAAAAATTTACTTAACCTCTCTGAGCTACAGTTTCCTCTTTAAGCACAATGAAATAATGACTTACAAGCATCCAATAACATAAATGTGTGTATAAAGTTCATGTAAACTGGGACCCCACACACACCCCTTATCATGCCAAGTGAATCCATCTTGGGAAGTATGTTGGATGGAAAATTTTCAGAATGTAGAAACTTGCATTCTATTATTTTAAGTGACAAAAATAATAATGTTCCTAGCCCAGTTAATACCACCAGGTAATTTCCTCAAACATTACAAAAATACTCTTAAAAAGCTTTCTAGCAGTCTATCCAGGGTTTCTACGTGAAATATAGCATTGAGAAGAGTTATTCTTTGTTAACATTTACTCACTGGTGAGTATGGGTATCTGAAGTAAGAAATACGTTGCGTAATATCTGAATCAAATTATCTATTCCTTCTGCAATGAAAAAACAATGCACTGTGATGTAATATAAATATACAAGTATGTTATCTATCTATGTTTAAATTATTATATGAAAGAGACTATTTAAATTGGACTTTAGTAGGCAGCACGACTGGTGGCTGACAGATATTATTACTGGGACCCATGCTGGGTGAAACCCTCTGGAAAATGGTAGGGAAGATGAGAGATACTGCTCTGTATGTACAGACAAGCCCAGAGAGCTGCTGACATTGGCTAATTGCACTCTGCATCCTTTTGCGTGTACTTCTGCCAATTTAAAAGCTTCCACTGGCTTCTACATGCACATTATAACAGCTTTTGATACAGATAATCTCATTTAGCTTATCACTGTCAAGCCTTCACAGCAAATATTGTTATAGTGTAAGTTTATATAGTGAAGAATACCTGTACATTACAAAATGAGAGAAAATTTCATTTAACTCCTATAAATGCACTGGCTCTGTGAGGTTGCTGGGTGGAAATGCAGGGGTTGACTGTTACATGTTACTGCAATTGATGTTTGAACAACACAGGCTTGAACTATGCAGGTCCATTTGTATTTTCTTCCACCTCTGCCACCCCTGAGACAGCAAGACCAATGCTTCTTCTTCCTCATCACCCTCATCAGTGTGAAGACAAGGATGAAGACCTTTATGATGATCCACTTCCACTGAACACATAGTAAATATATTTTCTCTTTCTCGTGATTCTTAATAACGTGTTCTTTTCTCTATTTTACTTTATTGTAAGAATGTAGTGTATAACACATAGAATATACAAACTATGTATTAATTTACTGTTTATGTTATCAGTAAGGCTGCCCATCAACAGTAGGCTATTTGTAGTTACGTTTTTTGTTTTCTTCTTCTTCTTTTTTTTTTTTTTTGAGACAAGAGTCTCACTCTGTTACCTAGGATGGAGTGCAGTGGTGCAATCATGGCTCGCTCCAGCCTTGAATTCCTGGGCTCAAGCAATCCTCCTGCTTCAGCCTCCCAAAGTACTGGGACTATAGGTGTGAGCCACCAGGCCCAGCCAGTAGTTACATTTTCAGGAAATCAAAAATTACATGCAGATTTTCAACTGCCCAAGGGTGTCAGCACCCCAATCCACACATTGTTCAAGAGTCAACTGTATTATCAGATGGTATTGTTGGTAATAACAATAGCTCACATTTATAAACCCCTTCCCATTTGCCAGGCACTATAGATATTGTCTCTGCTCAAACCCCCTCCAAGGGCTTCCCTGTGGCTCAGAGAAAATCAAGATTGTGCACAGTGGCCTACTGAGCTATATAAACAGGCCCTTGGTCTACTGTGACCCATCACTTGCCACTTCACATTCCCTCACTCAGACCCAACACGTGGCCTCTGTTATTTGTTGAATGCCCCATGCAGGCAACCCCAACTGGGGCTACAGCCTTAGGGGATTCTTCCAGTAACCTGTGGGCCCACCTCTCACCTCTGTCAGGCCTCTGCTCAGAAAATAACTCATCACAGAGGCCTTCCCTGACCACCTTCACTTAGCATTGTTTACAGCAGCGGTTGGCATACTTTTTATGTAAAGAGTCAGGCTTTGCAAAACATAAGTCTCTTCTGCAACCACTCAGTTCTGCCATTGTAGTGAAGAAGCATGAAGACAATACATGAATGAATGAGTGAATATGGCTGTGTTCCAGTAAAACCTTATTTATGGATACTGAAATGCCAACTTCATATAATTCATATAATTTCATATATTTTAAATGTGTCATGAAATGTTACTCCTCTTTTGATCTTTTTGACCATTGATACAACACAATTATTCTTAGCTTCTGGCAGTCGACCCTCAAGTCATGACTTGCTGATACCTGTCCACGTAATTCTCTATCTCCTAAACTCCTTTGTTATTTTTTCCATGGCATACATCATTGGTTGATATCGTATCATATCGTATCATATCATACCATATCTCATATCATATCATATCAAATATACTTACTCGATGTTTATTTTCTGTGTCTTCTAAACAAAATTAAACCCCTTATTTTGCTCACTGCTATATTCTTTGCAGCTAGAACAGCACTTAGTATAAAATATGTATTCAAAATTATTTCTGAATAAATAAGTGAATACAAAGGTCAGTTTCCACACCCTGATTTTATTTTATTTAAAAACATACAGTAAGTTGACTGTTTTCTATGCACAACTTAATGGATTTAAACACAGGTATAGATTCATGTAGTCACGATCAAAATCAGGTTACAGAACAGTTCCATCACCCCAAACCCAACCCCAACCCCTGGCATTCACTCTTTCCTATAGTTTTGCCTTTCCTGAGTGTCACAGGAAAGGCTAAGTTGATTCTTACCT
This sequence comes from Homo sapiens, assembly GCF_000001405.40. Lineage (NCBI taxonomy): Eukaryota > Metazoa > Chordata > Mammalia > Primates > Hominidae > Homo > Homo sapiens. Next base: position 46,144,880 of record NC_000019.10, read on the forward strand.
ATGTAATTGTTGAGACCAACTTCTTGTATCTGACACGGTGCCTTTGAGATCTTGCCAAGTCATGGTGTATGTAAATAGTTCCTTGTCTTTTTATTGCTCAAAAGTTTCCATTGTGTGTGTGTACCACGGTGTGTCTCCCATTTCCCCTGTTGATAGATATTTGAGTTGTTTCCACTTTTTTGCTATTACAAGTAAAATACTATGAACGATTGTGCTTTTTTGGTGGGAACATAAGTTTCATTTCTCTGGGATAAATACACAGGAGTGTGAATGATGGGTTGTATGGTAAATGTATAATTTTATAAAAACAGCCAAAATGTTTTTCGGGGTTATATATATATACCATTTTCATTTCCATCAGTAAAATATGAGAAATTCAGTGTCTTTACTTGCTTGTTAGCACTTGGTATTGTCGATATTCTCTCTCTCTCTCTTTCATATATGTTTGTGTATAATTTCATAATATCTAAATACACATACTCCGGCACTTTTTCACTTACACCCCCAGTGGCCCTCCCTCGTCCAGTCCAACACAGTCAATCCTTGCAACACCCCAAACAGGTTTCCACACGTGACTTACCTACCAGTGAGTGACCCACTCACCAGATTAAAGCCCTCCTTCCAGTAACTCTTAGTTCCTTTCAGGGTTTCTTCTCTCCACCTTCCCATCTTGCTTCCAGCTTCCCTCACTGGTAGAGAATTAAGGACACACTCATATATATGTGTGTGTGTGTGTGTGTGTGTGTGTGTGTGTGTATTTATTTATTTATTTATTTAATATATATATTTAAATTTTGCCAATTCTAGTAGATGGGAGATAGTATCTCACTGGTTTTAATTTGTAGTTCCAGTATGGCTAATGGTGTTGAACAACTTTTCATGTGCTTATTTGCTATCTGTATGTCCTCTTTTGTAAAGCATCTGTTCAGATATTTTGCCGATGCTTAATGATTTTGTTTGTTGTTTCACTTTGAGTTTTGAGAGTTTTTCATATACTCTGGATTCAAGTCCTATGTTAGAGATGTGATTCACAGACACTTTCTGCAGTTGGTAGCCTGTCTGTTGCTTCACTTAACAATTTGTTCATCAAGTTTAACTTTAAAATTTTGATAAGTCCAATCTGTTTTTAAAAAATGGATAATGCTTTTGATGTCTTTTCCCAGATATAAATGTTTTCTCTGATGCCTTCTCCTTGAAATACGTAGTTTTACTTTTCATATCTAGACCATTTGGAGTTAACTTTTGTATAGAGTGTGAGCTTTGGTAGAAGTCTTCTTTTTTTTTTTCATATGCATGCCCATTGTCTCACACCATTTGTTGAAATGACTATCTTTTCCCCCATTGAATTGCCTTTACATCTTTGCCAAAAGACAATTTACTATATTTGTTTGGGTTTATTTCTGGAACCTATTCTGTTCCTTTGATCTATGTGTCTATCCATGTCTATCCATTTGCCAATACTACACTGTTGTCATTACTGTAGCTTGAGTAATTGTGAAATTGGATAGTGTGAGTCCTCTACCATCTTTCCTCATCCAAAATTGTGTTGGCCATTCTAGTTTCCATTGCTTTTCTATATAAATTCTAGAGTTATTTTGTTTCTCTCTCAGACAAATCCTGCTTGGGTTTGATTGGAATTGTGTTAAATCTGTAGATAATTTGGAAAGAATTGGCATCTTACCTAAATTACAGATTCCAAACCACGACATGATATACCACTCTGTATTTAAGGTTTCCTTGAATACTTTAATCGTACACATCCTTTATATGTTCTCCTAGATTTACAGTATACCAGTTCAGTTTTTGGGGAGGGGGGTATTGTAAATGGCATTTTTTTTCTTTAAATTATTGTATCCACTAGTTCTTGCCAGTATAAAGGAATACAATTGACTTCTGTGTGTTTCATACGCTACAACCTTTCTAAATTCACTTATCAGGTCCAGAACTCTTCTACTAACAATGCACTTTTATAAAGCCCTAACACCTCTCCTGATCTCTGTCTCACCCTCCCACCTATCTCACTGTGGGATGGGAAGGAAGTCAATGGAAAACACAGGAGCGCATTCTAATAATAGCCCACATGGTATCCAGTGACACAAATAATAGTGATGGTGACAATAAAATAACAGTAAGAAACACAGAAGGAGCGTTTCCTTGGACAAAGCACTCCAGAAACAACAACAAAAAGGGGCTGCCTTTCCATCTATTCTATGAATCCCAGATGTCTATTTTATCACTGTCTGTTCCTTTTCTGTTCTCCCTGGCAGGGTTTTTACAGCCCCTGCTCTTTTTCTAGATTATGCTGCATCTTCACAGTTTCCCCTAAATGACTCTGAAGAATTATAGACAGTGCTGTCTACAATTATAATAATGGATATGGTGGTCCATTTCCAAGACAAAGTACCTCAGATAGGCTGAGGCCCACAAACTATGGAAGGACAGAATATACTAGGCCCATAGCTGGTGCATGCTTGTCGGGGTCCCCTTAGTTACCCTCTCCCAAACCAGAGTTTAGTCTAGAATGAAAGTTTACTAGCCAGCAAAATAGCTCACTTTATCTATTCTTATCAGCTTGCCTGACTGCCTAGGTCATAAGTCAAATACTTGAAAAGCCCTCGAGCTGGCTTTGATTGCAATGTATTATAGGCTGCAACAAAATGCAGTGAGACAATCCTAAAGAAAACACCTAAAAGCCTCAACCCAGCAACCAATAGGCGACGTCTGGGAAGATCGTGACCCCATCGTACTTAGCCTACGAGGAACCAGGGGAGAGACTTGTGCACTAGGGGATAAATAGCTTGTTGTAACCGTACTGGGTGTGCCTGCCTACCAGACATTCAATCTTGCAAGACCATCATTAAAAGTCTTGCTTCCACTGTTTTCTGTGTCTCTGAGTCCATTCTTTGGGTTTGGACGGGTGCGTTTGTTTCTCATAGTGCAGGTCTGGAGCCGGACTGAGATGGGGAGTAGAGGGACCCCTTGAAACTTCAGGGTGGATGAATATGAAGTTTCATCACCAGCTGTGATGTTTGGTGAGTAGTATGCTCTCAGATAAGTGAGAGCCAAGGAATCTCTTTCAAGTCTCTTTGCCGTGGGCAGAGTTCAAAGAATGACACTCACTCACGGCTTTGAAAGGTTCTAGGGAAGCCTTTACTCTGAGATTTCGAGAGGTCTGAGAAGGTAGCAGTCACTTGGAACAGGTCCAGGAACATCTTACTAAGCTGTTGATGCAGTTTTTTCTTATGCTTTCTGTGGCTTCTCATGCCCCACCCTTTCCAAGAGGCCAGTGCTTCTGGGCACCTCCCTAAATGTGGATAAGTTCATAGCCTACATAAGTCCCTGTATAAAGTCACTGACCCATTTGCACTGCTGCTGTCCCATCAGCTGCTCTGAAGCTCCATGGTGCCCAGAATCTTCGGTAAGGTAACCCTTGCCCCAGGTTGAGCTAATGCCTACTGTTATCCCTAATGTACCTCTGAACCTCAAACTTAATTCTCTCTTCCCTATTTAATTCTTGGTTTCCCACCTCATAATCACCCGTGTCCTCTCTGACTGCATTGCAATCTCTCTTCCCCACCTGCAAATTCCAGAAGCTTAACCCTTTCCAGAGCCCTCCCTGCATTTCCTCACCTGCCAAGCCCAATGCCCAGAACCTGCACACAGAGTCAGTCCCAAAATCTGCTCTGAGCTGTTACAGCAACCAAAGAAACTCAGAGACATCATCTTGTGCCCCATGATCATGATCTGGTGACCCCAGAATCACTGTCATTCTTCTCTCAGCTGATCTTTATTTTTGAACTCCTGGGCTCAGACTCAGAAGGGACCATAGGTGAGAATGGGTGTGGTGAGTGGAGGGAGAAGAAAGGAGGGAGGATTATAGCACTGTGGATAGGGTTGGGGGCTCCCAGAGGTCCCCTGCCAGCTCATCAGCTCTGACTCTTCCAGATATTGGACTGTGGTTGTGCCAGTTGACACTCAGGAGTGGAGACTAGATCTGCAATCTGTTGGGACTGTGATGAGGGGATCATCCTGCCCTCGAACCAGACCCAGCCCTGTAGCCCAGGCACTATTGCCTGGAGTTCCTGGGCTCTCAGCGCCAGGAAATCATGAGGTTCAGTGTCTCAGGCATGAGGACCGACTACCCCAGGAGTGTGCTGGGTAAGTAAGGGCAGCCCAGGCAGTGGACTGAGTTTTGTTGTGTGTATTCCATCAAGATGAGCAATGCCTGCTGTGTTCACTAACTTCTTTTTGGGCAACCATCTCTCTCTCTCCCTCTCTCTCTTCTCTCTCTCTCTCTTCTCTCTCTCTTTCTCTCTCCCTCTCTTTCTCTCTCCCTCTCTTTTCTCTCTCTCCCTTTTCTCTCTCTCTCTCTTTCTCTTTCCCACTCACCCCTCACCCTTTCCACCTCTCCCCCTCTTCCCCTCTCCCCCTCCCCCTCCCCTCCCCATCTCCCTGTGTCCCTCTGTCTCACATCCCCCTCTCTTCTCTTCCCCTCTCCCCTCCCTGTCTTTTCCCTCCTCTCCTTCCTTCTCTTCCTTCCTCTCTCAAGTTGAAGGAAGAGTAGCTCAGTCATCTTCCAGAATTGCTTTTTACCTCCGAGTCACCTGGCTCCATAGCCCCCGACCACCGCATGCCCATTTAGCTGTTCCTCTCTTTCCCCTCTACCCTCACCCTTGGCAACCACCAGTCAGCTTTCTGTCTCTATGGATTTACCTATCTGGGACATTTCATATAAATGGAATCACACCATTTATAAGTGACCTTTCGTGTAACTTTTTTTTTAACTTAATGTTTTCAAGGCATATCCCCATTATAGAATTTATTAGTACTTCATTCCTTTTTACAACTGAATAAATTCAATTGTATCCATGTATCAGCATTCATTTATCCATTCATCTGTTGATGGACACTTGGGCTGTTTCCACCATTTGGCTATTGTGAATAGTGCTGTTACAAACATATGTATACATGTATTTGCTTGAGAACCTGTTTTCAGTTATCTTGGGTGTACACATAGGAGTGGAATTGCTACGCCACATGGTAATTCTGTTTAACTTTTTGAGGAATTGGCAAACTGTTTTCCACAGAGCTGCATCAATTACATTCCCACCAGCAGTGTATGAGGGCTCACATTTCTCTCCAGATTCTTCAACCTTTGTTATTTTCTATTTTCCTGTTTATTACAGTCATCTGGGTGGGTGGGTGTGATATCCTGTGTAGTTTTAATTTGCGTTTCCTTGGTAAATAACAATGCTGAGTGTCTTTTCCATGTGCTTATTGGCCATTTGTATTCCTTTTTGAGAAAAGGTTTATTCAGATTTTTCCATGTTTAAATTGGGTTATTTATTTTATTATTATTTAGTTGTAAGAGTTTTAGAAGATATGCTGGATACTCATCCCTTATCATATATATAATTTGCAAATACTTTCCTCATTATGTGGATTGTGTTCATTTCCTTGATGCTATTGCTTGCAGTGCATAGGTTTTTAATTTTTGATGAAGTCTATTCTTTCTTTTCTCTCTTGTGCTTTTGGTGTAATATCTAAGAAAATATTACCTAACTCGAGGTCATTAAGACTTACTTGTATGTTTTCTGCTAGGAATCTTTTTAAGAAGTTGACAAAGAATAATTGTGTATATTTATGGGGTAAAATATGATGATTTAATGTATGTTTGCCTTGTTAAATGATAAATCAAATTAATTACCATATCTACCACCTAATATACTTATTACTTTTTGTCACTAGAACATTTAAAATATACTCTTCAGCAATTTTGAAATATACAACACACCATTTGTTTTTTTAAGAGGCAGGGTCTCACTCTGATGCCCAGTCTGGAGTGCAGTGGTGTGATCACAGCTCACTGCACCCTCTACCTCTGAGGCTCAAGTGATCCTTCCACCTCAGCTCCCAAGTAGCTGAGACCACAGGCACGCACCACCACACCATGCTAATTTTGTTTTTCATAGAGACGATGTCTCACTGTGTTGCCCAGGCCGGTCTCCAACTTGTAGGCTCAAGCAACCCTCCTCCTTGGCCTCCCAAAGTGCTGGGATTGCAGGTATGAGCCATCACGTCCAGCCCACAATACACTATTATTTATTATAGTCACCGTGCCCTGCAGTGGATCTCTAAAACCTATCTTTCCTGTCTAACTGTAACTTCATATCATTTGCTTATCTCCCTGTTGCCCATCTGCCCACACCAATCCTCTGGTAACTGCCCTTCTCTCTACTTCTATGAGTTCAACTCTTTTAGATTCTACATACAAGTGAGATGGTGTGGTATTTGTCTTTCTGTGGGTTGCTTATTTTACATTTCTGCTAAGAGTTTTATATGTTCGCTCTTGTATTTAGGTCTGTGATACATTTTGAGTTAATCCTTGTGTATGGTATGAGGAAGAGATCCTCTTTCTGCCCACTCTTTTGTGTATGAATATACAGTTTTCCCAGCACCATTTGTTGAAAAATCATTTGTTCCCTTACTTCATAGTCCTAGCACTTTTGTTGAAATTTGATTTCAACAAATCTAAGGGTTTATTTTCTGACTGTTAGTTTTATTCATTGATCTATATGTCTATCCTGTGTGTCAGCTCCTACACTGTCACTATAGCTTTGTGGTAAGCTTTGAAATCATGAAGTATCAATTCTACAATTTTGTTCTTTTTCAAGATCGTTTTAGTTATTCTCGGTCCTTTATGTTTCAATATGAGTTTTAGGATCAACTGATTAATTTCTTCAGAGAAGGCTGGGTCCTGTGGCTCATGCCTGTAATCCCAGCACTTTTGGAGGCCAAGGAAGGTGGATGGCTTGATCTCAGGCGTTAAGAGACCAGCCTGGGCCATATGGTGAGACCACATCTCTACCAAAAAATGCAAAAAATTAGCCAGGCATGCGGTGTGCGTCTGTAGTCCCAGCTACTTGGGAGGCTGAGGTGGGAGGATCACTTAAGCCTGTGAGGCGGAGGTTGCAGTGAGTCATGATCACGCCACTGCACTCCAGCCTGGGTGACAGAGTGACACTTGATCTCACAAAAGTTCTTTGATATGGATTGCATTGATTCTATAGATCAATTTGGGATTTTTGGCACCTGAACAATATTAAGTCTTCCAATTTGCGAACATGGATGTATTTCCATTTATTTACATATTCTTAATTCTTTTCAACAATGTTTTGTTGTTTTTAATGCACAAATCTTGCACCTCTTCTGTTCAATTTATTCATAAGTATTTTATTCTCTTTGGTACGTGGAATTATATTCCTAATTTCATATTTAGATGGTTTTTTACTAGTGTATACAATTGCTTTTTATATGTTGATCTCTTTTATCTTACAATCCTGTTGAATTTTTCTATTAGTCTTTAGGTCATAGTAGCTTCCTTAGGTTTTTTTTTTTTTTTCTTTTTCTTTTTTGAGACAGAATCTCACTCTATCATGCAGGGTGGCGTGCAGTGGTGTGATCATAGCTCAATGCAGCTTCGAACTCCTGGGCTCAAGTAATCCTCCTGCCTCAGCTTCCTGAGCAGCTAGAACTACAGGCATGTGCCACCATCCCTGGCTAATTTTTTTATGTTTTTATTTTTATACAGATGGGGTCTCGCTATGTTGACCAAGCTGGTTTCAAACTTCTGACCTCAAGTGATCCTCCCCACTTGGTCTCCCAAAATGCTGGGATTACAGGAGTGAGCCACTGTGCCTAGTCCTTAGGATTTTTAACATACAAAATCATGTCATTTGCAAATAGAAATCATTTTACTTTATCTTTCTCAGTCTAAATTCATTTTATCTTCTTGCCTAACTTTCATGGCTTGAACCGCCAATGCTATCTTGAATAGAGTGGTAAGAGTGGATATACTTGTCTTGTCCCTGATATTAGGGGGAAAGTATTCAATCTTTCACAATTAAGTATGATGTTAGCTATGAGTTTATTGTAGATGCTCTTTAACAGGTTGAGGAAACTCTCTTCTATTCCTAGTTTGTTCTTTGTATTTTATCATGAAAGAGTGTAGATTTTGTCAAATGCTCTTTCAGTATCATTTGAGAGAATTACGTGTCTCCCTCCTATAGTCTAGTAAGGTGGTGTATTATATTAATTGATTTTCATATGTTGAACCAACTTTGCATCCGTGGGATAAATCCACTTGGTCATGGCGTATCGTTCTTTATATATGCTGCTGGATTTGGTTTGCTATGTTTTGTTGAGGATTTTTGAACTTATATTCATAAGAGATGTTGGTCTGTAGTTTTTTTTCCTTGTGATGTCTTTGTCTGGTTTCGGTATCAGGGTAATACAGGCCTCAGAATAGACTGGAAAGTTGTGTTTGGTTTTTTTGAAAAGTTTGTGAATGATTGGTATTAAGCCTTCTTTAATTGTTTTGTAAAATTCACCATCTGGGTCTGGATGGGCATTTCCCGTGTATGGGTATTCCCCTTTCTCTGCATCCTTGCCAGCATCTGTTATTTCTTGTCTTTTTGATAAAAGCCATTTTAACTGAGATGAGGTATCTTATTGTGGTTTTGATTTGCATTTCCCTAATGTAAGTAATGTTGAACATTTTTTCATATACTTTTTTCATATACTTGAGTGTTTGTATGTCTTCTTTTGAGAACTAGGTATTCAGATCTTTTGCCCCTTTTAAAATCAGATTCTTTATTTTTCCCAGCAATACAATTATGTACATATTGTTTTATGCCATTACTTTTAAGACCAGTTAAGAGAAGAAAGGATAAGAAATAAGCAATTATACTGTTTTAATAAGTAGTTACAAGTTATATAATTGCTTATATAATTACACAATTCTATTTTATTAGTGCTCTCCAGAGGGTGCAGCCTTGGGCATGAGTGCTGGATCGCTAACTACTCCAGATAATTATGGTTTTAGCTGGGTTCTTTTTTTGGGGTAGCTTTTGCCTTTTTATTACAAATTATATATGTGTATATATATATATATATATATATTTTTTTTACTTTAAGTTCTGGGATTCATGTGCTGAACATGCAGGTTTGTTACATGTGCCATGGTGGTTTGTTTCACCTATCAACCCGTCATCTAGGTTTTAAGCCCCGCATGCATTAGGTATTTGTCCTAATGTGCTGCTTCCCTTTTCCCCCAAGACCCTGACAGGCCCCTGGGTGTGATGTTCCCCTCCCTGTGTCCATGTGTTCTCACAGTTCAACTCTCACTTCTGAGTGAGAACATGTGTTGTTTGGTTTTCTGTTCCTGTGTTAGTTTGCTGAGGATGATGGTTTCCAGCTTCATCCATGTCCCTGCAAAGGACAGGAACTCATTCTTTTTTTACTATTTTTTCCTGATGTTTCTGTTAAGCTTCTGGCCCGTCTGCCTCTGTTGGTATCACTTGCATCTGTTAGACTCCTCTAATTGTTAATTGATTGCTCTTTTCTTTTTAATAGGCCTGTGGGCTGCTTAATGTCTAACCCTTTTGCCAAGACAAAGTGTTGCCAGGGTTTGAGGCTGTCTCTGACCCCAGGAGGAGGGCCCTTCTTAGTTATCTCTTTTTCTGATTTTCTCTGTTAAGCTTCTGCCTGGATTTTTGGGTTTTGTTTTGTTTTGTTTTGTTTTTGACGGAGTCTCGCTCTGTCGCCCAGGCTGGAGTGCAGTGGCGCGATCTCAGCTCACTGCAAGCTCTGCCTCCTGGGTTCACGCCATTCTCCTGCCTCAGCCTCCCAAGTAGCTGGAACTACAGGCACCCACCACCACGCCTGGCTAATTTTTTTGTATTTTTTTTTTAGTAGAGACGGGGTTTCACTGTGCTTGCCAGGATGGTCTGGATCTCCTGACCTCGTCATCTGCCCGCCTCAGCCTCCCAAAGTGCTGGGATTACAGGCGTGAGCCACTGCGCCCAGCTGGTCTTTTTGTTTCTTGTTACTACTGTCATGGAATTACCACCCTCTTCTTGGTTTTTTAGCACCAGAATTTCAGATATTTTTGTACGGTGTTCTTAGGCATGAACTTCTCCACACTCTTTTCAAGAAAAGCCAGTTTTAGGGAGACTTGTGGAGCTCTCTGTTCTGATGGCCTCCCTCTCCCCCGGGCAGAACCGCTGAGCCACTGGACTGGAGCTGGTGTCAGGGACAGCAGCTAGCTTCTCCTGCAGCGATGTCTTTCCTCTACAGCTAGAACACTGGGAGGGGGTGGTAGCTGCTCCTCTTCTCGGTTTGCCCTTTCTTGTGTGGAACCTCTGCCCCATGAGTGAACTCAGGCAGGATCAGTGAAGCCCAGTGTGCTTCACCTGCTAAACTTGGCATGGAACTTCCATGCTAGGAGGAGGGGCTGGATGGGAGAAGGAGCCCCGGTGCTGTAAGCCACAATTTCTAACTAATATAGCACATCCGCAACATGGAGACAGTAGGATAAAAGATGCTGGTGCACTGCCCTTTCTGAACTGAAACTGTAGCCCTAGGCTGGGAGCTGGGGAGAGGTGGAGTCCCATTTTCTTGTCCGTGACTACCCAGCATAGAGCTTCAATTACACAGAGTTGGCTGGGGATGTGGGGAATAGGGATAATTTGTGGCTTAAATGCCCTCAGACTCTCGCTGCTCTATACAGATTGAGTGGAATTTCTTGAATAAACATTTCTTTATTTGCTGTATGCCCTTAGGACAATTTCCTGAGACTTAACTAGTTGTTTTTATAAAAAAAATAATTTTCATCAGTTAAATGGTTGTTTTGCCGGGAGGAAGGCACCCATGCTCTTCACACTGACTTCTGGAAGTCCTGCTTTATAGTTTGAAATATTTTGCATTTAAGTCTATGATCCATTTCAAATTAATTTTCACATTTTGTGTGAGATAAGGGTCAAGATACATTCCCCCCCAATATAGATATCTATTAAAAGGACTAATCTTTGCCTGGTGAGTTGTAGTGGTACAATTGTGATAAATCACTGATTGTCTGTGTGTGGATCTGTATCTGAACTCTGTTTCATTCCATTGATAAAATTATTTATCTTTCGCAATACCACGCTCTAAATTATTATAGTTTTATGAAACTTCCTGATCTGTTAGGGTAAGTCGTATAACTTTGTTTAGTTTCTTCAATATTGTATTGGCTATCTTGTCATTTTCATTTTCTGGTAATTTTTAAAAAAAATATGTATAGAGTCAGGGTGTCACTGTGTTGCCCAGGCTGGTCTTGAACTCCTGGGATCAAGCAATCCTCTTGCCTCAGCCTCCCAAAGTGCTAGGATTACAGGTGTGAGCCACCGTGCCCAACCATCACTTTCTGATAAATTTTAGAATCACTTTGTTAACTTATACAAAACCTTGCTGTAATATTTATTGAGTTTGCATTGAATTTATCGATCAATTTGGGGAACACTGACATCTTTGTTATATTGAGTCTTCCAAAGCATAAACCTGGTATGTTTCCCATTTACTTAGGTGTTCTTTAGTATCTTTCAGCAGAGTTTTGCAGAGGTTTCTCACCTTTCTTTAGATTTAATTCTAGGTATTTGTTATTTTTGATATCATTGTAAATGGTAATGGAGAATTGGCTTCTATCTAGAGCCGTAAAACAAACCTCAACAAGTTCTAAAGTATTGAAGTTTAACAGAGTAAGTTGTCTGACCATAATTTGATCAAGCTAATGACTACAGAAAGATCTCCAAGCACTTGGCAGCTAAGCAACACAACTCTAAATAACTCATGGTTTAAAGATGAGTCTCAAAGATTTTTAAAACTATATTTAACTTAATGAAATGAAAATACAATATATCAAAATTTATGGAACATATATAAAGCAGTGCTAAGTGTGAAACTTATTGTGCTAAATAGTTGTATTAGAAAAAAGGAAAAATCAATAATCTAAGCTCCCACATCAAGAAGCTAGGAAAAAATAAAAGAGCAAAATAAACCCAAAGCAAGAAGGAAGGAAATAATAAAGAGGAGAGCAGGAGTCGATAAAATTGAAAACAGAAAAACAGTCTAGAAAATCAATGAAATAAAGAGTTAATTCTTTGAAAAGATCAATAATCTTTTGATAGTTTTAGCAAAACTCTCAAAAATTCAAAGAGAAGACACAAATTGTCAGTATCAGGAATGAGACAGGAGATATAGGTTTTGCAGACACTAAAAGAATAATAGTGGAAAACTAGGAATAACTCTACACAATTTGACAACTTAGATGAAATGGACCACCCATTTAAAAGCACAAATGATCACAACACACCCAATATGAAATACATCATTTTAGTAGCCTTATAACTATTAAGGAAATAGAATTCAGAATTTAAAATATCTCCTAAAAAGGAAATCTCCAAGCCCAGATGGTTGCACCTGAGAATCTAACAAATGTTTAAAAAGAAATTGACACCAATTCTGCACAATCTCATCCAGAGAATAGAATAGGAGGGAATTCAATTCATTTCATAAAATCAGAGTTATTTTGCTACTAAAATCATAAAAAGACAAACAAGAACAATGACAACAACAAAGCAATGAAACTATAGACCAATATCCTTCATGCAAAAATCCTTGACAAAATATTTGTAAATTAAATTCAGCAATATAAAAAAATACTTACACATCATGCCTATGTAGGGCTTATTCCAGAATGTAAGCCTGGCAGAATATTTCAAAAATCACTCTCAGTGTAATCCATCATATTAACATGCTAAAGAAGAAAAATGACATGATCACATCAATTGATGCTGAAAAAGCATCTGATAAAATTTAACACCCATTCGTGATTTTAAAAACTCCCAGAAAAACAGGAATAGGGGGAATTTCCTCAACTCGATAAAGTCCATCTACAAAAACCCTACAACTAATATAATAAGTAATGGTGAAAAAGTGAATGCTTTCCACCTAAGACTGAGCAAAGGAGAGGAAGTCTGCTTTCACCATTCTTATTCAGTGTATTGCTGGACATTCTAACCAGGGCAATAAGTCAAGGAAAAAAAGAATTACAATTTATACAGATTGGAAAGGAAGCAATAAAACTGTTCCTATATTTGTAGGCCACACAACTGTCTATGTAAACAGTCCCAAGGAATCTAAAAATGTACTCCTATAACTAATAAGTGAGTTTAGCAAGGTTTCAGAATGCAAGATCAACATAGAAAAAATCAATCGTGTTTCTTTATACCAATAATGAACATGTGGACATTGAAATTAATAACAAAATAGCACCTGCAATTGTTCAAAAATGAAAAAGTTAGGTGTAAATCTAACAAAACATGTACAGGACTTATATGCTGAAAATTACAAAATGCTCCTGAAAGAAATAAATGGAGAGACATGCCATTTTCATGGATTGTAAAACTCAACTAGTAAAGATGTTAGTTCCCCCCAAATTGATTGCAATTTATATTTTATTTTATTTTGAGACAGAGTGTCACTCTGTCACCTAGACAGGAGTGCAGTGGCGCGATCTTGGCTCACTGCAAACCTCCGCCTCCCGGGTTCAAGTGATTCTCCTGCCTCAGGCCCCCTAGTAGCTGGGATTACAGGTGCGCACTACCATGCCTGGCTAATTTTTTTGTATTTTTAGTAGAGATGGGGTTTCACCCTGTTAGCCAGGACGGTCTTGATCTCCTGACCTCGTGATCCACCCACCTTGGCCTCCCAAAGTGCTAGGATTACAGGTGTGAGCCACCACGCCCGGCCTGATTGCAATTTCTATCAAAATCCCAGCAAGATTTTATTTTTGGGGGGGCGGGTGGGTATAGACAAGATTCTATATTTATATGGAAAGGCAGAGGAACTAGAATAGCTAAAACAGTTTTGACACTTGTACCTTTTCTTGTTAATTTCATGTACAACTTTTCTTGAATAACCAAGCTGGCAGGTGAGGCTCATCAAGAATATCCAGATTCTTGATCTTCTTAGGCTTTGTAAAGGAGGCCAATACCCTTCAACGTGCATGGGAGGCTAAGAATGGAGCTTGGGAGAGAAGAGCCCTCCCTAAGGTTACTGATGCGGTCAGGATGATTAGGAGTAAGGGCTCCCCCACAAGTTGTGGCAGCAGGTGGGGGATGGAGTGTCAGATCAGTTGTCATCACTGAGGGCTGGCTTCCTTACTGCCCGGGTCCTGCCAGATCTGCTGCCTTCCTCATAGGCATTGGTTTACCTTGTGATTTTGTTTATCTGGGCTGCACTCTCAGGTGCTGTATCACATATCATCTGCCACTTACTATTATTACTATTATTACAATCTGCACTCTAGAACCACATGCCCTTTGGATCCTCACAACAACTCCATGAAAAAATCGCAGCTGTCACTCTTCTCTGGTTCTCTTTTGGAGTTTATGGTGCCTGTGCACTTCTGCTAGATCACGTGAAAACTGTGGATATGACTCCAAATAGTTCTCCAGGGAGTAAACAAAGTGGTTTGGGGCATCATCTTTTGAAACTTCTAAGGATACAGTGCCTGGGAAATATAGAATTAGAAGGTGTTTAGTAGAAGGGGGATTAAAATAGATGGGAAGAGCCACCTTCTCTAGTTTCATGTTCATTGGTAATGGCCGGTGGTACTGGAGGCCATGAGCTTCCTCAAGCCACAACATGGAGTAGGACTTGGCTGCATTCACTCTCTGATATGGAGTAGCCCAGGAGAGGAAAAAGGTTATAGTATAAGGGGAACATTTTTCATTTGCAAGTACAGAAGACAAAAACGAACACCCTTCCTCTTATTTTGCTCACATAATCTCATTGTCACCTGCCTGTACATGCTTTCAAAAGCTGCCTGTACATGTTTTCACCTGCCTGTACATGCTTTCAACCATGGAATATTTGAACTTGGATCACTATGTTAGTCAGGTGATTGCATCCATAAAAAAACCTTCATATTCCATCATTTTTTTCCATTTCCTTTATCTCTCAACCTTCACCCACAGTCATGGTGTCAGAAACTGCAAAACAAATGAGGAGAGCCCCAAATTTTAGACCTACTGTCCGTCTCTACAGAAAATAGAAAATTACCTGGGCATGGTGGCACATGTCTGTAGTCTCACCTACTCAGGAAGCTGAAGTGAGAGGATCGTTTGAGCCCTGGAGTTCAAGGCTGCAGTGAGTCAAGATGGCACCACTGCACTCCAGTCTGGGTGACAGAGTAAGACCCTGTCTCAAAAAACAAAAAGCAAACAAACAAAAAAAGACCTACTCAAGCCCAATCCTATCTCCAAGACAATCCTGCACCCCAGTTCTCCACTTGCCAATCTTACTCAGCTTCCTTCCTCCTTCCTTATCACCTTAATCTTAACCATGGTTAATCTTTAACAGCTGCTCCCTCCTTTTTCCAACTGGTAAACTTCAGCATATTCTTAGAATCATAAACGAAGATATTCCAAGAGTTTTCCCTGCATTCTCTTTCCTAGAAGGGTCCATGCTTCTCTGGCCCTGCTGTCTGGACTCTTAACTGTGTCAGTTAGATCCTATGCAAAGATAGTTCCAAACCCAAGCCTTTAGAGCTAATCTGGAACTAAGCCTTCCCCACCCTGGCCTGCCCTCCCTGAGATCAACCTAGTGGCCACACTTCCAGCCCCATCCTTAACCTCCTTTCTTTCTCTCCCAGCTCCTGCTTATGTGTCAGTCTGTCTCCTCCTCTTGTGTCCAAGGGAAGTCATCGGTGAGTACAAGGATGGGCAAGAGTGAAGAGGAAGGAGGCTGACTTTGGAAAGTGGGCATGGGGGTTCACAGAGGGCTCCTGATTGGGGGATGTAGTGCCTGGTTATCCTTGAGCTCACACCAACAATGTCTGTCCATCTGTCCAGCTCCCGCTGGCTCAGAACCATGGCTGTGCCAGCCGGCACCCAGGTGTGGAGACAAGATCTACAACCCCTTGGAGCAGTGCTGTTACAATGACGCCATCGTGTCCCTGAGCGAGACCCGCCAATGTGGTCCCCCCTGCACCTTCTGGCCCTGCTTTGAGCTCTGCTGTCTTGATTCCTTTGGCCTCACAAACGATTTTGTTGTGAAGCTGAAGGTTCAGGGTGTGAATTCCCAGTGCCACTCATCTCCCATCTCCAGTAAATGTGAAAGGTAGGGACCCCGTCCCTGGCCAGGGGGTCGGGGGAAGGGAGGTGGAAATGAGGAGGGGAGTCTAGATGTCTTCATCACTCCTTTTGAAGAGCCCTGGCCCTGTAGTCTAATCTCTAGCAGTTTCTCAAATATTTTCAGTTATCTCCTTGTCTGTTATTCGTAATTTCTTGGTTTCTTTTTCTCTGTAGCAGAAGACGTTTTCCCTGAGAAGACATAGAAAGAAAATCAACTTTCACTAAGGCATCTCAGAAACATAGGCTAAGGTAATATGTGTACCAGTAGAGAAGCCTGAGGAATTTACAAAATGATGCAGCTCCAAGCCATTGTATGGCCCATGTGGGAGACTGATGGGACATGGAGAATGACAGTAGATTATCAGGAAATAAATAAAGTGGTTTTTCCAATGTACACACCTGTACCCAATGTCGTCTCCTTTCTTTTTTTTTTTTTTTTTTGGATTGAAATAGGCAAGGAAGACTATTCAAGACTATTGCAATGGAGGAAAGAGATTGAACTCAGTTCTGCTGAAACAAAAGGCTGGAGAGTTTTTAAGTACACTATTATTGTGTGGGAGTCTAAGTCTCTTTGAAGGTCTTTAAGAGTTTCCTCTATTAATCTATGTGCTTCTCTGTTGGTTGCAAATATATTTAGGATAATTAGGTCTTCTTGTTGAATTGAACCCTTTACCATTATGTGATGCCCTTCTTTTTTTATCTTCATTGGTTTAATGTCTTTGTCTGAAATTAGGATTGCAACTCCTGCTTTTTTCTGTTTTCCATTTGCTTAGTAGATTTTCCTCCATTCCTTTATTTTGAGCCTATGAGTGCCATTAAGTGTGAGATGGGCTTCTTGAAGACAGCATACCATTGGGTCTTGCTTTTTTATCCAGCTTACTAGTCTGTGTCTTTTAAGTGAGGCCTTTAGCCTGTTTACATTAAAGGTTAGTATTGATATATGTGGATTTGATCCTGTCATTGTGCTGTTAGCTGGTTATTATGTTGGCTTGTTTGTGTGGTTGCTTTATAGTGACACTGGTCTGTGTGTTTAAGTGTGTTTTTGTATTAGCTGGTTGTGGTCTTTCCTTCTATATTTAGTGCTCCTTGCAAAATCTCTTGTAAGGCAGAGCTGGTCGTAATGAATTCCCTCAACATTTGCTTATCTGAAAAGGATCTTAGGAAGCATAGTTTGGCTGGATATAAAATTCTTGGTTGAAGACTTTTTCTTTGAGAATGTTGAATATAGATCCCCAATCTCTTCTGGCTTGTGCTGAGAAGTCTGCTGTTAGCCTGATGGGGTTCTCTTTGTAGGTGACCTGCCTTTTCGCTCTAGGTGCCTTTAACATTCTTTCTTTCATTTCAACCTTGGAAAATCTGATGATTATGTGTCTTGGGGATGATCTCCTTGTGTAGAATCTTGCAAGAGTTCTCTGTATTTCCTGAATTTGTGTGTTGGCTTCTCTAGCAAGGTTGAGAAAGTTTTCATGGACAATATCCTGAAGTATGTTTTCCAAGTTGTTTGCTTTCTCCCTCTCCCTTTCAGGGATGCCAGTGATTCATAAATTTAGCCTGTTTACATAATCCCATACTTCTTGGAGGTTTGGTCATTTCTTTTTATTTTTTATTTTTCTTTATTTTTGTCTGACTCTCTTATTTCAAAGAACCAGTCTTCAAGTTCTGAGATTCTTTCCTCAGCTTGGTTTATTCTACTGTTAATACTTGTGATTGCATTGTGAAATTCTTGTGTTGTGTTATTCAGCTCTGCCAGACCTGTTAGGTTCTTTTTTATACCAGCTATTTTGTCCTTTGGTTCTTGTATCACTTTATTGTGACTCTTGTTTTCCTTGGATTGGGTTTTGCCATCCTCCTGAATTTCAGTGATCTTTGTTTCTATCTGTATTCTGAATTCTACTTCTGTCATTTCAGCTAGTTCAGCATGGTTCATAACTCTTGTTGCAGAACTAGTGTGGTCGTTTGGAGGACATATGACCCTCTGGCCATTTGAGTTACTGGAGTTCTTGCATTGCTTCTTTCTCATCTCTGTGTGTGAGTGTTTCTTTAACCACAGTGTAGATTAAGTACAGTCAATAGACTTCTTTTCTGGATGTTTTCCCTGGGCTGAGGCTTTGTGTGGGGTCTTTATTTGAAACTGACTTCTTGTCTCTGGTTTCAGAGGCCGGATATGTTAGTAAGGTATTATTTATGTTGACGCTTTGGGGTGTGATCCAGCAGGTGGCACTTAGGCTTATTGGTCAGTTGTATGGCTCCCCTATGTTTCCTCACAGTTGCAGCTGTGTTTTCTCACAATGCTCTGAAAGTGTGGGTTCCTCTCCCTCTTGAGTGCTGGCTGTGATTATGACTTGGGACTCCTGGGCTGCCCACTGCAGCTCTGGGGTGATCTCAGTGTTTATGTTCCTTCCTCAAGTTGGAAGCAGCAGAGGAAGGGATCTTATTAGTGGTTGTGGCCAAGGGTTGTTTGCTTGTCTCCTGGGGGCTCCATTCCAGAGAGATGAAGGTCAGCAGCCACTCAGTGCAGTCAGCTCAAGGTGGAGCATCTGTGCCGTGGGTCCATGCCAGGGGTTCCCTGCCTGGTGATGAGCAGTGGGAGAGGGAGTATGGGACCCATGGGAAACAGACTGATCTCCTCTCCTTGGGTTGACTGCAGCTTGTTGGAGGTGTGAATAAAGCGCTTAGGGCCTTTGCTCCTTTGTTAGTCTGAGGGTGGCAAGGACAGTTCCACTGCAGAGGCAGTGGCAGAGGGGCTTTCAGATGGCGCTGGAGGCTCTGTTCATGGAGTTGCTGAGTTGCTACTGGCTTCATAGCTCTGGCAGGGGGTGGCTGGAGGCCTAGGCTTGGAGAATCTGCCTGATGAGGAGACATGGGAATGGGCACCAATGTAACAGTCTGTCCTCTTTTCTGTAGGGCTGCTGTGGTATTCTGGGGGCCTGCTCCAGTCCTTAGTTGCCTCAGATAGTCCAGTACCTGGAGGTATCACCAGTGAAGACTGTGAAACAGCAAAAATAGCAGCAGTCCCTCCCTGAAGCTTCATCCCAGGATGGTACAGGCTTGTTGCCAATGCAAAGGCACCTGTAGGAGGTGGCTGAAGACCCCATTTGGGAGGTCCTGCCCAGTGAGGAGGAATGGGATCAGGGACCTGCTTAAAGAAACAGTCTGGCCATGTTTTGGTAGAGCAGCTGTGCTGTGCTGGGGGTCCATGTCAGCCCCTGGTTCCTCAGATACTCTGAGGCCTGAAGGCTGGAACAGCTAAGTCATCTAAATGGCAAAGATAGTGGCCCGTCTCTCCCTCTGGGAGCTCTGTCCCAGGGTGGTTACAAATCTCTGTAGGATGGAGAACACAAACAGGGGTGACTGTAGGTCCTGGTTGGGACATTCCACCCAGTGAGGAGGAACGGGATCAGGGACCCATTTAAAGAAGAAGTCTGACCACCTTTTGGTGGAGCAGCTGTGCTGTGCTGGGGGACCTCTTCTGCCCCCAGTCAGCTCAGACTCTCCAATACCCAAAGGCTGAAACAGCTAAGTCACCCAAACAGCAAAGATGGCAGCCCACCCCTCCCTCTGGGGGTTCCATCCCAGGGAGAATTCAAACCTCTGTCAGCTGGAGAACATCAGCAGGGGTGGCTGGAGGCCCCAGTTGATCACCTGCTTCCTGATGAGGATAGGAGAAGCACTTGGTACATACCATTTTATCAATTTAGCCAGTGTCTTCTGCAGCATCCCCATTTCCTCAGAGGGTCAAGACCAATTTACAGTCACCTGGTAAAGGAGAACAATAGACCTTTACGTCTTGCGTGAGGGATATTTACATAACCTTATAGTGGCTGCTGACCTGAGTAGATGGAGTGCGCTGGAGAAGGCACGTGTTTTCCATTACATTGATGATATCACTAACTTCTGAGTCTTTTTTCAGCTTACAAACTGCAGGCCCCACCTTGCTGTCTCACTTCGTGAACAGAGGATGGGTGGTCAATGTAGACAAAGTTCAGGGTCCAGGCTTATCAAATACTTGAGTGTCGTCTGGTCAGGTAAGACTAAAGTTGTTCCATCTGTCATTATAGATATGGTGTAGGCCTAACTGTGTCCTACCACACCAAAGCAGTTGCAGACCTTCTTAGGCCTTCTAGGGTATTGGTGTCTTTTTATTCCCCATGTGGCCCAACTTGTTAGGCCCTTGTACTGCTTAGTCAAGAAAGGGGCCCACTGGGACTGGTCCACAAAGGAGGATGATGCCTTTGGACAAGCTAAACTCACAGTGAAGTGAATACAAACCTTGGGTGTTCTAGGGCAGGGACGGCCTTGTAAATTTGACGTAGCCAGTTACTCCAAGAGGTTAGGGCGCAGCCTGTGGCAAAGGTGAGGACACAGATATGTGCCTGTAGTATTCCGGTCCCAACTATGGAAGGGTGCTGAAGTTATCTGTAGAATCATGGATCAACAATGCTACACTACATATCATGCCTTACAGCAAAGGGAGGATGTTACAAAGGGGGTCCCATTCTAGTCTGCAGCCAGCACCCCATAGCAGGTTGGCTGAAGGACACCTTCCAGAAACCAAAGTCTGGGAATGCCCAGACACAGAGTGTGGCCAAATAGCATGCATGCTTGCACAGAGGAGCACATTAACTAGCACAGGGAGCACATTAACTAGCACAGGGCTCCATTTGGTGCGTGGCCCTGTCACCTACATGACAGCTGAAGGAGGGCCTTTGACACAGACACTGAGCCTCCGCAAATTACCTCCTCATGCAAGAGGGACAGGGCCCGATTTCTGACCAGGCCTGGTACAGAGGTGGCTTGTCACGAGGCAATGCCTGCACTTGGATAGCCATGGTCATCCAGCCATCCACTGATAGTATCTGGCTTGATACAGGCAAAGGACATAATAGCCAATGGGCTGAGCTGTGAGCCGCCTGGGTTGTCTCTTCTGTGAGCCGGACCCAATAGTCCTGTGCATCAATAGCTGGTCCATCTTTAAGGGACTTACCATGTGGCTACTACAGTGGGAAACACTGGATTGGATGGTAGCTGGCCGCCCCCTTTGGGGAGGCTGACATGTGGAAGGACATTCTCCATTGTATCTCGGACATGCATATAATGGCCTAGCATGTGGATGCCTGCACAGCACCTGCACCACCTGGAAATCAGCAGGTGGACTAGCTATCCCACATTCATCTACTGGAGGAAGTTCTGTTTCTAACTTCCAAAAAGGTGTTAGAAACAGAAGATGTGGCCCACTGGCTAACAAAGAGGACATTAAGAACAAGATACCTATCGGGGGACCTGCCCCGATAATCACATAGGTTCTTTTCTATTTTCCTAAGCGTCAGCTGGCTTGAGAAATAAAGGGACAGAGTACGAAAGAGAGAAATTTTAAAGCTGGGCGTCTGGGCGAGACATCACACATTGGTAGGATCCTTGATGCCCCACAAGCCACAAAAACCAGCAAGTTTTTATTAGGGATTTTCAAAAGGGAAGGGAGTGTATGAATAGGTGTGGGTGACAGACATCAAGTATTTAACAGGGTAATAGAATATCACAAGGCAAGTGGAGGCAGGGCGAGATCACAGGGCCACAGGACTGAGGCGAAATTAAAATTGCTAATGAAGTTTTAGGCACCACTGTCATTGATAACATCTTATCAGGAGACAGGGTTTTGAGATCAACCGGTCTGACCAAAATTTATTAGGCGGGAATTTCCTCTTCCTAATAAGCCTGGGAGCGCTATGGGAGACTGGAGTTTATTTCATCTCTGCAATCTCGACCATAAGAGACAGGTACGCCCCGGAGGGGTGGCCAGTTCAGAGACGTACCCCTAGGTGCGCATTCTCTTTCTCAGGGACGTTCCATGCTGAGAAAAAGAATTCAGCGATATTTCTCCCATTTGCTTTTGAAAGAAGAGAAATATGGCTCTGTTCTGCCTGGCTCACCGGCGGTCAGAGTTTAAGGTTATCTCTCTTATTCGCTGAATAATTGCTGTTATCCTGTTCTTTTTTCAGGGTGCCCACATTTCATATTGCTCAAACACACATGCTTTACAATTTTTGTAGTTAACACAATTATTACAGGGTCCTGGAATGATATACATCCTCCTCAACTGACAGGATTAAGAGATTAAAGTAAAGACAGGCATAGGAAATCACAAGGGTATTGATTGGGGAAGTGGTAAGTGTCCATGAAATCTTTACAATTTATGTTTAGAGATTGCAGTGAAGATAGGCATTAGAAATTACAGAAGTATTAATTTGGGGAACTAATAAATGTCCCTAAAATCTTCACAATCCACGTTCTTCTGTCATGGCTTCAGCCGTTCCCTCCGTTTGGGGTCCCTGACTTCCCGCAACAGGTACCCTTTGGGCCACAGTGAAGAACTGGTGCCCACCACTATGACATAAAGACATAGTACACATCTGTCAATAATGTCCTGCGTGTGTGCAGGAGAGCCGCAGCCCCTTGCTGCATGATACTGGGCAGATCAGCCAGGGTCGGAGCCTGGCTCCGTGGTGGCAGGTAGACTATATAGGACCTTTGCCCGTATCTGATGGCTGCTGCTATGCCTTGACTTGTGCAGACCCCTACAATGGGGCTAATGCAGGCATATCCCAGCAAGCGTGCCACCCAGAAAACCACCATAAAAAGACTAGAGCAGCTGTGTGCAACATATGGCATCCCCTTCCGATATGGACGGGGACCAGGGCTCACACTTTACTGGACAAAAATACATTATCTATTATGGACTGAATGTTTATGTCTTCCCCAAAATTTGTATGTTGAAGCCCTGAAACCCACTGTAGCTGTAATTGAATGTGGAGCCTCTAAGGAAGTGCTTGAGGTCATAAGGGTAGGGCCCTGATCTGATAGGATTGGTGTCCTTATAAGAAGAGCCACCAGAGAGCTTGTACTCTCCCTGCACACACAAAAGAAGAGGCCATGTCAGCACACAGTGAGAGGGCGGCTGTCTGCAGGCCAGAAAGAGAGCCCTCAACAGAAACGGCATTGACCAGCACCTTGATCTTAGACTTCCAACCTCCAGAGTGTGAGAAAATTAACTTCTGTTGTTTAAGCCACCCAGTCTGTGGTATTTTGTTATGGCAGCCTAAGTGTCCTACTATGATATCTTAATATGTATTATCTAGAAGGAGGAAAGGCTAAAACAAAGTCAAAGCCGTGAATACCGAGGACTACGGGCACATACCACCATGCCAGCTAATTTTTGTATTTTTTTAGAGACTAGGTCTCGCTGTGTTGCCCATCTTGGTCTCAAACTCCTGGCCTCAAATGATTCTCTTGCCTGGGCCTCCCAAAGCACTGAGATTACAGGCATGAGCTGCCAATACCCAGACAAGGATTACATGATTGTTTTGAAAAACATTATCGTTGGTTAAAAAGATTAATAACAAGGGTGGCATCAGTTTTGAGTTTGGACAGGCAGTTGCTGGGCAAATGTCTGGTCTTATTTAAAGCATTTCACTCTTATGTTTTTGAGAAAAGAACTTTTATCTAAGGAATGAAAATATTTTCAATTTTCAGGCCCAGAGAGGCATTAAAATGAGACATCCAATCATGTCATACTCCTCCCTTTGAGCTATATCTTCATCTCTGGAAACTGCTTGCTATTGCCACAAGTAGCTATAAATTAACCTAATAATGCCACACCTGACACTATAACCCACACCCTATAACTTAATAATATGTAGCCAGTCACTAACCAGTGCCATTTCTGTAAACCCATGAAAACTGACAAACAACTTTGTATCAACCCCACTGCTTGTCCCCCTTTTTTTGCCTTTAAACATCCACTTGTAACTGCTGCTAAGCAGAGTGTGCATTCAGTGCAACTTGCATCCATGATCCCAGGTTGCAGTTCTCAAGCTTGGCCCAAATAAAGTTCTACTTATATAATTTTGCTTCAGCTTCTTCCTTTAAGGTTGGCATATCCTACATGCTGTAATTTTTTTCCCTGTTTTTTTCTGTACTTATTTTTTCCTGAATAGATCAGTAGATTGAGTGTGTGTGTGTGTGTATGTGTGTGTGTGTGTGTGTGTGTATGTGTATGTGTACCTTTTTTCTCCACTAAGATTATTTGGAAACTATGTGTTTGTTTGCCCACTGGTTGCTATATCCAACATAGTGGGACCCTAGCTCCACAAATTTTTCTTTTTTAATTAGCCAGGTCTGGTGGCATGTACCTGTAGTCCTAGCTTCTCAGAAGGCTGAGGCTGAAAGATCACTTGAGCCAGGAGGTCAAGGCTGCAGTGAGCTATGATTGCACCAGTGCACTCCAGTCTGGGCAACAGAGCATGACTCTATCTCTAAAAAATAAAATAAATTAAAAATGTTTTCAGAAATCTTTAAGACCTTAAAAATAGAATTGCCCAATCCAATATAAATTGAATTTCAGTGGACTAAATTAGGTGAATCAACCTGAAGACAGTAGAAATATCAAGATTGTTTCAATTGAATGCAGTGATAGAGAAAGAACAATGACCATAAAAATACAAAGTAAAATAAAGGCCATACACTCTAAAGCAAAAATAATGCCACTCAAAAGAAGAAAGTGGAGAGAGAGAGTGAATAGATGTTTTCAAGGTGGATAAATAAATAAATCTGTATTGGTGATAGTGTTGGAGACCTAATGAGAACAAAACTAGGAGTAATTGTATGAGAATATGGGTGAGCAAAGAATAATGCCTTTATTTAAATAAAGTACTTTGGGAGGCCAAGGTGGGCGGATCACCTGAGGTCAGGAGTTCAAAACCACCCTGGCCAACAAGGAGAAACCCTGTCTCTACTAAAAATACAAAAATCAACCAGGTGTGGTGGTGGGTGCCTGTAATCCCAGCTACTCAGAAGGCTGAGGCAGGAGAATTGCTTGAACCCGGGAGTCAGAGGTTACAGTGAGCTGAGATCATGCCATTGCACTGCAGTCTAGGCAACAGAGTGAGACTCTGTCTCAAAAAAAAAAAAAAAAAAAAATGGAGATAACACCCTAGAATTGCCAGAATTTAATCTTTTCAAGTATTTGTATGATTTGCTTTCAAATAAATGGTACCTAGTGAGATCTTTGCTAATGTCCTGCAAGAAACATTCCAAATTGATCTCAGATTTTCTGCCCAAGTAGTAGAAATTGAATGACTAGCTCAGTTTCTGAACATTCTGGGTGGCTAGAAGGGGGATGCAAGGGCTCCATGGCACCATATGGGAGATATGAAAAATAAAATAGGGATAGCTAAATGACATGTCCAGGGTAGCTTACTAAGTGGGTGCACCGAGAGAGAGTAAGAATCGGGCTCTCAAGCTTGAGACTCACTGTGTTGGTGTCACTCACTGTTGTGTATCAGTGATTGTTGTGGGAAGTCAGGGAACCCGAATGGAGGGACCTGCTGAAGCCGTAACAGAAGAACATAAATTGTGAAGATTTCATGGACATTTATCACTTCCCCAATCAATACTCTTATAATTTCCTATGCCTATCTTTAATCTCTTAATCCCATCATCTTCATAAGCTGAGGATGTATGCTGCCTCAGGACCCTGTGATGATTGCATTAACTGCACAAATTGTTCGTAAAGCATGTGTGTTTGAACAGTTTGAAATCTGGGCACCTTAAGAACAGGATAACAGTGATTTTCAGGGAACAAGGGAGATAACCTTAAAGTCTGGCTGCCTGTGGGCTGGGCAGGACAGAGCCATATTTCTCTTATTACGGAAAACAGGTAAGAGAAATATTGCTGAATTCTTTTCCCAGTAAGGAATATTAATAATTAACAGCCCTGGGAAAATAATGCCTTCCCAGGGGGGCCTCTAAAATGGCCACTCTGGGGGTGTCTGCCTTATGCAGTTGCAGATAAGGGATGAAACATGCTCTGGCCTCCTGCAGCACCCCCAGGCTTGCTAGGATTAGGAAATTCCAGCCTGGCGAATTCTAGTCAGACCAGTTCTCTGCTCTTGAACCCTGTTAAGATGTTTATCAATGACAATGTGTGCACGGCGGGACATGAAACTTCATTAGTGATTTTAGTTTCACCCTGACCTTGTGATCTCGCCCTGACCTTCTGCCCTTGTGATCTTTTGTCGCCCTTGAAGCATGTGATCTCTGTGACCCACACCCTATTCGTACACTCCTTCCCCTTTGAAAATTGCTAATAAAACCCTATTTGTACACTCCCTCCCCTTTGAAAATTGCTAATAAAAACTTGCTGGTTTTATGGCTCAGGGGGCATCATGGAACCTGCCGACCTGTGATGTCTTCCCCAGACACCAAGCTTTACCATTTCTTTCTTTTGTACTCTTTCGCTTTATTTCTCAGACTGGCCGACACTTAGGGAAAACAGAAAAGAACCTACGTTGAATTATCGGGGGCTGCTTCCCCCGATAAGTGATAGCCTGAATGAGTCACTTTCTGGGTCAAGAGCCAGGAGCTAAGTCAAGGGGAGTCAGCCAGAGGGAGGTGCTATTCAAGACGAGATTATGGGTGGGGTTCAGATTGACAGAGAGAAGAAGCTATTGGGCAAGAGTGGTGACTTGCTCACTCAGATGAGTTCGAAGATAATCTCTACTGATAAAACAATCAAACTTAGACCATACCATTCATGGAATGACATGGAGATGCACATTTCAGAGTATTGTGTCTTATTTTTCTCTATCTCCATTTTCTGTCAGGGCAAATTAACTCTGAGTACAATTTACAACTGCCTTCTCTTCCTTGGACTCAGCATAGCTCTCAGCAGTCTCCTGTCTTATAGGGACAGCCTGCTGTTTCTCATATTCCATAGGTCTAGTCTATTGTTGACTTACCCAACCTCTCAAGGAGAAAATGCGAGTACACTTACTTTATCTTTTGATAACTCCCTTCTTGAACTCCCCATCAGTATGAAGCTCACCCTGTTGAATGGCCTAGATGGAGGATATTACAAGGAACCAAAAGGACATTCAGGAAAAGTGAGAATTTTTTTTACCAAGTGATAAGTTTTATAAGAATGAAAAGTGGGTGCCGTACAGGTAAAATTGGTGCAAATAATATATTGTTACACCAAAAGGAATTTGAAGCTCTGAAGAACTTTCACCAGGAATCTGAATTGCAAAAAAAAAATTATGTGTGATGAAGATTAATGATAGAAACATCCCTAATTCAAAAGGTCTTATTTTTGCTTTGGATTAAGCATGCAAAAATCTGGAGTAGTCCTTGGCAGGAAGTGTTCTTGCTGTTGACTCCAGAGATACGGACTTTGGAAGTGGAAGCCATTAACCTGGATGTAACTGAATGGTTATATAGTCTAAGGTAGAAGAAATCGTGTAAAGCCTGATAGTAAAAAGTGGCAAATTGTCCTGATTATCAAGGGGGGAATTGGGTAGTTACTACACAATCGGCAGAAGAGAGTATAACTATACCACTCACACAAGGCATTCTGTGGGATGCCTCTTAGAACTCCCACGTCCCATTGTAAAACATGGGAAAATGATAATAATCCATTACAGGAAGGACTCCTGAGGGAATGTATACTTCATGAAGACGTGAGTAACTTCACCAGGTTAAAAAATCACAGCCAGTTGAGGTGTTTGCTGAGAGCATAGGGATTATGGAATGGATAGTGGAAGAAATTTTTTTTCAGGTGGAGTTCTGTTACGTTCCCCAGGCTGGTCTTGAACTCCGGAACTCAAATGAGCCTCCCACCTCAGCCACCTGAGTAGCTGGGATTACAGGCATGTGCCACTGTGTCTAACTTGAAAGAGGAAATTTTTAAATGCCAGCTTTAGCCTCAAGGCCAGCTGCTGAAACAAGGACTAAGTTAGATATTTATATAATCTTCCTCACTTTGATGTGTATATATATATATTTTTTTTCAGACAAGGTCTCGCTCTGTCATGTAGACTGGAGTGCAGTGGTGCGATCTTGGCTCACTGTAACCTTCACTTTCCAGGTTCATGCAATCCTACCACCTCAGCCCTCTGAGTAGCTCTACAGACATGTGCCACCATGCCCAGCTGATGTGAATATAGTTTCTGTATTAACTGAGTCCTCTGCTTTTTGTCTCAGTGCCTTCATACCCCTCTATGTAATATAGGTTTATATTGGTTGATCCTTGGTATTTATAGCATGAAAGAGCAAAAGGGGTTGTTAGTCATCTGGGAGACGGACTAGCATTTTCAAATATCTCTTCCATAGAGAAGATTAAAGGTCTTTGGGTTGTAAAATGAATAGTTGCATCACATTAGGTGGAAAATAGTATTGTTGCTGCTTTTATTTGGAAGTTGAAAATGTCTACAGATGCTTATTTTTGAATGGGGTGGACTGTGCTAGACTTTCTGTTGTCAACGTGTCCCCAACACCACTGTTCCTTCTGAAGTGGGAACCACGTTTTCCAGAATCACTTCCCCTATATGGAGCCCAGAAGGTGAATTGTATGATGTGGAAAATTCAGGAATAACAAGCACTATCGTATCCTCATGTGATTCACGTTCTGACCCATTATAAAGCAGACTACCTCTGTTGGTCCATTTCCATTGCTATAAATGAATACCTGAGGCTTGGCAATTTATAAGGAAAAGAGATTTAATTGGCTCACGGTTTTATAAGCTGTACAGGAAGCATGGTGCCAGCATCTGATTCTGGTGAGGGCCTTGGGAAGCTTACAATATGGCAGAAGGCAAAGGAGGAGCAGTCACGTCACATGGCAAGACAGAGAACAGGAGAGATGTCAGACTCAAGTCACCAGCTCTTGCACAAAGTAACAGGGTGAGAACTCACTTATTACTGTGAGGAGGGCACCAAGACATTTGTGAGGAATCTCCTCCCATGACCAAAACACCTCCCCAGGCCTCACCTCCAACATTGGGGATCACACTTTAACATGAGAGTTGGAGGGGACACACATCCAAACTGTATCACAGACAAGGGCAGGAAATTGTAAACTTTCATAACCAGAGCTAGATTGTGCCCCAACCACAGATGCTGTGCCAGATGTTGTGTCTTTATTGGGGCAAATCAAAACAGAGTTTGGTACTTGGTATGCAATTATTGATCTGGCAGTTGTGTTCTTACCAAAACCCTGCAGCCTCAAGTGTGTCTGGGCAAAGATGGAGCTGGGGTAAAGTCCTTTGGACTGGGTATGAGCCCATGGACGAGAACATGCATATGGAGTCAAGTCCTGGGAAGGCCACCTAGAGGAGGGAGCAGAAACAGGACAGATGAGCAGGTAGCACCCCTGCCTGCCTGGGCTGAGAAAGGACTTAGCACTGGCGAATACAGACCCACCTTTTCCTCACCCAGAAAAGCACAAGTGAGCTATCACAGGACCTGGAGTCGAGGTAGGACCGACCACAGAATTTTCAGGGCTCAGTGCAAAGTGAACATGCAGCGCTGCTTGTTCAATATGTGTTTTGGATTTCAACACAGTGACAGCAGAGCATAAAACCAACACCGGGCCCTTGTAAGTGCAGGGGACCCGCCCTTGTGGCTGGCTCTGGAGATCCACATCCTGAGATCTGACACGAGATTACAATTATGTAAGAACTCTTCCTCCCTGTTTTTCCAGAACAAAAACTACATAGAGGGAGGAGGAATAAAATATCAGGTGGGAAAGAAAGAAGTGGCTGGTAACACCCTCAGCATAGCTGAAAGTTTCCCAATCATGGAAAAACTGGATGTTGGTGGGAAAACATTGAGGACTCGTCCTCAATTTTCCCTAGTGACAAGTAAAGGCACCTCCATATAATAAATGTATGAGGAGTGGGTAGGGCAATAGGAAAGACGTTTCCCCAGTGCTCCTCACACTTGATATCCTCTGACATTTATGCTTCTAACCCTGGGGTTGGGAGCTGTCAAAAATGCAGCCCAGTCTCTCAGACCCTCTTTGGAACTGGCAGGTGACTCCAACCAAATTCCCAGATTAACTCTCTAAATTCCCATCCTCTTCTGGAATGTGGCTCGGTAATTGCTCATTACTTTGTTAGGTCATTGATGCTTTTAAGATGTTTTTGTATTTTGTTCAGCTTCTTTTATTGTCTTTAGCAAAAGGATTGATCCAAATTACCAGGTCTGATATTACTACAAACCAAGACCAATTATCTGAATTTTAAAATCTTTAAAGCTTGCTTGTCAAGAATCTGGGTGTTCAAATATTGTGATATTTGAAGTCTGAGAAGTACAAGAATGATAGAAGAGTTTTTAAAAATTAGTAAATTATTAATAACTTGGTCTATATATTCCTCCCAGAGAAGTAATATATTAATACATGAATCTGTCTCTGAAAACTAATAATGTCTAACACTTATCGAGCACATAATATATCCAAAATATTACCCTAATTTTCTTATATGTATTACCTTATTTTATTCTCCCAGCACATTTATCTGTTAATACTAATTCCTATTTCAAACTTACAGATAATAAAATTGAATAATTCACAGTGAGGTTAAGCAGCTGACTCAGGACTACAAAGATAGTAAGAATCAGAATCAGCATTTGAACCCAAAGTATCTAACTGTAGAGCCCAGGTTCTTAAACATCACTCTACAATGCCTCCATGCAGGGCAGGGAATAGAGTTGAATGAGAGAGGTATACATCTCTGGTGCAAAATTTAAGAGGGTGTCAAAAAATGAGTAAGGTAATACTTTGTGCCAAAAAATGAATAAGATAAGTAATACTTTGTGCAATTTTTTTTTTTAGACAGTCTCGCTGTGTCACCCAGACTGGAGTGCAATGGCATGATCTCTACTCAGCTGCAACCTCTGCCTCCCAGGTTCAAGTGATTCTCCTGCCTCAGCCTCCCGAGCAGCTGGGATTACAGGCGCCCGCCACCACACCTGGCTAATTTTTTTGTATTTTTAGTAGAGACGGGGTTTCACCATTTTGGCCAGGCTGGTCTCGAACTCCTGACCTCAAGTGATCCTCCTGCCTCAGCCTCCCAAAGTGCTGGGATTACAAGCATGAGCCACCGTGCCTGGCACTATTTTTTTTTTTTTTTTTGAAACGGAGTCTCGCTCTGTCACCCAGGCTGGAGTTCAGTGGCACAATCTCGGCTCACTGCAACCTCCACCTCCCTGGTTCAAGCGATTGTCCTGCCTTAGCCTCCTGAGTAGCTGGGATTACAGGTGCATGCCACTACGCCCGACTAATTTTTTTTTTTTTTTTTTTTTTTTGAGTGGAGACGGGGTTTCACCACGTTGGTCAGGCTGGTCTTGAACTCCTGACCTCGTGATCTGCCCGCCTCGGCCTCCTAAAGTCCTGGGATTACAGGCGTGAGCCACCGTTCCCAGCCCAGCACTATTTTTAAAAATCAAAATTAATGCCAAAAAAAAAAAAAGAAAAGAAAACTGGAGAAGGATCCAATTGGATGACTAGATGCAGGTAGTATGTGCCTCTTCCACAGAGAGGAACAAAAACAGGAAGTAGATATTCACATTTTGAATATATTGTTTAGGAGAGAATTCTAGCATTGACCAGGCAAGAGACAGGAAACAGCAGAAGTAAGTAACAAGAGGGTTTGAGGCCACTCGCCCACTTGGGGACACACTGAGAGCTGGAGATGCTCTAGGATGCAGGAAAACAGTGAGAGAGAAACCCGCAGGGATCCAAAATGAGCTTTTATAATCTTGACTCTGGGAGAAACCCTCAACCACTAAGGCCACAGGCCTGACATACAGAGCTGCCTAAAGATTGCACAGGGCCATTGCTGCAGAAAGGGAGCCCTCACAGAAGCCCACAGGCATCTGAACCTGGAATAACCTCAACTGGGAGCCATTTGAGAGCCCAGATGCCAGGGATCTACACATGTGGGTGCTGCTCCTAGGGGGAAGTGGGGATCCTAGGGGCTGTCATTCACCCCTGGGAGGGTCCCTGCCACCCTGCAGCAGGCTGCTGTTGAGACTGCGATGTGACCGGACCACACTCCCCCCAGCCTGTTGCCCATGCTGCTTGCCTGAGATGCGCCCCATCCTCTCTGGTCCAAGGCTGAAAGCACCATTTTCAGTTTATCACTGGGCTGCACCCCACATTCAGGCCAAGTTGGAGGCAATGTGACTGAATCTATTGCCCAGTTGGGAGAAGAAAAGGGGAGTCCAAGCTCTTCTAAGCACACGCATTACCCTACCCACTGCCCTTATCACTTTATGTGGTTCCAGATATCTTGAAGGTTTTGCTCATTCTTCAATCTTTTTTAGCCCTTAATTTTGTTTGACTGGATTGTTTCAAAAGATCTGTCCTCTACTAAAAAAAAAAAATAGCTGGGCATGGTGGTGCAAACCTGTAGTTACAGCTACTCGGGAGGCTGGGGTGGCAGGATTGCTTGAGGTGGAGTTCGAGACCAGCCTGGCCAACATGGTGAAACCCTGTCTCTACTGAAAATACAAAAATTAGCGGTGTGGTGGTGGGCACCTATAATCCCAGCTAATGGGGAGGCTGAGGTGGGAGGATCACTTGAGCCTGGGAGGCAGAGGTTGTAGTGAGCTGAGATCGTACCACTACCCTCCAGCTTGGATGATAGAGTGAGACTCCGTCTCAAAACAATATACAGATAGTTTACTTAATCCTTTATCAAATGTGTACTGAACTAGGAATCAGGCAATGTAATATATATATACATATATATATACGCATTATATATAAAATACTCCACATAAGAATAAAAAAAGATGTAATTATGCACATCAGGCCATCAAAGAATGAGAAAGAATGAGAAAACTCTTGGGGACATGGTCCAAGGTAGTCAAGAGCCCCAACATTTTAGGGTCCAGGGACCCTTCCAAATCCCTTTGGAGAGTCCTCCTACCCCTCACTCCCTGCTGTCCTGTGATTCCACCCCCACCTGGACACAGGAGGGTGAGGATGGAGGCTGCAGCTGGGGGAGATGAGGGGCACTGCAGATGGGCTGGGAGATGCAGTGGGGCAGTGAGAGACCAGGAGGAGCTCTAAACCAAAAATAAAATCTTCAGCTCCCCAGCCAACTGGACAGAGCCTCTCTTGGCCAAGGTGACCCAAGAGAAATCTGAAAAACTAAATTCCAGGCCATGATGGGAAGGGAGGTCAGACACCCCTTGTGTTCAATCCCTTCCCTCTTGGAGTTTAGGCACAACTGGCCATCATTAACATTAAAATAGAGAGCGTGGCCGGGTGCGGTGGTTCACGCCTGTAATCCCAGCACTTTGAGAGGCCGAGGCGGGTGGATCATGAGGTCAGGAGTTCGAGACCAGCCTGACCAACATGATGAAACCCTGTCTCTACTAAAAATAAAAAAATTAGTCGGGCATGGTGGCGCATGCCTGTAATCCCAGCTACTCAGGAGGCTGAGGCAGGAGAATCACTTGAACCCAGGAGGCGGAGGTTGCAGTGAGCCAAGATCGTGCCACTGCACTCCAGCCTGGGCAACAGAGCAAGACTCTGCCTCAAAAAGAAAAAAAAAATAGAGATCGTAAGGCTAACACAACAGACTCTGTGACAATAAGATACCAAATTTCAACCTGACTGTCTTATAACATCACACTACAGATAGCCAGCCCTGAAGGAAATCAAAATATTTTGCCCCAAAATATAATTCTTTGACATATTTTAAAATGGCCCTACAAAGCCATTTTTTTATGGGAGAAATTTACAACTGTACAGAATCTCCTTCCCATTCTAGGTCTTTCCCAGATCTAGGAGAGATTAAATGAGAGTCTGACACCTTTTAGGTCTAAAAAGAAACATTTATCATCTATTCTCTCTGAAGCCTGCTACCTTGAGATTTCATCTACATAAAAAGAACCTTGGTTTCCACAACTTCCCTTATCTGAACGCAAGCATTACTTTCTACTGACTTCAAGTCTTTAGAGATAGCTTAGCTCTTTCAACCAATCAGAAAATCTTTGAATCCACCCATAAGCCCCCACTTCAAAATGCCCTGCATTTTCAGGCTGAACCAATGTATACCTTACGTGTATTGATTTATGTCTTTGCCTGTAGCTTCTGTCTCCCTAAAATATATAAAACCAAGCTGTAACCTGACCAACTCAGGCACACTTTCTCAGAACTTCCTCGACTCTGTTCCCCAGACTGTGGTCACTCACATTGGCTCAGAATAAACCTCTTTAAATATTTTACAGAGTTTGGTTTTTTCATCAACACAGTGAGTAGAGCAGAGAGAAGAGGCAGAGAGAGAAGACCAGGGTGGGAGAGACGAGGATAGGTGAGGAGAGGAGGAGAAAGAGGCAGGGCTGCAGGGGTCCGGGCAGATCTGGTTGTGGGGTGGGGGGTCTGTGAGAGGCAGGGATGCAGGGGTCTGGGCAGAACTAGTTGTGGGGTGCAGAGTCTGTGAGAGGCAGGACTGCAGGGTGAGCTCTGAGCAGAGCTGGTCATGGGGTGGGGAGTCTGTGAGAGGCAGGGGTGCAGGAGTCTGAGCAGAGCTGGTTGTGGGGTGCGGGGTCTGTGAGAGGCAGGGCTGCAGAGGTGCAGGTGTCTGAGCAGAGCTGGTCATAGGGTGGGGGGGGTCTGTGAGAGGCAGGGGTGCAGGAGTCTGAGCAGAGCTGGTTGTGGTGTGCAGGGTCTGTGAGAGGCAGGGGTTTGCAGGAGGGGAAGGATCTGAGCAGCCTGACTTGGGCTCGGGTGGGGTCCTCCTTACTTGACGTGCAGCTGCTGGTCTCCACTCTGCTCAGTCAGGCTTCACATCGGGTCTGATGAATCCGAGCACAGCAGGAAAGAGGGTAGAATGGAAGAGCATTTATGAGGATGGGTGGATCGTTTACTGAACAGTGGCATCTCAGGACAAACATTGCTGTTGGGCTGGGCTCAGTGGCTCATGCCTATAATCCCAGCCCTTTGGGAGGCCACGAGGGGAGGTCAGGAGTTCAAGACCAGCTTGACCAACGTGATGAAACTCCATCTCTGCTGAAAACACAAAAATTAGCCGGGAGTGTTGGTGCATGCCTGTAATCCCACCTACTCGGGGGGCTGAGGCATAAGAATTGCTTGATCCCGGGAGGTGGAGGTTGCAGTGAGCTGAGATTGTGCCACTGCACTCCAGCCTGGGCGACAGAGTGAGACTCTGTCTCAAAAAAAGCAAAAACAAAAAAACATTGCTATTGGTTGGGGGTGGCAGAGATTATAGAGATTCCCCCAGGGTTTTCCCTCTTGTTGGTAACACCTCACCATCTCTCCAGAAGACAAATACACGCATCTGTGATGTATATATTCATATATGAGAAACAGGAATGCTGCAATGGAGTTTCGTATTCAGACTAGCCCTAACTCCATCTTGATTGAGAGCCAAGAAAACACCTGCTTTACTGAGGCACTGGTATTTTGATGATATTTTTCTTTTTTTTTTTTTTCTGAGACAGAGTCTCCCTCTGTTGCGCAGGCTGGAGTGCAGTGGCACGATCTCAGCTCACTGCAACCTCCACCTCCCGAGTTCAAGCAATTCTCCTGCCACAGCCTCACGAGTAGCTGGAACTACAGGCACCTGCCACTATACTCGGCTAATTTTTGTGTTTTTAGTAGAGACAGGGTTTCTCCATATTGACCAGGCTGGTCTCGAACTCCTGACCTTGTGATCCGCCTGCCTTGGCCTCCCAAAGTGCTGAGATTACAAGCGTGAGCCACCGCGCCCAGCAGTATTTTGATAATTTTAAAATAGCCTTTTATATTTACTACATTTGTATTAGTCAAGGTTCTCTAGAGGACACAACTAATAGGATATATGTATATATGAAAGGGAGTTTATTAAGGAGAATTGACTCACATGACTGTAAGGTGAAGTCCCACAATAGGCATCTGCAAGCTGAGGAGCAAGGAAGCCAGCAGTGGCTCAGTCTGAGTCCCAAAACCTGAAAAATATGACAGTGAAGCTGACGGTGCAGGCTTCAGTCTGTGGCGGAAGCCCTGAGAGCACCTGGCAAACCACTGGTGTAAGTCCAAGGGTCCAAAAGTCAAAGAACCTGAAGTCTTGATGTTCAAGAGCAGGGAAGCATCCAGCACAGAAGAAAGATGAAGGCCTGGACGACTCAGCAAGTTGACTCATTCCGTTTTCTTTGGCCTACTTTTCCTAGCTGGGCTGGCAGCCGATTGGATGGTGCCCCCCCAGATTGAGGGTGGGTCTGCTGCTCCCAGTGCACTGACTCAGATGTGAATCTCCTCTGGCAATGCCCTCTCAGACACACCTAGCAACAATATTTTGCATTCTTGTATTCAATCAAGTTGATACTTAATATTTGCCATCCCAACATTGAAACCTCCTTTGCAGAATTATAAGTAAGGAGAGAAATCAAACATGACTGACTCCATCTTGCTTCCAGCCTCACTGCTACATTTGGTTGTGTGTTGTGTGTTTTCTGTTTTATTTATTTATTTATTTATTTATTTCTTATTCCAGCACAGAGACCAAGATAACTATGAGAGGAATTTAACTTATAGTTCAACTTGCAGACAAGGGAAACTGACCCTCCTTCTTGTCCAGAGATTGAAGCCACATTCATAAGGTGAGTTTAAAATTATGGAAGGGGACTTGAATTTTGCTAAAGAATAGGCGTGGTCAAACAATGACCTGCCATCACTTAACTTGTTTTTCTATAAGTTGCTTCCTGCCCCAGAGTCACATAACAGGGGGTTGCAAGATTTATAACTTCCCCAACTACCTCTGTAGATCACATCACTATTGTGAAACCTAAAGCACTGATCTTTGAGAGAGTTTTCAGATTTAGCACTTCGGCAGACCCAGGGCTGCCGCCTGGTCCTGACACTCCCTCCCAGGAACTGACTCAGCTGCGTAAAGACAGCTTTAGACGTCCCTGTGATGTCATCAACTGTTTCAGTTTCCCAGCTCCCTGCCTGTCAAAGGATCCTTAAAAAGCCCTGGCCCCCAAATTCTTGGAGAGACGGGTTTGAGGAGTTTCTCTCTGTTTTCCTTGCTTGGCTAGCCATGAAATAACAAAAGTCTTTGCAACAATACTGGTTGTTCTCAGTATATTTGGCTCTCTGGGCAGTGGGCAAGGTGAACTTGTAGGATTGTTACAACCTGATTACCTTCCCAGTACCTCTCCTTTCTCCCTCCAGATCTGGTCTCCAGTCAGACATCATTTTCTTTCATTAGGAAGAACTTTC
Source organism: Homo sapiens (assembly GCF_000001405.40). Lineage (NCBI taxonomy): Eukaryota > Metazoa > Chordata > Mammalia > Primates > Hominidae > Homo > Homo sapiens. The sequence goes on from NC_000019.10 coordinate 46,181,963, forward strand.
TTTTTAGCATCTCCTATAATACATGTTCACTGGCAACAATTTCCCTGAACTTTTGTGTGCATAAAAATATACTCATTTTATATCATTATTTTTGAATGGTATTTTCAGTGGATAAAGAATTCTGGACCAGGCGCAGTGGCTCACACCTGTAATCCCAACACTTTGAGAGGCCGAGGTGGGCAGATCACAAGGTCAGGAGTTCGAGATGAGCCTGGCCAACATAGTGAAACCCCGTCTCTACTAAAAATACAAAAATTAGCCGGGCTTGGTGGTGCATGCCTGTAGTCCCAGCTACCAGGAAGCCTGTGGCAGGAGAATTGCTTGAACCTGGAAGGCAGAGGTTGTGGTGAGCCAAGATCGCACCACTGCACTCCAGCCTGGGCAACAGAGAAAGACTTTGCCTAAAAAAAAAAAAAAAAAAAAAAAAATTCTGGATGCCCAGAACATTTTTTCTCTCACAATTTGCTTGTGTTTTTTTAGTGCATTCTTAATTACTGTTTATATTGAGATCTTAACATAATTTCTATTTGCTAAAAGAAAACTTGAGCCAAGTACAAGAAAAAACTTATAATGTCACAGGCATAGCTTAAGTCCTTTTTTGTTAGCTGAGTTGATTGAGGCATAATGTACATACAGTAAACTCCATCCGTTCCGTGCACTGAACTTGTTGTGTGAGTTGGAGATTGGATCCTTTCTTTCTCGATGCACGTGTCAGCCACGGTGTTGCATGTGTCAGATCGTCCCTTTTCATTGCCGAGCAGGACTTTGCTGATGACTGTACTGCCGTTAGTTTCTCCATCCACCTGCTGAAGGACATTGGGTCAGTGTGGCCCTGCCTTTCCCTGCCTCCTCTCCCTACACTCCTGCCCTCTGTCTTGTGGTTTCTCCCCATCTCTCCTGCCTCTCTCTGTCATCTCTCTTGTCTCTCCTCACATTCTCTAGTCTCTCCTCACCTCACCCCTTTCTCCCTTTCTCCTCATACTCTTCTCAATGCTTCCCACTTCTCCCCATCTCTCCCAGACTGTATTACTCCATTCTCACACTGCTATAAAGCTACTGCCTGAGATTGGGTAATTTATAAACAAAAGAGATTAATTGACTCACAGTTCCATGTGGCTGGGGAGGCCTCGGGAAACTCGACTTCAATTATCATGGTGGAAAGCAAAGGGGGAAGCAAAGGCATGTCGTACATGGCAGCAGGAGAGCAAGACGGGGGACGTGCCACATTTTTAAACCATCAGATCTCATGAGAATTCACTCACTATCATGAGAACAGCATGAAGGAACCACCCCCATCATCCAATCACCTCCCACCAGGTCCTTCTCCTGACATGTAGGATTACAATTCGAGATGAGATTTGAGTGGGGACACAGAGCCAAAGCATATCACAGACTCTCCCAGTTTCCATTCTCTCTCCCTCTTTCTCCAGCCTTCTCTCCCTCTCTCATTTCTTCCCTCCCAGCCACTCTTTCTTCTCTCTCCCAGGCTGGGCCTCAGCCTACCCCTCCCAGTCTCTCCTGATTCCTCTTCTGTCTCCCAGTCTCTCCCCTACTCTGTCTCTCCTTTCTGCAGACTTTTTTTTTTTTTTTTTAGATGGAGTCTCACTCTGTCACCCAGGCTGCAGTACAATGGGGTGATCTCTGCTCACTGCAACCTCCACCTCCTGGGTTCAAGCAATTCTCCTGTCTCAGCCTTCCGAGTAGCTGGGATTACAGGTGCCTGACACCATGCCTGGCTAATTTTTGTATTTTTAGTAGAGATGAAGTTTCATGATGTTGGCCAGGCTGGTCTTGAACTCCTGACCTCAGATGATCTGCCTGCCTCGGCCTTCCAAAGTGCTGGGATTACAAGCATGAGCCACCACGCCCAGCCTTGCAGACTCTTGTCACAGGTTTCTCCTTGTCTTTCGCTTCTCTACTAATTCCTCAGTCCCATCACTCCCATGCTTCTCTAATTTCTCCAGCCTTCTAGGTTTTCAGCATTTTTTCCCCTTCTAGTTGCATCGGTTTTTGCCCCCAAAATTGGTTATTTCCTTTTTGAGTTCCTATTTGATTTAAGGGATATCTGTCAGCATATTTCTTAACTTTCCAGTGATGATGGAGATCACGTTTTCTCATTATTTAATTCTAATTTTATTGGACACACTTCTAATTTTGTTCTGGTAAGGTTTTCATTGCATTCAACACATGTATAATTTTGCTTGTGGGTCATAATCAACCACAAAATGCATGGTGTCTACTTGGGTAGTTCAAAATTATATGTGCCTCTCTCTTTCTTTCAATGTCACTGCTTTCCTTTTTCTTTTTTTTTTCTTTTTTAATTATACTTTAAGTTCTGAGGTACATGTGCAGAATGTGCAGGTTTGTTACATAAGTATACATGTGCCATGGTGGTTTCCTGCACCCATCAACCCGTCATCTACATTAGGTATTTCTCCTAATGCTATCCCTCCCCCAGTCCCCCACCCCCGACAGGCTCCGGTGTGTGATGTTCCCCTCCTTGTGTTCATGTGTTGTCATTGTTCAACTCCCACTTATGAGTGAGAACATGCAGTGTTTAGTTTTCTGTTCTTCTGTTAGTTTGCTGAGAATGATGGTTTCCAGCTTCATCCATGTCCCTGCAAAGCCTTTTTTTATGGCTACATAGTATTCCATGGTATGTATGTGCCACATTTTCTTTATCCAGTCCATCACTGATGGGCATTTGGGTTGGTTCCAAGTCTTTGCTATTGTGAACAGTGCCACAATAAACATACATGTGCATGTGTGTTTATAGTAGAATGATTTATAATCCTTTGGGTATATACCCAGTAATGGGATTGCTGGGTCAAATAGTATTTCTAGTTCTAGATCCTTGAGGAATCGCCACATTGTCTTCCACAATGGGTGAACTAATTTATACTCCCACCAACAGTGTAAAAGCATTCCTATTTCTCCACATCTTCTGTTGTTTCCTGACTTTTTAATGATTGCCGTTCTAGCTGGCGTCAGATGGTATCTCATTGTGGTTTTGATTTGCATTTCTCTGATGACTAGTGATGATGAGCATTTTTCCATGTGTCTGTTGGCTGCATAAATGTCTTCTTTTGAGAAGTGTCTGTACATGTCCTTTGCCTACTTTTTGATGGGGTTTTTGGTTTTTTTTCTTGTAAATTTGTTTAAGTTCTTTGTAGATTCTGGATATTAGCTCTTTGTCAGATGGATAGATTGCAAAATTTTTCTCCCACTCTGTAGGTTGTCTGTTCACTCTGCTGATAGTTTCTTCCTTTTTTCTACCCCCCTCCCTCTCAGTTCCTCTCTTCTTCTCTGGGCAGCTGCTCCTCTCTCTGCCTGCCAGCTCAGTTTCCTTGTGTCTACTACCCTTCCTTAGGGTGGGCCATGCCTCCAGTCCAGCCTGGGGAAGGGCCACTGTGGGTGCTCAGAATCAGAGACATGGGGAGGAGGCAATGATGGGGAGATTTAGGCACCCGCCTTCACTCCTGCTCCCTTAGAAAATCCAGATAGCAGCTGCCAAGTCAAGGAACCTGGGCTCTTCCCTCTACTGGATAAAGGTGGGGGCTCTAGAGTGGTGTGGGAGTCTAGCAGTCACACAGCGTGGTCAGAGCCAATACTGGGCACCTCTCTTTCTAAAAGTTGGATGTGAGGAGACCTGGTCCTTAATTTCTTCTGAAGAGAAGCCTGTTTATTCCTAGAGCTTTGAAAATACCGGACCTGGTTAATACACCCAGTCTATACAGTGAGCTTGGATCATTGAGGTCGTTTTATTATTATTGTTGTTATTATTACTGATGTTTATTGTTGTTATAACCTTGACTAAAGTTTATCCATGAAATGGGTTTGATTTACTGAAGTTGTCGACAGAGGGTCCCCTACACACACCTCGCACCCCGGCCTCCCAAGGTCATGTACATGCCAGGCAGGCAGTCCTATGAGCCCCGGGAAATTTTTAAGACTCCCTCTGAAGGAAGGGACAGATCAGTGATGGCCTGAGAGGGCTATGGTGGGCGTCATCGGCCCGGCCTCCGTCCCATCTGGTGCTGGGTAGTCTTTATGAGACTCTAGGAAAATTTCCTAATCGTTCTCCAGGTCTCGGGAACCTCCTGTTCCAGCCAGGAAGTCTCGAGGTGAGTGTGTCCTTTGCTTGGCAGGGCCCAGTGATCACAGGAGGCTCGCCCCAAATTTCCCCAAGACTCCCTACTGGGGCCGGGCTGATTGCGTGCCGGCAGCCCTGGGTGAAGAAACTCCGTCCAAGGGGCACCAGGAAACGGCCGTGGATCAGGCCGCAGGCAGGGCACCCCCGCCGACCTGAAGACCCAGATCAGACCTGGTGCCGTCCATGCCACTTGTCGGGCGCCACCTGGCAGTCACTTTTAGAGGGTTTTCTCTGGCGCTCCGGAGAATTTTGGATGGGATATTACCCAGCTGCGGTGTCCACAGAAGCGTTCCAGGACCCTGGCAGCGGTGGCAGGCTCTTATCGGTGTTGACCCCATGCTATTGTGGAATAAATTCCTTGACCTTGTTCCTGCAGGGAAAGAGTGCTATGGCCTGGATATGGTCCCACATGGAGGCTGCTTATCAGATTCACTGTCCACAAGTTTATCAAAGCCCAGCTGATAAAATGAACATCACATCCCGTTTCTCCTAGTCACTTGTCCTCCTTCCCCAGGAAACCTCTATCCAGTTGATAGTCTGGCCTTCCAGAAGATATTACAAGAAGGAAGGCTTTTCAGCACAGCATAGATTTGATGGCTGCAGGGACAGATATGGGGTGTTAATTAGCAAATTAGGCGTCTCTTTTCTACCCTTCCCTAAAGTGTACAATTGAAAAACACTGAAGTCCGCTGCTACGTGTCAGGCATTGTTTAGGGGCACAGGGAGTCCCTGGCTAACAGGAAAGACAAGATGCCTGCTCTCTTAACGAGCCTGCTCTTCAGTGTGAAAGAAAAAAATAACCTAAGTTTATTTAAGCTTTGCTCTCAGATCACACGATTATAAAACAGGAGGAACCTGGTAGATAGTGTAAAGTATTTCACAGTGGGGAGACATTAGAAAGGGGGGTTTCCTAAGGATGAGCACTTGCTTATAGGGAGACCAGACCTGGCTTTTCTTTAGCACTTGAAAGATGTCAGACCTGCTGGTGGTTGGACCCAGTCGATGCTGCTGGTATGTGCTACCTGATCAGAGATGGTGAGCATTAACCCGTTTAAACCTGAGGTTGTGCTGCTGGTGTGTGCTACCTGATCAGAGATGGTGAGCATTAACCCGTTTAAACCTGAGGTTGTGCTGCTGGTGTGTGCTACCTGATCAGAGATGGTGAGCATTTACCCATTTATACCTGAGGTTGTGCTGCTGGTGTGTGCTACCTGATCAGAGACGGTGAGCATTAACCCGTTTAAACCTGAGGTTGTGCTGCTGGTGTGTGCTACCTGATCAGAGACGGTGAGCATTAACCCATTTAAACCTGAGATTGTGCTGCTGGTGTGTGCTACCTGATCAGAGACGGTAAGCATTAACCCGTTTAAACCTGAGGTTGTGCTGCTGGTGTGTGCTACCTGATCAGAGATGGTGAGCATTAACCCGTTTAAACCTGAGGTTGTGCTGCTGGTGTGTGCTACCTGATCAGAGATGGTGAGCATTAACCCGTTTAAACCTGAGGTTGTGCTGCTGGTGTGTGCTACCTGATCAGAGATGGTGAGCATTAACCCGTTTAAGCCTGAGGTTGTGCTGCTGGTGTGTGCTACCTGATCAGAGACGGTGAGCATTAACCCATTTATACCTGAGGTTGTGCTGCTGGTGCTACCTGATCAGAGATGGTGAGCATTAACCCGTTTAAACCTGAGGTTGTGCTGCTGGTGTGTGCTACGTGCTACCTGATCAGAGATGGTGAGCATTAACCCGTTTAAACCTGAGGTTGTGCTGCTGGTGTGTGCTACCTGATCAGAGACGGTGAGCATTAACCCATTTATACCTGAGATCGTGTTGCTGGTGTGTGCTACTTGATCAGAGACGGTGAGCATTAACCCATTTGTATCTGAGGTTACAGTTTTTAAATTTGAAAAATCGGACCTTGGTGATGACCTTGAGCAATAGGATATAAATAATTCCCACATTCTTAGCATTCCAATAATGGAACACTAGGCATAAATGGGGTTAATGCTTTCTTGAATAATTTATGAGAGTCTCCAAAAGTTCCAGTTTCACCCTCCCCCAATACCTATTTCTCCCTATCTTTACCTGTTCCAGATCGGTCCTTGGTCCAGCCCCCAGAAAGGCAGGTAACCCCAGGGCATCTTGTGCATGTCAGGGTTAGTGGGGGGCCCAGTGTGTGTACTGTAGACACCCATTTATTTGTTTTGTGGTGGAGCAGTTCATCATGAATCTTGCTGTTTGCACATGATCAGCTAAGTGAAAGGTCCATCCCCAGCCACCGTGACGCTCATTCCTGTGACCGCCCCCCCCACTCTCCTCTATATTGCCTTTGTGATTATAATTTGTGTGGACCAACTCCCATGCAGGATAATTTTGGACTATCAACATAAAGCAGCACAGCCTTGATAATGGGTGATCAGAAGCTCAGTGTGTTCCTCTCTCTATACTGAGGCTTACAATAGACCTCCTGGGTCTTTGTGAACCCATAGTGTTCCCCGTGGGTTCTGTGTTCCATGACCAATGGTTTTCAGATGCTCAGTGTCCTTCCTGGTTGTTGGGGACCCATACCCAGCTGGCCCCTATGGCCATCTGACAGCACTTCAGATGTATGGCTGGTGGGAGGCACCTCACTCCTTGTTTGTCCTCTGATGCCCACATATTTCCTACCCTTGCCTGACAGCTCATTTGCCTCCCAGCATATGGCCAGAGGCACACCTTTAGCAACTCGGACAGAGCCCCCATTCATCCTGGGGCAGGTGGCCAGCTCTTTGTGGGAGCATGGCAGGCAACTGCGAAGTCTTCCACAGTGGGATAGAGAGTCCTGGGATGTAGGGACCAGCCCTACAGGGTCTGTGGGTTTTTCTCCCCATGTGCGGAGACGAGAGATCATAGAAATAAAGACACAAGACCAAGAGATAAAAGAAAAAACAGCTGGGCCCGGGGAACCACTACCACCAAGACACAGTGACCAGTAGTGGCCCCGAATGCCAGGCTGCGCTGTTATTTATTGGATACAAGACAAGGGGGCAGGGTGAGCAGTGTGAGCCATCTCCAATGATAGGTAAGGTCATGTGGGTCATGTATCCACTGGACAGGCGGCCCTTCCCTGTTTGGCAGCTGAGGTGGAGAGAAAGGAGACAGCTTATGCCTTTATTTTTGCATTTCAGAGACTTTTAGTACTTTCACTAATTCTGCTACTACCTAGAAGGCAGAGCCAGGTGTACAGGATGGAACATGTAAGCGGACCAGGAGCGTGACTGCTCTGAAGCACAGCATCACAGGGAGACAGGCCTCTGGATAACTGCGGGCAGGCCTGACGGATGTCAGGCCCTCCACAAGAGGTGGTGGAGCAGAGTCTTCTCTAACTCCCCCGGGGAAAGGGACACTCCTTTTCCCAGTCTGCTAAGTAGTGGGTGCTTTTCCTGGGCACTGACGCTACCGCTAGACCAAAGTCGGCTAGGTAACGGGCATCTTCCCGGGCACTGGCATTAACGCTAGACTAAGGAGCCCTCTAGTGGCCCTGTCGGGGCATAATAGAAGGCTCACACTCTTGTCTTCTGGTCATTTCTCACTGTGTCCGTTCAGCTCCTATCTCTGTATGGCCTGGTTTCTCTTAAGTTATAATTGTAGAGAGAAGATTATTATTATAATGGAATAAAGAGTAATTGCTACAGACTAATGATTAGTAATATTCATATATAATCATATCTACGATCTATATCTAGTATAACTATTCTTATTTTATATGTTTTCTTTATTATACTGGAACAGCTTGTGCCCTCGGTCTCTTGCCTCGGCACCTGGGTGGCTTGCTGCCCACACTGGGAAATGTGTAAGTAACACGTCCTGGGTTGACAGGGTAGAATCTGAGTAATAAATTTGTGAATGAGCCCTTGGGGCTGAAATCAGGAACTCTGCAGGGACCCCAAAGCCCAGAACCCAATATTAAACACGGTGTTATGTGTCAGTTTGCTGGTGCTGCAGAATCAACGACCTCTACATTCAGTGTCATGGAACAACCACATCATGATTGCTCCTGAGTCCATAGGTCATCTCGTGATTCTGTTGATCTGGGCCAGGCTCAGTTGACCTTGATGGGGGGGTTGCTCACATGTCTGTGCTCAGCAGGTAGATAGACTGGATTCTGGTTCATCTACAAAGAACTCATTCACCTGTCCTCAGTTGTCTGGAAATAGGCTTTTCTGGGATGTCCTCAGCTGGGACATCAGGGCTCTGTCTCCTCCATGTGGTCTCTCACCCTCCAACAGGCTGGCCAGAGGGTGTTCACATTGCTTTAATTTCCTGAGAAAGTGGAAGTACCAGAGTCCTTGAGCAAAGTCTTAACTCAAAACTGGCACATGATCGATCACTCCACAGTGTCCTATAGACCACAAATTCCACAGGGTGCAGACAGTCAAGGGAATGGGGACATGGATACCAAATCTTAATAGACGTAAAGTCATATTTTGCAAGTGTGTGAATGAGGAAGGAGAGATAATCAGGACTGTATCTGCAGCCTACCACAGACCCTCCCAGCCCTCTTTGCCAAGGCTGAGGATATTTATCACGCCCCCTGGTAATCCCCCAACCCTCTCCTGTGGGGCAAAGAGCCTTGCATCATTCCTTCCCCCATGGGGGGTGGGGGTTGACTTTGAAGAGACCAAAAATGCATGTGGCTTTAGGGTATTCTGCAAAATCACGGACCTGGATCTTTTTACCATCAAAAAGAAAAATTCAGAAAAGACAATCCCTGAGACTCTGGCCCTCGCCCTCAGAAGAAGGGTTGACTATTCGGGAGTCCCGCTGAGTCATCTGTGGTGCTAGGAACACCAGGAATGATTGAGCCTCCAGTCCAAGCTCCATCTCCCCTCAGGCCCCTCAGTATGCACCATCCCCACAATGCCAGCATTTCTCAATGGACTGGACCTCAAAGTGGGGGAGAAGCAGGTATGTTTTTCTGAGGCATGTCAAGAAAGACTTCATTCTAGATATGTTAGAGATATCTCACCTTCCTTTCTAAATTTAACAAAAAAGTTATTAAATATAGAATTAATAAAGGAAAAATCATACTTCTAGTATAATTTCAAGAGCCCACAGAAAACAGATACTACAAAACTCAGCCCAGAAAGGGAAGACGCAGGGCCATAATGGGAGGGAGAGGAGAAAAGAGACTGATTTGGGGTTGGGAGGCCGATGTAGACTCCAGGGTATGCCTCACTGGAAGGAATGCTATTCCTCACTGAATTTTCCCTCCCAGGGCGGGGTGAGGGTCAGATTCAAGTTTGGCCTCAACCTGAGCTGGGCTAAAGAGAAGATCAGGAAGTGAGGATGAGGATGAAGGAAGGTGGACAGGACTAGGTGGTGGTGGGAACAAGTAAACGTTGCCAGAGTGGATAGGTGCATCCTGGGAAAGAAAGCTCTGAGCTCTGAGGTGTGTCTTTATGTCATACTTTGGATTGAGTTCTCAATCTCACCACCTGCAAGGAACAGGGAGGGCAAGAGACATGAGGGCCCTTTTCTCTCTCCTTTTTTTCTCCAAAAGAAAGCATGTTTTTGGAGAGCCGCAGGTCATCACAGACTCAGGGGCCTTGTGAAATTATGCTGGGAAGCAGAAATGAGCAAACCGGCTTCTCATGTTTGTTACTTTGTCTCACAGTGACCACCATAATTTCATTAAATATTAGCTCTCTTCTCCCCCCATCATTTGATTACTCTTTTTGTAAAATATGGGATTTTTACATAGTTTGACTAAAAGTATCTGATTTTCTTTTGTAATCTTATTTACTATTTTATTTGTAATCATTGAATTTTTGATTCATACTTTTCTTCTTGGCATAGCTTGTTTTCCATTATTTTATACATGTGAGAGGTGTTCTTTTAAAACTTCATCAGCACAGCAATAAAGTGAAAACCAAAGCTCCTTTTCCACTCTAAGCCCTTGTCTTTCTCCTTGGAGTGATTCACTGTCCTCTCTGGTGAGAACTCAGGGTTCCAAACGTGCCTAGAAGAGCACACCCACAGGGACACAACAGTGGGCAGCAGGGGCTGGGGTGCAGGTGCCCTGTGGCTAGCGCTCCCAGGTCAAACCCTGACCTTGCCCCACTGACTGTGACTGTGGGTGAGTTATGAAGCCACTCTGTGTTTCAGTTTCCTCATTTGTAAAATGATGATGAAACCCAGACAAGATGAATCAATAATTGTAAAGAGTTATGAAGAATGCTCGATGCTCAAATTACATTAAACATTGTGGAATTGCTTTTCTGAAAATATTTTGTTTGTTATAACTTTACATAAATGCCTCATTCTTTTGCTTTTTTTTTTTTTTGAAATGGAGTCTCGCTCTGTCACCCAGGCTGGAGTGCAGTGGCATGATCTCAGCTCACTGCAACCTCCACCTCCTGGGTTCAAGCAATTCTCCTGCCTCAGCCTCCCAAGTAGCTGGGACTACAGGTGCCCACCACCATGCCGGGCTAACTTTTGTATTTTTAGTAGAGACAGGGGTTTCACCATGTTGACCAGGCTAGTCTCGAACTCCTGATCTTGTGATCCACCCACCTCGGCCTCCCAAAGTTCTGGGATTACAGGTGTGAGCCACTGCACCCGGTCTCTTTTGCTTTTTAAATAGAATTATTTGAAGTATTTTTGAAGAACAAAGCATGGAGTCATCCCAGCCTTTCTAGTGGCTGAGTATTATTGTGGTATAGTAATTCCCTCTTATCTCCACTTTCACTTTGGCGTAGGTTTCAGTTACCCATGATCAACTGTGATCTGAAAATATTAAATGAAAATATCAGAGGCCAGGCATGGTGGCTCATGCCTGTAATCCCAGTACTTTGGGAGGCCAAGGTGGGTGGATCACTTGAGGTCAGGAGTTCGAGACCAGCCTGGAAAACATGGTGAAATCCTATCTCTACTAAAAAATTACAAAAATTAGCCGGGTGCTGTGGCATGTGTCTGTGATCCCAGCTACTTGGGAGGCTGAGGCAGGAGAATCACTTGAACCCGAGAGGTGGAAGTTGCAGTGAGCCAAGATCGTGTCACTGCACTCCAGCCTGGGGGACAGAGCAAGACTCTGTCTCAAAAGAACAAAAACAAAACACAAAACAAAGAAAAAACAGTTCATAAATTTTAAAGTTGCGTGTCACACTGATTGTGAAATGCCGTGTCGTCCCGCTCTGTCCTGCCCCGCTGGTGAGTCATCCTTCGTGCAGCATATTGACACTGTAGATGCTACCGGCTCAGTAGTCTCCAGTAGCTGTCTCAGTTATCAGATCAACTGTCATGCTATTGCAGTGTTTGTGAAAGTTTCTCAAGAGGGCTTTCTTTATCGTAAAATAAAACCTTTATTTTACTTTGTAATGGCCCCAAACTGCAAGAGTAGTGATGCTGGCAATTCAGATATGCCAAACAGAAACTGTAAAGTGCTTCCTTTCAGTAAAAAGATGAAAATTCTCCACTTAATAAGGAAAGAAAAAAAAATGGGCTGAGGTTGCTAAGATCTATGGTAAGAATGAATCTGCTGTACCTGAAATTGAGCAGGAAGAAACAGAAATTTGCACTAGCTTTGTGTCCTACCTCAAACTGCAAAACTTACAGCTGCACTATGTGGTAACTGTTACAATATATTGTAACTGTTCTATTTTATTCTATCTTGGATGTCTCCCTTCGATGTAATGATGCTGCTCTGTCCAGCAGACACCGCTCTCGGGTCTAGGCTGCTATCAGTTCAGGAAGAGATGGGTATTTCTGGTCAGAGTATTACCACAGTGTGTTGGCTCAGCCTCTCTGTTTCCACCAGAGCCCAACAACATGTTAATAGCTCCTTCAGAAAAGGTGCATGATGAGTGGCCATTTCTGGGAGCCTAGAAGTCCAGAAACTTTGCGGTCATCAGACTCTGATGGCTTTTCCTTTTGGTCAGATTCCAGTCTTCCTCATCTCCTAGCACTGAAACTTGTCATTCAAATGGGGAGCTGGGCTCTACGGGACACAGGGGCCTGAGTAACTGCCTGAGGTAGGGCCTGGAGTGCATTGTACTCCCTGGACCCCCACTGGGGGTCCCTGGAAAGCAGCTATGTCTCTGGTTATCTGGTGCAGGGGGACCACCAGAATGCCCAGATGGAGTCTATGTTGTCTTTAATATCCAAAATACCCAGTGAGGCGTTGACTCCACGGTCTGCAAGGGCCTCTCTCTGCCTGGTACCAGATATCAGATGTGGAAAGGCTGTCAATCTCTTTGTTAGAAACCTCCTGTGGTATCAGCCAGGCACCCAGAGGCTGCCTCTGGCACAAGCGCTTGGGTTTAGAGTCTTCTGACTTTGTTTATTTTAACTTTCATCACTCATTGGGTCTGATCCCATTCTGCTGCAGAAAGCAGTAAAGCTTTTCAATGGCTTCACCAGGGACAATGCAAGCAAAAACCAATCAAGGGCCGGACACGGTGGCTCACGCCTGTAATCCCAGCACTTTGGGAGGCCGGGGGAGGTGGGTCACTTGAGATCAGGAATTCAAGACCAGCCTGGACAATATGGTGAAGCCCCATCTCTACTAAAAATGCAAAAATCAGCCAGACGTGGTCACGGGCACCTGCAATCCCAGCTACTAGGAAGGCTGAGGCAGGAGAATCACTTGAACCCCGGGAAGCAGAGATTGCAGTGAGCTGAGATTGTGCCACTGCACTCCAGCCTGGGTGACAGAACAAGACCCAGGCTTCCTCATTTTATATATATATATATATATATATTTTTTTTTTTTTTTTTTTTTTTTTTTTGGTAGTGTTTTTTGTTTTGAGACAGGGTCTTGCTATTTTGGCCAAGCTGGTTTCCAACTCCTGGCCTCAAGTGATCCTCCTGCTTTGGCCTCCAAAGGGGTTGGGATTACAGGGATGAGCCACTGCATCTGACCAAGACTTTTTTTTTTTTTTGATACTGAGTCTCTCTCTGTTCCAGAGGCTGGAGTGCAGTGGCATGATCTCAGCTGACTACAACCTCCACCTCCCGGGTTCAAGTTATCCTCCCACCTCACCCTCCCAAGTAGCTGGGACTGCAGGTATGTGCCACCATGCCAAGTTAATTTTTGTATTTTTTGGTAGAGACAGAGTTTTGCCATGTTACCCAGGCTGGTCTCAAACTCTTGACCTCAAGCGATCCTCTCACCTCGGCCTCCCCAAGTGTTGGAATTACAGATGCCACTGTGTCCACCCAGTGGTGCCCTGTTAATTAATGACCCTTGTTATCAATTAAGTTCCCCTTTGTTGTCCTGCCTTGCTTAGATCAGATAACAGAAAAACCATGACTATTACACCCTTTGTAAAAAATGTTAAATGTGCCCTTCTCATAGAGAAACATTGCCTATAAGCAACTTGCTGTAATGATGTGCCAACCTTTTATGAAAAATGTTGTAATCCTGATAAAAACACCTCTGTCTTTGCTTATATACACGCAAAGACAGAGGAGTCTAAATGTATGTATTTATTTAGAGACAGGGTCTCACTCCATTTTCTGGACAGGAGTAAAATCCACTCCACTTGCACCCCCAGGGCCGGGCAGGTGACGCTTTGGCCCCTACCTGGGAGACACTAGAGCTCACACTGTGGGCACCTCTGGAGCTGACTGGGGAGATTCTCCTGAATCCTCGGCTCCCGCTGGGTCTGGACACCCTGTGGCTTCCCGATCACAGGATGGCTTCACACCTCTTCCGCTGTCCTGGGCCCTTGCACTGATTCACATCTAGAAGGGGACCAGGTCATGGAGCAACCCTCAGTCCGTGTCTCGACTCTAGACTCACAGGGTCAGCTGTAACATTGTGGCTGTGTGAGTGTGGGAGGGTGAGGACGACCCCAGGAGTGTCCTGCAATTTCCTATTTGCCAAAGAAGCCTCCATTCTGGAGGAGAGAGGGACCGAGGGTGGAGGGAGCATCGGTCCTCTCCTGGCTCTCAAAGGACCTGGCATCAAATCCACCATGACACATACCCTGTCTGGGACCTGTCTCGCTCCAGGGCCCAGCATGTCTCTGCAGGAAGGCAGGGCATCCCACGATATCACCAGCTCCTCTAGGAGTATAGGAGCCAAGGAGCTGCTGAGACCTGCTGATCACCCACTCACTCCCCTCCAGCCACCCCAGAGCCATGGCTCCCGAGGCCACATCTTGGGTAAGGAGGACAGGACCCCATTCCCACCCGAGCCCATCTCCCATCTCAGCCACCACCGAGGCTCACTCCCCACCCCAAACTACACCTCATCCCTGTCCCCATGCCTGGCCTCCTCCTCAGACATGGCTCCATCACAGCAATTCCCCATCCACAGCCCCTGGGTCAGCCCCATCCACAGCTGTTTCAGTCCCCAAACTACTCCCCAAACTTATGCCTAGCCCTGGTTCCAGTCCCACCCAGTCTTTTTCTAAATGTCAGTGCCAGCCACACCCATAGCACAACGCTAGTCTCGGCTCAGCCCCTTCCCTGCCCGACCCCAGCTGAGCCTCCAGCTCTGAACTCCTCCAACACCAGGAAACAACCACATTGCCCTGAACCCTAGGCCCATTTCTTCTGAGAGTCCTGCCTGCACTCCCTGGCCTTGCCCAGGACCCTTGAGCACAGGGAGACTGTGCCTGACCTCAGATCACCTTCTAGCCCTTCCTCGAGCTCCAGTCAGGACAGAGACCCCCTTGGACCCAGTGCTGCCGCAGGCTGGGGTCCCAAAGATGGCTCGTGGCCTCCTCCAGAGCCCTCCTCTTCTTCCTTCTCCCACAGCTGTCTTGGCGTCTCTCTGCATCCTCAGCCTTCTCTGATCATGTGGAGCCCCCAGGTGAGCCCAGGAAGGGCTGGGAATCTGGGGGAGGGGTGTGGCTCCCAGGAGATCCCAGGCTGGGACCCACCTGCCCTTCCACCTGGACCTCACCAGCTCTGTCTCCTCCAGTGGCCCCCATGGGTGCTTATCTGATGCTGTGCCAGCCACAGGCAAGATGTGGGGACACGTTCTGTGACCCTCTGCAGCACTGCTACTATGACAATGCCATCCTGCCCTCGGATGGGACCCAGAGGGGTGGAACTGCACCTTCAGAGTCTGCTTCGAGAAGTGCTGCCCCTGGTCCCTCAGTCCCCCAGCGTCCCTCATGGTGAAGATGAAAGGCCAGAAGTGCTCCTTGACCCTGACCTCAGATAACAGGCTTTGTCACAGGTGAGGTCCTGTCTCCTCCATGAGATTGTGGGTCCTGGGGGGCTGCATGCCTGTTCTGCCCTGAGTAGAGCCCCCATTCTCTGTGTCTGTCCTCCTGCCTCTAGTCAATCCACCTCCCCCTTTCCCTACAGTTGTATTTCTTCCTCCCTTCGTTTTTATTTTCCTCTCACAACCTCACTCTCTCAACATTGCTGGCCTCTCCTCCTGGCTCTCCTGTCCTCCTTTCTGCACTGTTCAGTCTCTCCCCCATCTCTGGCCTGCTCAGTGTCTCTGTCTTCAGTGTCAGCTCAGACTGGAGGGCAGTGGCTCAATCACAGCTCACTGCAGCCTCAACCTCCCAGACTCAAGCGATCCTCACACCTCAGCCTTTAGAGTAGCTGGGACCACAGGTGTGCACCACTGTGCCCAGCTAATTTTTGTATTTTTTGGACAGACGGGGTTTCAGCATGTTGTTCAGGCTGGTCTTAAACTCTTGGGTTCAAACGATCCTCCCTCCTCATCCTCCCAAAGTCCTGGGATTAAAGGTGTGAGTCACTGTGCCTGGCCAGGACAGGAGCCCTGGACTGGCCCTGGCTGCCCTCCTCCCATCACAGATGGGGTTTTGTCATGTTGCCCAGGCTTGTCTTGAACTCCTGAGCTTAAGTGACCTGCCTGCATTGGCCTCCCAAAGTGCTGGGATACAAGTGTGAGCAACCACACCTGGCCCCTCCCCTCCCCCTCCCTCCCTCCCTCCCTCCCTCCCTTCCTTCCTTCCTTCCTGCCTTCCTTCCTTCCTTTCCTTCCTTCCTTCCTTCCTTCCTTTCTTTTTCCTTTCTTTCCCCCCTTCCTCCCTTCTTTTTTGTTTTTCAGGGTCTCACTCTGTTGCCCAGGCTGGAGTGCAGTGGTCTGATCATAGCTAATTGCAGCCTGGAACTCTTGAGCTCAAGCAATCCTCCTGCCACAGCCTCCCAAGTAGTTGGGACCACAGGTGTGTGCCACCATGCCCAGCAATTAAAAAAATTTTTTTTTTGTAAAGACTGGATTTTGCCATGTTGTCCAGGCTGGTCTGGGATTCCTGGCCTCAAGCAATTCTTCCTCCTCGGCCTCCCTAAGTGCTGGGATTACAGGCATGAGCCACCATACCTGGCCACTTCTTCATTCTTGTTGGCTTTGCGTCCCTGGAAAAAAAAATAAATTCTGCCTCGGTATGTGGCTTACCAGAGTCATGAACGAAGGTTTCACTACAAGGCAGTTTCATATATAGAAATGAAACCATAAGTTTCTGGGTGCTGGCTCCAATTTTTGGAGTTGGTGTTTCTGGGTGGGCTATCCTCAACATTCGTGCTGGAATAAACTCTCTTTAAATTAGATTCTGACCATTTTGATCACCAGGTTGACACCATCCAGTCTTTGGTCACCAAAGCCCCTTTGCAAGGAGAGAGAGATCAGCCCCTTCAATTCTGATAACTATGCTCGGAGAAAATGAGTGACACAGCTTCCTCATCAGCCAGCAAAGAGAGGTGTTTAGGCTGGAGAGCTTCCGTCCCTCCTGTACACACATGCAATGCCACCCCATCCCTGCCTATCCCCTGGGAGGGGCTCCTTGAGGCCAGATGGAACTAACACCACAAAGATGCCAGGTGGAAGAGTCATTCTATTTATTCCTGGACAAAAGAGCAAGTGAAGAGAGAGCCTTTGAGAGTGGGAAATGTCAAGGCCCCCACGGTTTCACATTCCAGGAGCCCAGCTCTGCCAGCCCCACCGAGGAACCCTGGGAATGTCAGATTTGGGTCTCATCCAGGGATATCTGTGACCAAGGCCTGCCTCCCCTTCCCAGAGGGGCTGGGCCAGCAGAGGCAGGGTAGGGCAGCAGTTGGAGGCCTGTGGACTGGAGTTCAGGAGACCTGGGCTCTGGTCCAGCCTGTGTCTGTGACCAGCAGTGGGTCCTCGGACCGTGTCTTGCTTGGATTAGAAAGTGAGATGGGAGAATTAAACAAATGTCTGTCTGAGGTCAGGATCTTGCCCTTACTTGTCAGAAAAACAACCTCCTTTCACCGTGGGTAGAGGTAGAGTTCCAACCCCTGAGGATCAGTTCCACCAAGGCAGAGCTGGGCTCCAGTGCCGAAGACAGACCTGTCCCCAGACAATGGATTGGATAGGGTTGGGGACTCCACGGGGCTGGCGGAGGCATTGGACAGCTCTGTGTGCAAAGGCTTTTTTGACACCTGGAGAAGGGGCAGAGACAGGAGCACTGGACTAGCCCTGGCCACCCTCCCCGCTTCCCAGCCTCTGAGAGCCCCCTGCGCTGTCATGATCTCCCTCCACTGTCTCACCCCAGGCCTGACTCAGCCACCCTGAGAGATCAGGCTCAGGCCAAGGAGGGTCAGCTAGACTCCTCTCTCCTCGGGACACAATCCTAATCCTGACCCAAGAAACCTGCTTTCTCCCACCAGCGTCTAGGCCTCTACCTGCCTCGAGCCATCCCAGGAAATGCCTGGAACCATGGTTTGAGAGATGAAGCCCGTTATTGGGAGATGTGTTGGGACATCTAAGTCAGCAGCACTTAGGCAAGAAGGAAGCCAGGCCATGCCTGCACCCTTCTTCATTCCTTTTTAAATTTTTTTTTTAATTGAGACGGAGTCTCGCTCTGTAGCCAGGCTGGAGTGCAGTGGCACGATCTCGGCTCACTGCAACCTCTGACTCCCTGGTTCAAGCGATTCTCCTGCCTCAGCCTCCCGAGTAGCTGGGATTACAAGCACACGCCACCACGCCTGGCTAATTTTTGTATTTTTAGTAGAGATGGGGTTTCACCATCCTGACCTTGTGATCTGTCCACCTCGGCCTCCCAAAGTGCTGGGATTACAGGTGTGAGCCACCGCACCTGCCCTAATTTTTTTTAATTTTTATTTTATTTTATTTTTTGAGACAAGATCTCGTTCTGTCACCCAGGCTGCAGTGCAGTGGTGTGATCTCAGCTCACTGAAACTTCCACTTCTCAGGCTCAGGAAATTCTCCTGCCTCAGCCCCTGAGTAGCTGGGTCTACAGGCCCATGACATTATGCCCGGCTAATTCTAATTTCTGTATTTTTTGTAGATATGGGGTTTTGTCATGTTACCCAGGCTGGTCTTGAACTCCTGAGCTTAGGTGACCCACCTGAGTTGGCCTGTCAAAGTGCTGGGATTACAGGTGTGAGCCACCACACCTGGCCCTTTTCTTTTCTTTTCTTTTCTTTTCTTTTCTTTTCTCTTTTCTTTTCTTTTCTTTCTTTCGTTCAGGGTCTCACTCTGTTGCCCAGGCTGGAGTGCAGTGGTCTTATCATGACTAATTTCAACCTGGAACTCTTGAGCTCAAGCGTTCCTCCTGCTACAGCCTCCCAAATAGCTGAGACCACAGGTGTGTGCCACCATGCCCAGCTTTTAAAAAAAAAAAAACTTTTGTAAAGACTGGATTTTGCCATGTTGCCCAGGTTGGTCTTGAACTCCTGGCCTCAAGCAATTCTTCCTCATCAGCCTCCCTAAGTGCTGAGATTACAGGCAGGAGCCACCATACCTGACCACTTCATTCTTGTTGGTTTTGCTTCGCTGGAAAAAATATAAATTCTCCCTCAATATGTGACTTACCACAGTCATGAAGGAAGATTTCACTATAAGGCAGTTCATAAAAATCTGTGCAGTGTACACTAACCCATTTTTGTGTCTGTTTCTTGAATTAAAAAAATAATATCTATGACATACTCAAGCAGTTATACCACCCAATAAAATGTTGCCACCCTTAGTATGGAGGACACTACTCTTTCCTGAACTGCAAATGGAGAAGCCAGGGGAGCAGAGAGCAATGGAGAAGGAGAACACGCTGTCCCCTCTCCACAAGGGAGGAGGAAGACTGCAGGCCCCTCGTGATTGCACCATTACCCAGCTCCAGACTCAACCCTCCTCTCCACCCTCCTCACAAGAGAGATACAGGGATGTTCTACAACCATAAATCTGGTCACTTCCATCCCCTGCTTAGGCCTGGGCCATGGTCAGTGCCCTCAGGATAGACTGGAGTTCTCCAAGGGCCCATAAAAATGCCCCAGCCTTGCTGCCCACTCCAGTCTCCTCTTCCTGCCTTGCATTCTGGCCTCTGGGTTCAGCTTTGTCGAAACAGGCACAGTTCTCATTCATTCTTGAAATAGTAGCTCAAATGTCTTCTTCTCCTAGAAGACATCGCTGGCCTTCCAGGCTGGGTGAGGCAACCACTGTGGGCTCCCAAGCCTTTACGCGTCCCCAACCCAGCCCTGACTCTCTGAGTCATCAAGGCCTGAGGACAATCTGTGTTCCCAGTGATGGCACATGGCCCGCTATTATGTCTCTGCTGTGTCCTCTGCAGCACGTCGGGGTAAGGATGATTAGGTTTTAATGGGATAGTAACGGGCGTGTGATTGGTTGCCAGGGAGGGAGTAAAAGTGTCCCATACTTGTGGGTTAAGGTTGGGGGATACAAGAGGAAGACGTGAAGGAGGCTTTAGGTTGGGGAGAAGGGCGGCACTGAGATGTGGCTGTAGTCCAGGAATAGTCAGGGTAGTGGATAATTTTGTTAAGATGTAAAGGATCATTAACCTTGACTCTGCCTTCAGCTCCAGCCACCTCTCTAAGAGGAAATTGTTGGGCAGGTTGGGGAGGGCTAGTCACGGAACAAAACTGTAAGCTGGACCGGTTGTGAGTGGGGGAGGCGATAGAAGGATTATAGGGTGGGAGAGTGGAAGCTGAGGAAGAACTGGGACCTCGCTTGGCCTGGTGAGGAGCAGTGTGGGGAGGAGGGGAGAGGTCGGATGAGTTCACAGAAAAAGAAGATTTAAAGGACTCAGAGCTTGGGGTGGAGACTGAAGGAACAGACAGGAGAGAAAGAAGAAAGATCTGGAATGAGTCACATTGGGAGCAGAGACTAGGGAGGAACTGATGTGTAAAAGGATGCCTGGACATCAGGCACCTCAGACCATTTGCCCATTTTTTGACAAAATTATCTAGATCTTGTAGGATGGGGAAATCGAAAGTGCCATTTTCTGGCCATTTAGAACAATTGTTAAGTTTGTATTGGGGTCAAATGCTGTTGCAGAAGAAAATAAGATGCTTAGGTTTTGGGTCAGGTGAGAGTTGAAGAGGTTTTAAGTTTTTTAGAACACAGGCTAAGGGAGAAGAAGGAGGAATGGAGGGTGGAAGGTTGCCCATAGTAAAAAGGTAAGTTTAGAGAAAAGAGAGGGTAGAGACATGGAGAGGGGGGTTGGTACTTGCCATCCAGGGGAGGTGGTACTTGCCACCAAGGTGAAGGATCAAGGCAGGCGTCCCTGCAGTGGTCAGACACCTCTGGAATGTGGGTGAATAATCAGACATGCATCCCCACAGTGATTAGACACCAAGGGAAGACTGTCTTCCCGAGTCTGTGACCAGCAGCAGAATTTTGAGTTCATGGACAAAACGTGTCTCCTCTGTCTCTACCAGAAACGGAAAGGAACCAAAATTAAGGGAGGGAGAGATTAAAGAGTGGAGGGATATCTAGCAAGAGAGGTTGGAGAAGAGAATGAAAAGAGGCTACTTACCCGATTTAAAATTGGTGAGAAGTTCCTTCGGCTGGGCTGAGGACCCGAGGTCATGGGTGGATCTCATGGAGAGAGGGCGAGGACAGGGGACCGGTCTCCCAAAGGAGTCCTCCTGTCTCAGGTCTTCGGCACCAAATGTCACATGAGTCCATATGAAGAGAGTCCACCAACAGGCTTTGTGTGAGCAACAAGACTGTTTATTTTACTTGGGTGCAACTGGGCTGAATCTGAAAAGAGAGTCAGCAAAGGGAGATAGGGGTACAGCAGTTTTATAGGATTTGGGTAGGTAGTGGAAAATTACAGTTAAAGGTGGTTATCTCTTGTGGGCAGGGATGGGGATCACAAGGTGCAGGGTGGGGAGATCATGAGACTCATTGTCTAGGGGAGGAATGTCACAAGGTTGATGGATTAGTTGGGGTGGGGCAGGAGCAAATCACAATGATGGAATGTCATCTTTTGTGGTTCTTCAGTTGCTCCAGGCCCTCTAGATGTATACGTGCAGGTCACAGGGGTTATGATGGCTTAGCTTGGGCTCAGAGGCCTGACACCAGAGAGTTGGCCAACACCCCGGTACAGTTGGCCAGCTGCACTAGAGCTGCTTTGTTCTCCTGATTTGAATTTCAGTGGTTTCTTACAGTTTTTGCTGCTGCTGTAGAGCATTTAAGCAGGAAGGGATCCAGTTCAGCCATCCAGGGACTGGCACCCAAGTTCTTGTTGCAGGTAGCAGGGACCAGCTTGCAAGCTTGAAGTGTGCAGATGGAACACAGAGCACTCCAGCCACCCAGGCAGATATCAGAGGATGGGCCCTCAGGCACTGGTGAGGCCCAGTCCTCTCCCTCAGTGACATCTGCATTCCTAGCATTCTGGGTTTTTTTGTTTTTGTTTTTGTTTTTGTTTGAGAGAGTCTCACTCTGTTGCCCAGGCTGGAGTGCAGTGGTGCAATCTCGACTCACTGTAACCTCTGCCTTCCAGGTTCAAGCAATTCTGCTATCTCAGCCTCCCGAGTAGCTGGGATTACAGGTGCATGCCACCACACCCAGCTAATTTTTGTATTTTTAGTAGAGACAGGGTTTCACTTTGTTGGTCAGGCTGGTCTCAAACTCCTGACCTCAGGTGATCCACCCGTCTCGGCCTCCCAAAGTGCTAGGATTACAGGCATGAGTCTCCGATCCCAGCCCTAACATTATTTTTGAACATCTGAAATTTCACCAGATTCCTGTCTGTCACCTGGGAGAGGCTCCCTGAGGCCAGGTGGAAATCATACCCGGATGCCACCAGAATGATGATTCAGCCCTTTCCGTGCTTGTTCCAGAGGGGAAGCCCATGAAAGGAGGACAGCCAGTGCTCTCCTGTGTGCCACGTTCCAGAAGCTCAGGTCTCCCACCAGCAGCTGGGGTTGTGGGAAAGTCTTCCCTGAGGCCAGCCCCCGGGTGCCTGGGATCAGGGCCTGCTTGCCTTTCTGGACGAGCTGGGCCTGGGACTGGGGGGGGTTGCTGGGCTGAGACAGGGGTACCTGGGTCCAGTCTAGATGGTGTCTGTGACCTGCAGGGGCCCCTCATGCCAGGGTGCTCTTTACATAGAGGGAATAGGGTGAGAAAATATGACCAACAGATGTTGGAGTTTACTGTTATTTCCCAGGAAGCCATGAGAATCCTGTGACCCTGGAAAGAGACAGGGTTCCCAATAACTAGGGACATGGCAGTGAGTGATGCAGCCCTGCTCCCTGTCCTCAAACAGCTCTAGGTCCACTGTCCCTAAACAGTGACAACACAGAGTGGGCAGCTTTGGGATGTGGAATGCACAGGCGGCTGCTTCGGGAATTTTGATATGGGGTTTTAGCAGCTCCTGCTGCTTGCTGGGAAAAATCCCTCAGGGAATTGTAATGGACTTCAGGAGAAATGACACACAGGTGCTCGTGTATATGAAATAAGTTGTTGTTTTGTTTTTTGTTTGTTTTTGAGACAGTCTCACTCTGTCGCGCAGGCTGGAGTGCAGTGGCACGATCTCGGCTCACTGCAACCTCTGCCTCCCGGATTCAAGCGCTTCTCCTGCCTCAGCCTCCCAAGTAGCTGGGATTACAGGTACCTGCCACCACACTCAGGTATTTTTTTTTTTTTTTGTAGTTTTAGTATAGACGGGATTTTGCCATGTTGGCCATGCTGTTCTCAAACTCCTGACCTCAGGTGATCCACCTGCCTTGGCCTCCCAAAGTGCTGGGATTACAGGCGTGAGCCACCGTGCCCAGCATGAAATAAATTTTATAACCTGAATAGGACCCGGTAATATAGGAGTTAAGAAGAAATTATTTTAGGCAGATAGTGAAGGTAAGAAAGTCCTTGGTAAGGTTTTTCTTTTAATGAAAAGCACCCTCCAAATCATATACTTTTCCAACAAACAGCAGCCATTAAAATCAAGCCACAGACATAGAAAGGCAGGCTAGAAGCTTCCACAGGTGAATGCCAGCATTTGTGCCAATAGGAAAAGGCTACCTGGGACTAGGCATTTTCAAAATGGCAGCTCCATCTTCCCTTTTCCTTTCCAACCACATGCACAGTAGAAAGCAGATAACATGGCATCCACCAAGTGGAAAGTCCATTTGCATAATAAGATTAGGGTGGGGTGGTCAGCTTCTTCCAGCACTATGTAAATGTCACAGCTGATCCAACCAATCTGTGGGCCCTATGGAAATCAGATACCACCTCTTCAAACCCGTCTATAAAATCCAGTGCACTCTGCTGTAGGCTGGAAGTCCCATTCAGGTGCTGAGAGAGAGAGAGAGAGCTGTTCTTCTTTCTCTCTCTTTTGCCTATTAAACCCCTGCTCCTAAACCCACTTCTTGTGTCCATGTACTCGATTTTCTTGGTTTGAGACAATGAACCTTGTGTATTTACCCCAGATGATGACGCCACATTACCAGTGTCAGCACTCCCCAAGAAGAAGGATTGAGGCTTGGTCCAGTGTGAAGCAAGTGGGCCGTTAAACACGTGGCTTTGGCTAGTTTTTGAGCATGGGGCTATGGTGAGGGTTGCTGCCTGTGGGCTGGGGCTTGAGTGGTTTGAACGTCCTTCTGCTGCCAAGACAGAAAGCACATGGTGTGCCCAGATGTGCATTGGAGGTGACTGAGGAAGGGCTGGGAAGCTGACAATATCCAAAAATCTAATGTTGTTGTCATACAGGGAGATAAACAGGGCTACTAGAAAATAGCTTATCTGACCCTTTGAGAAAATGTAGAGAGAAGAGTCCAACCCAGGGCTGTTTGACCACAAAGTCTCAGGATTGCTGAGAGAGGGACTCTTGCATCCACAGAGCCCTGGCCCTGCCCCACTGCCCTCCCTCGAACCCAGCTTCTGACACCCCCTGCCCCGTCATCATCACCCACTGCTGTTTTCTCTACCCAGCCTGACTCAGCTGCCCTGACAGATGGGGACCAAGGCCAAGGAGGGCCAGCTGGGCTCCTCTCTTCCAAGAGATGGCAACTCCAGCCCTGCCCTCAGGAATGTGCTTTTCTCCCTGGCACTGGCTGCTCTCCAGGCCTAAATTCAACCCTGTTTTTAGCACAGAAAACCAGGCCAAATGCCACACCCAGTCTCAGCATACGAAGCACCTAGAACTGACACTGTGAGCTCTGAACTCTTTGTGTGTGTGGGGCGGGGTGAGGGGGAGCAACATGCCCGGACAGGTAGTCAGTGATTTTTAAGAAAGATGGAGGCGAGCTTATACCCAGAGGATTTTTCCTTCCAGTGTTTAGTAACTGTTTGGCTGTGACTTGCTAGGAAGCACTCATATTACATCAGTCCAAAAGAAAGTTTAATTGAACACTGATGAATAAGACACTGTGCCATGCACACTCTTCTATTTCTTTTGATTCTAGTTGAATGTATAAGATACCCATGTTGATGAATAAATTGATTCACAACCTGAGAGTGTCACAATCCCCATGTTGGAGATCACTGCTCTACCCTGCAGCTTCAGGAGAGGGGAGGCCAGAAGGCAGAATGAGAAATGGGGTCGGGGGTGTGAGTGCTTATCTCATCCACCCATGACAGCGAGTGGGCCTGCAGGACTCTGGAAATTGCATGAGAATTTCTGCTCCATCAGCTTCCTGCCTGGTCTCATGCTCCCATCTCAATCCTCTCACCCACCCTCCTCCCAGCAGAAGGACACACGGATTTTCCTGAATCACAATCTGATCACTTCTATCCCCTGCTTAAGACCTGTCTGTAGCTTGAGTACACTGAGAAGAACAGTTCTCACCAAGGCTCATAAGGGGAGGTGGACAGGGGAAGCGATGGGGATGGTGGGAGCTTCCCTGGCCTTCCTGGACACCCCATCCTCTCAGCACCTCCACATGTTCAGCAACTGGGAAGTTCAACTCTAGTTTTTCAAGAGTTTTTATAAAGTTTGGTCCTTATCTCCTCGCCATTGCCACTTTTCTTGGAAGTTGGTGGGTGATACTGAAAGTTTCTACCCTCTAATCCTCAAATCTTTTGGTCTTTGTGATGACTGGCATGATACTGAGGCTACCTGGGGACCCTTCCCTAATTCACATTTTTTTTTTTTGAGAGGGAGTCTCACTCTGTCACCCAGGCTGAAGTGCAGTGGCATGATCTCAGCTCACTGCAACCTCCGCCTCCCAGGTTCAAGCAATTCTTCTGCTTCAGCCTCCCGAGTAGCTGGGATTACAAGCGCCCACCAGCATGCCCAGCTAATTTTTGTATTTTTCGTAGAGACGGGGTTTCGTCATGTTGGCCAGGCTGTTCTCAAACTCCTGACCTCAGATGATCCACCCGCCTCGGCCTCCCAAAGTGTTGGGATTACAGGTGTGAGCCACCGCACCTGGCCCCTAAATCACATTTTTAGCATGAACTCAGCTGGTGTGATCTGAAAGAGTCTCATCTGGAAGAACAAAAGACATTCCTATCACTCAGGAAATTCCAAGTTTAGCTTCATGGTAGGAACAAGAGTCAAAGAACAAACATTTTCATGTTATAGCACACCCAGTAAGCCATGGGTTCATCAGATTGGACTCTCTTTGCTCTGCCAAATTGGCAGCATTTGTGAGTTACCAATCCCAAGGGAGGACTCCCACTGCAGGGAGGATGGCAAAGGTCACCACTGCGCTAACCACCCGGAATAGGGGTCTGAACACTTCAGCCACCGCATCTTGGGCTGCACTCTGACTACACTGAGCGTGGTGAACAGAACACCCACAGCCACAGCCAGTTCGACAAAGCAGGTTAATTACTTACAGACAGGCAGCGAGGGACAGCGGAAGCCTAGGCTGCATGACTGTTCATCTCTCTGTACGACAAGAACATTCAATTTTTGGATATTGTCAGCTTCCCAGCCCTTCCTCAGTCACATCCAGTGCACATCTGGGCATACCATGTGCTTTCTGTCTTGGCAGCAGAAGGACATTCAAACTGGTCTCCCGGGGCTCAGGAGCACTGCCCAGGGCAGATAGAGTCTCCCATGCCTGCCCCACTTGCACCACAGCTGAGGACTCAGCAGTGAGCTCTGGGTTTTAGATGTGGTGGACACGCCCTGGGCTAGTGTGGCAGGACACCCCCTCTAGGAGGGATGGGAATGAGGCCAGGGCTGTCCTGGGCAGTTTCTCTTTAGCTCAAGGTGTTGCATTCTCTCGGAGGAATAGAAACCAAGCTTGGGCACTTTCAGGCAGTTCCTCCTTACTCAGGATGGTGCATTCTTATATAATTTGGCTCTGTCTTGCCACACAAATCTCATCTCACATTGTAATCCCCATGTGTCAGGGGAAGGATCTGGTAGGTGATTGGATCATGGGGGCAGTTTTTTCCATGCTGTTCTCCTGATAGTGGGGGAGTTCTCAGGAGATCTGATGGTTTAAAAGTGTGTAGAAGTTCCCGGCTCGCTCTCTTTCTCTCCTGCCACCATGGAAGGCGTGCCTTGCTTTTCCTTCACCCTCCAGCATGATTGTACATTTCCTGAGGCCACCTTGGCGTGCAGAACTATGAGTCAATTAAACCTCTTTCCTTTATAAATTACCCAGTCTCAGGTAGTTTTTTTTAGCAGTGTGAAAATGGACTAATACACATTTCTACTGTATTCTACAGTGATTCTGGGAACTGTGGGCAAGAAGAGAGGCGGGAAAGCCAGAGCCATCCAATGCTTGTCTTCTGGTGCCCTCCTCCAGGAAGCCATTCCTGGTGCCCTGGGCGCTGCTCCCAGCCTTGCTCACCCTGGGTCATCACCGTTTTTGGAGGGGTCTGTGTCCTCCCCAGACTATAAGACCCAGAAAAGCAGGGCCTGGAGCTAAGTCACAGTCGTGTCCCCAGCATCCACTGACACAGAGTAAGTGCATAGTGTGTGCTAAATGAATGAAAGAAAAGTGAAAGCATGATGAAAGCCCTGTGTTCAGGGTGTGTCTCACTCAACCTGTCTGTCCTGTCATGGTGACTTGGTGAGAATTGTTGCCTGAAGGTCTTTAAAGCTCTCTCCCTTCCAGGGCTTCCGCATGGAGCTGCTTCTCAGCTGTGCCCTATGGGGTCAGATGCACTGGGGAAGAACTAAGGCTCTTCTCCACAGCCCACCTTTTGTCCCCTTAGCCCTCCCAACATAGGACACACCATGTCCAGGGCTGCAGGAGCCCAGGCTGTCAACAGCATCAGCATCCTGCTAGAAGAGGGTAGGGATGGCTGGTACTCAGAAGAGCCTTCTAGATTCCTAAGTTTATTAATCCTTTCACTGCAACTACTAAGAAAAATAGGTGTGACATTATTACTGGGTTACACACAGTCACACACACACACAAAAAGCGAAAGCAAAAATTGTCAAGAATATGTCAGCTTCCCTCAGGGGAGTGGCTTCTTCAACTTTGATCCCAAATGACTTATTTCAGAGGAAACCTCTCCCCTCTCCTCAGAACAAACACATTCACACAGGAAGGGATTAAATTCCTGCAAAGAAGAAGAAGGAAAACCTTCCACTGGTCCTTTGGTCTTAACTATCCTGGGCCATAATGTATTTGAGAGTCCAGTAATGACTGTGGATTTTTTTGCTCAAAATATCACAGATGATTGCCAAACATTGTGAAATGCCATTGAATTGCACACTTGAAAACACACACATACACATGAAAACTTAAGTAAACGCATATACTTAATTGTGGGGGCTGCAGGGGGGGAGCGGAAAGAAACATCCAGACATCTGGTGGTAAATATTCTGCTCTGGTTCAGCTAAAAATAAAGCCCTTTATCAGTTTGGTCACTGGAAGGACTTGTTCCCTTCTTGTTGATGATCAGAAACCTTAGCAGGAACTAATTCTCAAGTGTCTGCCTTAACAGAAAAGCCACAAAGAAACATGGTAAGAGCGTGGCAGATAACATCCACGGTGCTATCGGGAGGTGACAGGTGACTGACCTCAGCCTTGGTGTTCAAGAAGATTCCAGAAGGTGGGTGACATTTAAGGGAAAAATGAAAAATGAAGAGGGATGGGAGAATTGGAGGCAGAAGCCAGAGAGACATTGTGGTTCTTCCAAGGAACTGTGCTAAGTCGAGGGCAGTGAGAGCCAGGGAAGGTGTATTAATCAGGGTTCTCTAGAGGGACACAATTAATAGGGTTCTTTAGAGGGACACAATTTATATATATATATGAGTTTATTAAGTAGTATTAACTCACACAATCACAAGGTCCCACAATAGGCCATCTGCAAGCTGAGGAGCAAGGAAGCCAGTCCATGTCCCAAAGCTGAAGAACGTGGAGTCTGATGTTCGAGGGAAGGAAGCATCCAGCACGGGAGAAAGACGTAGGCTGGAAGCTAAGCCAGTCTAGCCTTTTCACGTTTTTCTTCCTGCTTTATATTCTGGCTCTGCTGGCAGCTGATTAGACAGTGTCCACCCACGTTAAGGGTGGGTCTGCCTTTCCCAGCCCACTAATGCAAAAGTTAATCTCCTTTGGCAACACCCCTACAGACACACCCAGGATCAATACTTTGCATCCTTCAATCCAATCAAGTTGACACTCAGTACTAACCATCACAGAGGGTGTGCATGATGTGGAGGTGGACACTTGGCATCCAGCCAACTTCTTCAGGACTTTCTGGTCTGCAGAGGCTGGAAGCTTCACACTTTCCTTCCCAGAGGGCCTTGCAGGTGGGGTTCTGGATACATTTGAATCTCTGGTAGCACAGTCATTGTGTCTCTGGGTGTATCCACAGTAACATCTCACATCCAAGCAATAGCTCTGAATGGCTGAAAGGCTGTTCCAGACACAGAAATGGCACCTGAATCTTGAGTCTCAGCTCAGCAGATTGTTCTAGCTTCATTCCTGGTTGGCAAACCCTGGGGCCTCTCCTCCAGCCTCTCCTATGACATGGAGGCTCTTAATTCACTGGTCTGCATCATACGAAGGATCCTGCCAGAGCAGGGATTAGGCTTTGGTCAACAGAAGCCACCTTGCAGGGAGCTTCTGAAATCCCAACATAGTGTTTGGAGAAAATGACTCACACAGACTCCTCCTTGTCAGCCAGCAGCGGACAGGCCTCTGGCCTGGGGAAACCCGGCCTTCCTTCTACATACCTGACATACCTGCACACCTGAAATTCCACCTCATTCCTGCCTGTTTCCTAGCAGGGCTTCCCTGAGGGCAGATGGAAAGGCCACTCCAAATCTGCCAGGAGGGAGATTCCTTCTATTTTTTCCTGGCATAAAAGGGCAAGCAGTGGGGGAGCTGCTGACAGCTGGAAATGCCAACGTCCTCCGGGGTTTCACATTCCGGGTTTCACATTCCAGAAGCCAAGATCTGCCAGCCCTGCCTGTTCTCTCACCCCGCTTCCTGGATCCAAGCAAGACACGGGCTGAGGTACTGCTGCTGGTCAGTGACGCAGGCCAGGCAAGAACCCAGGTCTCCTGACCTCTCACCCATGGGCTTCCCAACTCCCCAGGCCTGGTCTCTCTGAGAAAGGAAGACAGGCCCTGTTCACAGACACTCCTGAATGATACCCAGGTTCTCGGGCCAGGCTGGCAGATTTTGGTTCCTGGAATGTGAAACCTCTGAGGACTTGGCATTTCCTGCTGTCAGCAGCTTCCCTACTTCTATTGTACAATAGTATAATATGATCGAATGATAGAATGATATTCTACCATTACGTGGAATACACACAGTTCCAATAAGAGTGTCATAAACAATCTAGCACAGCATTCTGGTTAGGGCACACTGTCCCATTTCTTAATCCATTTTTTTTTTCAATTAAAAAATAACATTGCTTATGCCCAACTGATGGTTTTCCATGTTATCAGCACGTCCTAATCTGTGTCCTGGAAAACAACACTCTACCCCACAGCAACAAGGCATGGAGGCCAATGGAGAAGACAGGGAGATGGTGCTGGAAGCAGGGTCTGCTCTTCCCCTGGGGAAGGTGCGTGCTGAGCACTCTGGTATTTATCATGAGATCATTTCTGCTGCAGCCTCTTCCCTTGTCGCCTGCCTCCAGAGAGAAGCCCCTGTCCATGCTCCCCAGAAAGATACAGGATCTTCCACACACACAGATCTGACCACATACATCCCCTGCTGGGAATAACCCTGGGGAGAATGGCTTGTCCATACCAGGTGTGGCCTGTGAACTCACAAACTGAGGAAATCCTGCAGAAGCTGGGAGGGGCCCACAGAACTGACCCAAGACAGCTTCTTCCCCTCTGTTTTTTCGTCCTGACCCCAAGATGGCTCTTCTGTGGGGAAATCACACACCCGACCCTCTGAAAAAGCACGTTAAGGAAAAATGTCCTTGAAAATCTCAGGAGGGCTGTGGAATTTCTCCACCACCAGAACTTCACAGTGACAATGACACCAAACACAAGAACGACAATAACCAAAATCAGGAGTTTTATTCTCCTACCTTCTCTCTCTCTCTCTCTCTCTCTCCTCTCACTGTCATGAACGTCACGAAGACACTGACTTTGCATTTTCTACTCAGCACTGCATCACCAGTGTCTGACACAAAGCCTGGGACATGTGGGCTTCCAAGTGGACCTCTCCTGGATAAATGACCATTAATGAAACAGAGAAGGAGTTGAAGAGCCCCCAGAGGAGTGTGAGTCCCAGGGGTCCCGCCAGCTCCACTCCCACCTTCCAAACCTGTGAAAGTCAGGTGCCTGAGTCGCACAGTCTCTCCCACCCGAATGCCATGAGCTGCAGGTGAGTGAGCAGTTACTGCATCCTGGGCCATGGGCTTGGGTTGTGAAGTTAGGACCTGATTAGAGGATGTCAGGGGTTAGCAATGTACCAAGGAAAGTGGAGAAAGTCATAGCTCAATGGGATCCTGTGGAATCACTGTGTGGCTGTGTGAGTGGGGGAGGGCGGTAACTATAGGAGCATGCTGCACCTTCCTGTTTGCCAAAGAGGGGGCATGTAGGACACAGAAGCGGAGGGTGCACCACTTCTCCCTGGGTTCTCAAAGTGTCTGAGATCAAATCTACTATGACACATACCCTGCCTGGCTCCTTTACTGCCCAGCGACCCAGCCTGTCTCTGCAGGAGGGCCAGACATGCCGTGACATCACCAGCTCCTCTAGGAATATGGGATACAAGGAGTGGCTGAGATCGGCTGATCACCAGCTCACTCCGCTGCAGCCGCCCCAGAGCAATGGCTCCCCGAAGCCGTGTTCTGGGTAAGGAGGGGAGGACCCCATTCCCAACCGAACCCATCTCCCATCTCAGCCACCACCAGGGCTCGCTCCCCACCCCAAACTCCCTGTTCCCTCATTCTTGTTCCCATGCCCAGCCAAATCTCCAGGCGTGAATTGCTCACAGCAATTCCCCATCCACAGCGCCCGGGTCAGCCCCATCCACAGCCCTGTTTCAGTTTCTGAACTGCCCAAAGCCATACCGAGCCCTGGTTCCACCCAATCTTCTTCTAAATGTCAGTGCCAGTCGTATCTGTGGCTGTCCACTCACCCCATCTTCCCCTTCCCTCTCCCACAGCTGTCTTGGCCGCTTTCTGTTTGTGACTCTCCCTGCCTCCACTCCCCCCACCACCCCATGAAATGATCTCATTTGGTCATTTAAACGGAAAACTAAAAAGTTTTAAGTGACTCTAGGAGAGCAGGAGAGAGGCAGGTCTCCCAGCTCAGACCCCGCCCCGGGACGGCCCCACGGAAGATGCACATCTGGATGTAGGCGCTCAAGGCACCGCGCGTGCGCCGAGTGGCCTTGCTCAGCTCCGTCCTTCTGAAACCCGGAATCCTCATGTGTCTGGGTCCCGCCCCATCCTGGCCTCCTACACCACTGGTCCAGATCCTCCACCTTCCCCCAACGCGAGGTATTGACATCAAAGCATCACCTCATCTGGCACAAGAATCTGAAACACAGACCGCACCTTACACCAACGTAGTGAATCCCTCCTTGGACCTGAGTTCAACAAGCCCAGAGTCGGGGCTCTGGGTTCCCGCCCAAATGCCACGCATGCACACAGATGGCACCTGGCGTCTCCTCAAAGGGACAGGAATCCCGGGCTTCCCAGAATCACCAGGTCGATTTAAATGGCATCAGATGAACTGGAAAAGAATGAAAGTGCTATTGCCTAAAGTGATGAAATTTTCAGAGGATGTATCGGTCCTGTCTGGTGGACAGACGGCCACCAGAGGGAATGAACCAGTCTTCTCTGAACATCCATGAGGATGAAGAACAGTCACTGAGGTGACGGTACCAAGTCACCGGCCACCTCCCAGGGATCCTCTCATCCGGTCCTCACAGCAGCGCTGCATGGTCGGACCTCATCACCCACATTCCACCAAGAGGAAGCTGAAGCCCAGGGCCTTCATCCACTCATGTCCTCCAGACCCCTGGCACCCATCCTGGGCCCCACCCCATCATCCAGGCCTTGGGCCTTCGACCTGGGGAGAGTCCCTGTCTCCTCCATGAGCCGTCCAGGGCCTGAAGAGGTATCCAATAAACAAGAAAGCAGAACACAAAGAGCTGTGATGGAGTGGATCTTATGTAGTAAGAATAAAATTATTTTGAGAAATTACTGGGTCATGTATTTACCCACAGAAAAACAGAAGCAAACACACGCGTGCGCGCACACACACACACACACACCACACAGGCTGTCACGTGTCCTCAGCACAAAGTGCCTTGAGAAAGGCCATTGCTGGCCCCACACTTATCCTGACTGTGATCTTGCTGTGATCAGCACATCCCATCAGTGTGGCAACAGGTGTGGCCAGAGTGGGAACCAGGCCTTTTCTTCAGATTTGCTCTTTGTTCCTGAATAGCCACCGTCAGAACAGACACCCTCCTAGGAGTCACTTGATTAAAAATTTCCTTTTGGATATTTAGGTTGATGTTTTATCCATCGGTTAAAGTATAAATGTATATTTATTATAAAAGTGTAATTATGGCTCTAATTAATGATTATGGTGAATTTTACTAACTATAGCTATGAAAATATTCCAATAGATAAAAACAGTGCTAAAAATGTACAGTTAATCCAAGAGTGGTAACTTTAAGTCTTGTAATTTTTGATCTAATAAATCTTCATAAAATATACATGATCATGAAGTACATCAGTAGAATTAATCCTAATATTTACAGCAATACTTGGCGTGCTGTCTCTCATAAAAAATAACATTAATAGTAAAAAAAAAAAGAAGAAATCGGCCAGGCACGGTGGCTCACGCCTGTAATACCAGAACTTTGGGAGGCCGAGGCAGGCAGATCACAAGGTCAGGACATCGAGACCATCCTGGCTAACACGGCAAAACCCCGTCTCTACTAAAAATACAAAAAATTAGCCCAGCGTGGTGGCGGGTGCCTGTAGTCCCAGCTACTCGGGAGGCTGAGGCAGGAGAATGGCATGAACCCAGGAGGCAGAGCTTGCAGTGAGCCGAGATCACGCCACTGCACTCCAGCCTGGGTGACAGAGCGAGACTCCATCTCAAAAAAATAAAAAAATAAAATAGTAATAAAGAAATGATGAAATTTAAAAATTCTATTTAATTTTGGGTTGTTTAATTTTCATTTGGGGCATGACTATGTGAAGTAATAAATTTTGTTTGGGCATTAATATGGGATGACCTATGTCTCCCCCTAAATTCATGTGTTGAGGTCCTAACCCCAGTATCTCAGAATATAACTGTATTTGGAGATAAGGCCTTTGAAAAGGTGATTACAGTAAAAGGTCATATGAGCAGGACCTAATCCAAGCTGACTGGTGTCCTTATAAGAAGAGGAGATTAGGGCACAGACACACACTCAGCGGCCATGTGAAGACACAGGGAGGAATTGGCCATGGATAAACCAAGGGATAGACCCTCAGAAAAAACCATCCTGCCAACACTTTGATCTCATGCTTCTGCCTTCCAGAACTGTGAGGAACTGAATTTCTCCTGTTCAAGCCACCCCTCTGGTGCCCTTGATTATGGCAGTCCTGGGGGATTAACACAGGCAGAAGGAAAATGAAGGATGCAAGAGTCAGAGAAAGGAAGAAAATGAAATGTAATTTCTCCTCAAACAATTTTCAAAATAATGGACTTTGGGAAAACACTTTCAGGAAATTATTCTAAACTGGGTGTTTGACGTTTTATTCTAAACTGGGTGTTTAGTGTTTTAAGTGTTTTGAAGTTTTTACTATTAATAGAACTATTTGAATAGTTGAAGAGGAAACATATTTGAAACCTGATGATATTATGACTCCTGGCTAAGGTTCTGTAACCAATGGAAAGTCTTGACTGTGAGTTGTCCAGGCTCTTGGCATGTTAAACAAAGAATTGAACAAAAATCACAAGCAAAACAGCGGAAGAGGAAGACATAGATTTATTCAAGTGAAAGTACATGCCCCAGAGTGGGAGTGGGCTCGAGCAAGCAGCTCAAGAGCTCTGAGTGTTGGTAACCCCCCTGGGGTACCATTTAGAGGCCTCCAATTGGTTGCACCCTATGCAAATGAAGGATTTGGTGCGTGGCCAATCAGAGACTGAAGTGGAGTTACATCCTATGCAAATGAAGATTGATTGGCGGCCAATCAGAGGCTGAAGTGAAGGCTTGGCCCATGGCCATCAAAGGCTGAAGTTCTCCCTTTGGTTTAATTCCAAGAAGTCAGCCGTGGGTTGGCCTTAGGCTCCTTGTCTCCAGACCCTATTCTCCTGCCTCAGTTCCTTCTTTAGAATATATTACTAATAACTGCCTGGGAATGATATTGCCCTAGACATAGACACTTGAGTGACTTCCTGCAATGTAGCCTTCTAAGAGAGTCCATCCCTACAGCATGTCCACAGGCAGTGTGAGGCTTCAGGGGTCCCCTGGCAGCTGGCAGCACTGAAGAATGAGTTCAAGCTTGAAAATTGACTGCTAATCACAGCAACAATAAAACTATTATTTTTTAAAAATCTGATAACATTCTAGATTCATCATTTTTTGCCCCAGTTTGTTCCTTGGTGGTGATATTCACCTTAAGCCTCAGGGTCTAGAGAAAAGAGAAGGTCTCTCAGGAATTTTAGCATTAGGGTAAATCTTACAAATGGACATTTGCCAGAGAGTGTAGGGAGCATTTGGAAGCCTGGCAGCAGGGCTGAGAGGATGAGAGGGATAGGAGAGAGAAGTGAGAGAGGAGGCACATACTCCAGGGAGGGCCTGGGAATGTGCTGCATAGCAGAGGCAGGAAGGGTACACAGAGAGAGTGGACAGGTTCTTGTCTGGAAACCCAGAGACACAGAGCACAAGATGGGTAGCCAGAGCCGGGGTTTCGCCATATTGCCCAGGCTGGTCTCCAACTCCTGGCCTCAAGCCATCCACCCACCTCGACCAAACTGCTGGGATTACAGGTGTGATTCACGACGCCGGCCTTTTTATTAATTTTTAAACCACTTTTTCTTCAAATTTGGACTGGAAAGTGAGATGAGTCACTGAGCTGGCCTTTTGATTAATTGTTTTATGGAATGCTTCATGAATTTGGGTGTTATTTAAACCACGTTTATGTCAAATTTGGACTGGAAAGTGAGATGTCTCTAGGATACCTAGAGTAAGGTCTTACTTGACGGTCGTCAGAAAAACACAGCCAAACCTCTTCAATATTCTGTTACAGCTGATTGGAAAATGCTGGTGTTATCATTGTTTTTTCTGGTCTCTTCAAAGTTAACCCCACTTTGGAAGCAACTAGAGCCTTGTATTGGGAGAGTCCTAATCTACCCATCCGCACCACTGGTGGTTGTATAGTGGGGACAGGTGGGCTTGGAAAGTAGTGGAGATTTGAACAGGGCTCAGGCCGTTTGGGATCTCATGTTGTAGGACTAGGGTTCAGGGAGGAATGACACAGGCTGCTTGCACTAATACATGGTTTGTTTAACAATGGTTCTGGGCCCTGGGGTCCCTGCAGAACTCCCTGATTTCAGCCTCCTGAGGGCTCATTCAGACTTCTTATTCAGATCTGACTCTGTCACCCCAGGATATGTTTCTTACACATTTCCCAGAGCTCTCTGTATCCCAGGGTGGGAAACTCTCAAGTTGCATCCATCCTCACACAACGAGCTGCCAGGATGAATGGGGCTCTGTCCGTGGTGCTGAACATGTGCCTCGCTGTGTGCTGGTAGGTAGATGAGTTGTCAGGCAAAGGCAGAAAACATATGAACATCAGAAGACAGGCGTGGAGTGAGGTGCCTCCCACCATCCACGAGTTTCCATTACTGGTTTCCTTTTAAGCTATTCATTGGGTAACAAATTTGCTTGTCATCCTATATCGCCAAAGTCATTGTAGAAAACATCTTTCACAGGCTTTTCACACAGGCTAGGAAGGGACACTCAGACCATGTGTAGACTGTTTGCTGAGTCAAATGTCATCCTCTGCCTCCTGGTTGATTCTTTTTTTTTTTTTTTTTTTTTTTTTTTTTTTTGAGACTGAGTCTCGCTCTGTCGCCCAGGCTGGAGTGCAGTGGCACGATCTCTGCTCACTGCAAGCTCCGCCTCCCAGGTTCACACCATTCTCCTGCTTCAGCCTCCCAAGTAGCTGGGACTACAGGCACCCGCCACCACACCCGGCTAATTTTTTGGATTTTTTAGTAGAGACGGGGTTTCACCATGTTAGCCAGGATGGTCTCGATCTCCTGACCTCATGATCCACCCGCCTCAGCCTCCCAAAGTGCTGGGATTACAGGCGTGAGCCACTGGGAAGTTTCTCTTCATTCATTCACTTCTTTATAGATTGTCCCTTGAGGTCTTGTGAATCCTTAATTTTTCAAGACTAAATACTTCCTTTTCTTTCGTAACACATAGTATCTGATTTTCTGGGAAACTTTCTATTTGACAAAATGGGACTGGGATGTCAACATGAATTCTCCATGGAAAGGCTGATCTCACTGATTTAGAATTTGTGGTGGTTCTTGTGGTAAGATACCTGAAGAAAATATTGCTCTTATGTGACATTAAAAAAGAAAAATGTGACACTTAAGGTGAGTAAAATGAAGGTGTGTAGTTCTCTGCTCCCTGGGCATTAGTATGTAGGAACTGGATGCTAGAAAATCTTTGGCTTTGCTTTCAGCTTTTGGCTCGGAGGAGGCCAAAGTGCACCTTTCTTCGGTCGTCCCAAATCCAGGTTCATCTGACACCAGCCGCCTCCACCATGCCGCTGAAGTTTGATCCCAATGAGATCAAAGTCATATGCCTCAGGTGCACTGGGGGTGAAGTCGGTGCCACTTCTGCGCTGGCCCCCAAGATTAGCCCCCTGGGTCTGTCTCCAAAAAAGGTTGGTAATGACATTGACAAGGCAATAGGTGACTGGAAGGGCCGTAGGATTACAGTAAAACTGAACATTCAAAACAGACAGGCCCATATTGAGGTGGCACCTTCTGCCTCTGCCCTGATCATCAAAGCCCTCAAGGAACCACCAAGAGACAGAAAGAAACAGAAAAACATTAAACGCAGTAGGAATATCACTTTTCATGAGGTCGTTGACATTGCTCGACAGATGCGGCACCAATCTTTAGCCAGATAACTCTCTGGAACCATTAAAGAGATCCAGGGGACTGCCCAGTCTGTGGGCTGTGATGTTGATGGCCGCCACCCTCATGACATCATATATGACATCAACAGTGGTGCTGTGGAATGCCCAGCTAGTTAAGAAGCACAAAGGAAAATATTTCAATAAAGGATCATTTGGCAACTGGAAAAAAAAAAAGAAGAAAATCTTTGGTTTCATCTTGAGGGAAAGGCAAAAGACACTGCCAGCCACTTCCCCAACACTGTCTCTGTAGATCACGTCACTACTGTGAAACCTAAAGAACTGGCCTTTGAGGGATTTTTCAGATTTAGCACTTCAGCAGACTCAGGGCTGTCGCATGGTCCTGAGGCTCCTTGAGTATTGCTCCTGCCTGTTGGGCTTGTTCCACCCACTCGGCCTGGCTGCACTCAGACCACACTACCACGTCAGATCCCACACCCACCACAGGCAAGCCGGGCATGGAGTGGTGAGCGGTGTGTCAGCAAGCGAGCATGAGGTCTGGCCACTGTGCACAGCCAAGCACTCTGGCTGCTTTGGTGGAGTGGGCAGCTCCATGAGCTGGCATAGATGCCATCTCCATGCAAGGCCGTGGCTGGCCCAGATGCAGGTGCCTGCAGCAGAAGCTGCATGTGGTACATCTGGACAAGGGGAACATGGCAGTGCCTGGAAGCTTGGAGACACCAAGAACCACAGAGCCCCAAAGAGGGTGTCACAGCCTAGCTTGACAAACCCCTAGGTCTCCAGTCCTCAAAAAGCTGCAGCTTTTCTCTGCTTCTTGTTACTGGTAATGTGCAGAGTGGGAGGTCATGTTTCAGCCCTGTTCGTGTTACAGTTCTTTCAGGGGCTGGGACCTAAGTTCTTTTTGCAGGTAGCAGGGACCAGCCTATGTGCGTGAAGTGTGCAGGTGGAACACAGAGCACTCCACCCACCCAGGTGGATATCAGAGGATGGGCGTTCAGGCACTAGTGAGGCCCAACCCTCTCCCTCAGTGACATCTGCGTTCCTAATATTCTTTTTGAACATCTGAAATTCCACCAAATTCCTGCCTGTCATCTGGGAGAGACTCCTTGAGGCCAGGTGGAAATCACACCCAGGTGTCACCAGGATAATGATTCAATCTCTTCTGCACTTATTCCAGAGGGCAAGCCCACGACAGGATGAAATCCCAATGCTCTCCTGTGTGCCACGTTCCAGAAGCTCAGGTTCCCCAGCAGCACCTGGGGTTGTGGGAAAGTCTTTCCTGAGGCCAGCCTGGGGCATCTGGGATCAGGGGCTGCTTGCCTTTCTGGAGGGGCTCAGCTCAGGACTGAGGGGGATTCTGGGCTGGAACAGGAGTGCCTGAGTCCCGTCCAGATGGTGTCTATGAGCTGCAGGGGGCCCTCATGCCAGGTTCTTTCTTACATAGAGGAAACTAGGGTGACAAAATGTGACCAATGGGAGTTGGAGTTTACTCTTATTTCCAAGGAAGCCATGAGAGTCCTGTGACCCTGGAAAGAGATGGGGTCCCCAA
Source organism: Homo sapiens (assembly GCF_000001405.40). NCBI lineage: Eukaryota > Metazoa > Chordata > Mammalia > Primates > Hominidae > Homo > Homo sapiens. Next base: position 46,221,311 of record NC_000019.10, read on the forward strand.
TAACTAGGGACATGGCAGTGAGTGGTGCAGCCCGGCTTCCTGTCCTCAAAGAGTTTCAGGCCCACTGTCCCTGGACAGTGACAACCCAGAGTGGGCAGCTCTGGGATGGGGGACAGACACAGGCTGCTTCTTTGGGAATTTTGATATGGGGTTTTAGTGGCCCCTGCTGCTTGCTGGGAAAATTCCCCACCTTGGAATTGTAATCGATTTCAGGAGAAATGACACACAGTTGCTCATGGATATAAAATAAATTTTATAACCAAAATAGAACCCAGTGTCAGCACTCCCCAAGAAGAAGGATTCAGGCTTGGTCCAGTGTGAAGCAAGTGGGCACTTAGGCAGGTGGCTTTGCCTATTTTTTGTGCATGGGCCCATGGTGAGGGTTGCTGCATGTGGGCTGGGTTTTGAGGGGTTCGAATGTCTTTCTGCTGTGCAGAGAGGGAGCACATGCTCTGCCCAGATGTGCAGTGGATGTGACTAAGGACTGGAAAGCTGATAATCTCCAAAACTGAATGTTCTTGCCATACAGGGAGATGAAAGGGCTGCTAGAAAATAGCTTATCTAACCCTTTGAGAAAATGTAAAGAAAAGGTTCCAACCCAGGTGTGTGTGACCGCAAAGTCTCAGGATTGCTGAGACAGGGGCTTTTGCATCCACGGAGCCCCGGGTTGGTCCCGCTGCCCTCCCTCCCACTCAGCCTGTGACTCCCTGGCTCTGTCATCATCTCCCTCTGCTGATTTCTCTTCCCAGCCTGACTCAGCTGCCCTGAGAGATCAGGACCAAGGCCAAGGACGGCCAGCTGGGCTCCTCCCTCCCCAGAGACGCCAACCCAACCCTGCCCTGAGGAATGTGCTTCTCCTTGGCACTGGCTGGTCTCCAGACCTAAATTCAACCCTCTTTTTAGCAGGCTGAATGCCAAGCCCAATCTCAGCGCCCCCAGGAAGGACCTAGGACTGAGGCTGTGAGCTCTCAACTTGTTTTTTTGGGGCAACAGGCCAGGGCAGCTAGCCAGTGATTTTAGGAAAGACGAGGTGAACCTGTGCTCAGAGGATTTTTTCCTCCCAGTGTTTAGTAACTGTTTGGCTGTGACTCACTAGGAAAAGCTCATATCACATTATTTATGGCTTACACACAGCCCAAAAGAAAGTTTAATTAAACAGACGAATAAGATACTGTAGCGTGCACATTCCTCTATTCTTTACTGATGCTAGTTTAATATCTAAGATACCCATGGTGACAAATAAATTGGTTCACAACCTGAAGAAGTGTCACAATCCCCATGTTGGAGATCACTGCTCTACCCTGCAGCTGCAGGACAGGGGAGGCCAGAAGTGAGAGTGAGAAATGGGGTCGGGGATGTGAGTGCTTATCTCATCCACCCATGAGAGCGAGTGGGCCTGCAGGACTCTGGAAATTGCATGAGTATTTCTGCTCCATCAGCCTCCTGCCTGGTCTCCTGCTCCCATCTCAATCCTCCCAACCAGCCTCCTCCCAACAGAAGGACACACGGACTTTCCTGAATCACAATCTGATCACTTATATTTCCTGCTTAGGGCCTGCCTGTAGCTCGGGTGCACTGAGAAGAAAGACCATTTCTCACCGAGGCTCATAAGGGGAGGTGGACAGGGGAAGCGATGGGTATGGTGGGAGCTTCCATGGCCTCCTTGGACTCCAGATCCTTTCAGCACCTCCATGTGTTCAGCAGCCAGGAAGTTCAATTCTTCTTGTTCAGGAGTTTTTAGGCTGGGCATGGTGGCTCACACCTGTAATCCCAGCACGTTGGGAGGCTAAGGCGGGTGGATCACCTGAGGTCAAGAGTTCAAGACCACCCTGGCCATCATGGGGAAACCTCATCTCTACTAAAAAATACAAAAATTAGCCGGGCGTGGTGGCAGGCACCTGTAATCCCAGCTACTCGGGAGGCTCAGGCAGGGAGAATTGCTTGAACCTGGGAGGGGGAGGTTGCAGTGAGCCAAGATCGTGCCACTGCACTCCAGACTGGGTGACAGAGCAAAACTCTGTCTCAAAAAAAAAAAAGTTTTTATACTTTGGTCTTTATCGCCTCCCCATCATCACCTTTCTTGGAGGTTAGTGGGTGACACCGAAGGTTCCTTCCCTCTAATCCTCAGATCTTTTGGTCTTTCTTCTGGTGACTGCCGTGATGCTGAGGCTACCTGGAGACCCTACCCTAAGTCATATTTTTAGCATGAGCTAATGCTGTGTGATCTGAAAGAGGCTCATTAGGAATAACAAAAGACACTCCTGTCACTCAGGATGTTCCAAGTTCAGCATCATAATAGGAAGAGGGCCAAAGAACACACATTTTCATATTACAGCACACCTGGTAAGCCATGGGTTCATCAGACTGGACCCCCCTTACTCTGCCAAATTTGCAGCACTCATGAGTTACCAATCCCAAGGGAGGACTCCCACTGCAGGGAGGATGGCAAAGGTCACCACTGCGCTAACCACCCGGAATAGGGGTCTGAACACTTCAGCCACCGCATCTTGGGCTGCACTCTGACTACACTGAGCGTGGTGAACAGAACACCCACAGCCACAGCCAGTTCGACAAAGCAGGTTAATTACTTACAGACAGGCAGCGAGGGACAGCGGAAGCCTAGGCTGCATGACTCACTGGTCCCCCGAGGCTCAGGAGCACGGCCCAGGGCAGATAGAGTCTCCCGTGCTTGCCCCACTTGCACCACAGCTGAGGACTCAGCAGTGAGCTCTGGGTTTTATATGTGGTGGACACGTCCTGGGCTAGTGTTACAGGAGACCCCCTCTGGAAGGGATGGGAATGAGGCCAGGGCTGTCCTGGGCAGTTTCTCTGTAGCTCAAGTTGTTGCATTCTCTGGGAAGAATAGAAACGAAGCCCGGGCACTTTCAGGCAGTTCCTCCTTTCTTAGGATGGTGCATTCTGATATAGTTTGGCTCTGTGTCCCCACACAACTCTTCTCTCAAATTGTAATCCCCATGTGTCAGGGAAGGGGCCTGGTGGGAGGTGACTGGATCATGGGGGCAATTTCTCTATTGTTGTTCTCATGATAGTGGTCGAGTTCTCACGAGATCTGATGGCTTAAAAGTGTGTGGCAGTTCCCTGCTCCCTCTCTTTCTCTCCTGCCATCATGGAAGATGTGCCTTGCCTTCCCTTCACCCTCTGCCATGATTGTACATTTCCTGAGACCTCCTTAGTCATGAAAAACTGAATCAATTAAACCTCATTCCTCTATAAATTATCCAGTTTCAGGTCATTCTTTATAGCACCATGAAAATGAACTAACACGCACTTCTAGTGCATTCTACAGTGATTCTGGGAACTCTGGGCAAGAAGAAAGGTGGGAAAGCCAGAGCCATCCAATGATTGTCTCCTGGTGCCCTCCTCCAGGAAGCCATTTCTGGTGCCCTGGGCACTGCTCCCAGCCTTGCTCATCCTGGGTCATCACTGTTTGGAGAGGTGTCTCTGTCCTCCCTGGACTATGAAAACCAGGAGGGCAGGACCTGGAACTAAGTCACAACTGTGGCCATAGAATCCACTAGCACAGAGGAAGTGCACAGGGTGTATTAAATGAATGAATGAAAAAAGTGAATTGACGATGAAAGCCCTATGTTCAGGGTGTGTCTCACTCAACCTGTCTGTCCTGTCATGGTGACTTGGTGAGACTTGTTGCCTGCAGGTCTCCAAACCTCCCTGTCTTCCAGACAGCCCCAGGGCTTCCCTGTGAAGCTGCTTCTCAGCTGTGCCCTACAGAGTCAGATGCATGGGGGACGCTCTAAAGCTGGACTCCACAGCCCACCTTTTCCCCGCTTAGCCCTCCTAACACAGGACACAGCCACATGCAGGGCTGCAGGAGCCCAGGCTGCCAACAGCATCAACCACCTGCTAGGAGAGGGTAGGGACGGGTGAGACTCAGAGCCTTCCAGCTTACTACGTTTATAAATCCCTTGGCTGAAACTACTAGGAAAAATAGTTGTGACTTCATCACGTGGGTTACACACAATCACAAAGAAAAGGGAAAGCAAAAATTGACAAGAGTGTGTCAGCCTCCCTAAAGGGAACATCTCCAAATTTGGATCCCAAATGACTTTTTTCAGAGGAACCCTCCTTCCTTCTCCTCAGAACAAGCACATTCATTCACACAGGAAGGAGATTAAATTCCTGTAGAGCAGAGGAGGAAAAACCTTTTCACAGAGGAGGTTCTGTGGTCTTAACTGTCCTGGGGTCATAATGTATTTGAGAGTCTGGAAATAATTATAAAGTTTTTTGCTCAGATTATCACGGACAATTGCGAAATATTGTGAAATGCCACTGAATTGCACACTTGAAAACACACACACATACACACATGAAAAGTTAAGCAAAAATGTGTATTTAACTGGTGGAGAGTGTTGGCGGGAGAACAAAAAGAACTGTCCAGACCTCTGGTGCTGAATGGTCTGCTCTGGTTCAACTAAAAATAAAGCCTTCGATCAATTTGGTCACTGAAAAGACTTGTTCACTTCCTGCTGATGATCAGAAACCACAGCAGAGACCTGATTTTTGGGTGTCTGCCTTAACAGAAAAGCCACAAAGAACTGTGGTGAGGGCATGGCAGATGACAACCACAGTGCTATCAGGAGGTAACAGGTGACTGACCTCAGCCTTGATGCTCGAGAAGATTTCAGAGGATGGGTGACATTTAAGTAAAAGAAGAAGAATGAAGAAGGATGGGGTATTGGGTGCAGAAGCAGGGGTGACGCTGTGGCTCTCCCAATTAGCTGTGTTAAGCCAAGGGCAGTGAGAACCAGGGAGGGTGTGCAGGATGTGGGTGTGGACACTTGGAATCCAGCCTACATCTTCAGGACCTTCTGCCTGCAGAGGCTGGAAGCTTCACACTTTCCTTCCCAGAGGACCTTGTAGCTGGGGTTCTGGATGCATTTGAATCTCTGGGCAGCGCAGCCATTGTGTCTCTCGGTGTAGCCACAGGAACATCTCATGTCCAGGTGATGGCCCTGAATTGCTGAGACACTATTCTAGCCACAGAACTGGCATCCGGATCTTAATTGTTCTAGCTTCATTCCTGGTGGCAAACCCTGGGGCCTCTCCTCCAGCCCCTCCTATGACATGGAGGCTCTTAATTCACTGGTCTGCATCATACGAAGGATCCTGCCAGAGCAGGGATCAGGCTTTGGTCAACAGAAACCCCCCTTGCAGGGAGCTTCTGAAATCCCAACATTGTGTTTGGAGAAAATGACTCACACAGACCCGTCCTTGTCAGCCAGCAGCAGAGGGGCCTCCGGCCTGGGGAAACCCGGCCTTCCTTCTACATACCTGCACACCTGAAATTCCACCTCATTCCCACCTGTTTCCTAGCAGGGCTTCCCTGAGGGCAGATGGAAAGGCCACTCCAAAGCTGCCAGGAGGGAGATTCCTATTTTTTCCTGGCGTAAAAGGGCAAGCAGTGGGGGAGCTGCTGACAGCGGGAAATGCCAGCGTCCTCCGGGGTTTCACATTCCAGAAGCCAAGATCTGCCAGCCCTGCCCGGGAGCCCTGGGAACATCAGACCTGGGTGTCTTCCAGGAGTGTCTGTGAACAGAGCCTTCCTGCCCTTCCCAGAGGGGCCAGGCCTAGGGAGTTTGGCAGCCCTTGGGTAGGAGGTCAGGAGACCTGGGTCCTGGCCCAGCCTGTGTCACTGACAACCAGCAGCAGAACCTCAGCCCGTGTCCTGCTTGGATCCAGGAAGTGGGTGAGAGAATGATGGTGATGGTCGTTTGAGGTCAGGGTTTACATTTACTGTCCAGACACCTGGGATCTTCTCCAGACACTTGAGGACAGGCTTCCACTGGGAAATCCTGGTCCCACCTCACACATCTGGGTCCCCAGGCAGAAGACAGACCCATGCCCAGACGTGGACGCTCCAGAGTGGGCATGTTAGGAAGGGGGACTCCGAGGGATTGGTGGCGGGATTGGACATGGCTGTGTGCACAGACTCTTCTGACACCTTAGGAAGGTGCAGGGACAGGGTTTGAACGCAGGGCTGACTGACCCTAAAGCCTCCTCATGTCTAATTGGGGGCTCTTAGTGTCCAGGGAGCCCTGGACGGGTGCCCACTGGCCTCACACTGTCCCAGCCTCCGAGGCCTCCATGATCTGCTAAAATCTCCCTCTACCTTCCAGATGCTGCATTGACTCAGCTGCTCTGAGAGGCCAGGAAGGAGCAGCTGGACTCCTCCCTCCTCAGAGGTGCCCACCTTGCCCCTGCCCTGGGGAAGGTGCTCCACTCTCTCACTCTGGCTCATATGCAGGCAGCCTTGCCTCTTCTTGGTAGAGACAGTAAGACCAGTGCAGGGCTCCACTGCAGCCTCCCAGAAAATGCCTGGAACCAAGGACCTGAGAACTCTACCCCTTTATGGAAGACATCAAAGGGGAGACATGTCAGTGGCTCTTAGAGAAGAAGGAGATGATCCTGGAGGCTTCTGTGCTCCCAAGTGTCCTCACCATTTGGCTGTGACTCCCTCCAGAAACTAGATATCTAGTTCTAGATATGTGCTATGCTATCATATAATAATATCATACGATAGAACAATATAATAATATTCTATCATTACTTGGAATATACACAGTCCCAATAAGAGGGTCCTAAACAGGCTGGGCGCAGTGGCTCACACCTGTAATCACAGCACTTTGGGAGGCTGAGGTGAGCAGATCACTTGCGGTCAGAAGTTCAAGACCAGCCTGGCAAATACGGTAAAACCCCATCTCTATGGAGAATACACAAATTAGCCGGGTGTGTTGGCGGGCATCTGTAATCCCAGCTACTCAGAGACTGAGGCAGGAGAATCACTTGAACCTGGCAGGCAGAGGTTGCAGTGAGCCAAGATCGTGCAACTGCACTCCAGCCTGGGCAACTGAACAAGGCTTCATCTCAAAAAAATAAATAATTTTTTTTAAAGTGTCATAAACAGTTGAGCACAGCATTCTGTTGAATGCACACTGTCCCATTTTCTAACCCATTTCTTCACTTAAAAATAACATTGTTTATGCCCAAGTAAATTGATTTTCCATGCTACTAGCACATCCTAATCTGTGTCCTAGAAAACACTGCTGTACCCCACAGCAGCAAGGAACAGAGGCCAAGGGAGCAGACAGGGAGATGGTGCTGGAAGCAGGGTCTGCTCTGTCGAGGGAGAAGGTGGGTGCTGAGCACTCTGGTATTTATTGAAGTCATTTCTCTGCAGCCTCTTCCTGTGTCTCCTGCCTCCAGAGAGAAGCCCCTATCCGTGCTCCCCAGGAACACAGATGCAGGATCTTCCACACACACAAATCTAACCACATCCATGCCCTGCTAGGAGCCAGCCATGGTGCCTAGAGGGTGACAGGTCACCTTGCCTGGCCCGGAGGAGAACGGCTTGTCCATGCCATGTGTGGCCTGTGAGCTTGAGCGGAGGAATTCCTGCAGAAGCTGGGCAGGGGTAGGGGGGCACAGAACTGACCCAAAACAGCTCCTTCCCCTCTGTCCTCACATCCTGACCCCAAGATGGCTCTTCTCAGGGAAAATCACAACCCAACCCTCTGAAAAAGCACATTAAGGAAAAACACCTTTGAGAATCTCAGGGGGGGATGTGGAATTTCTCCACCAGAACTTCACAGTGATAATGACACCAAACACAAGAACGACAATAACCAAAATCAGGAGTTTTATTCTCCTACCTTCTCTCTCTCTCTCTCTCCTCTCACTGTCATGAACGTCACGAAGACACTGACTTTGCGTTTTCTACTCAGCACTGCATCACTGGTGTCTGACACGAAGCCTGGGACATGTAGGCTCCCAAGTGGACCTGTCCTGGGTAAATGACCATTAATGAGACAGAGAAGGAGATGAAGAGCCCCCAGAGGAGTGTTGAGTCCCAGGGGTCCCGCCAGCTCCACTCCCACCTTCCAAACCTGTGAAAGTCAGGTGCCTGAGTCACACAGTCTCTCCCACCTGAATGCCATGAGCTGCAGGTGACTGAGAAGTTACTGGATTCTTGACCATGTGTTTCGGTTGTGAGGTTGGGACCTAATGGGACCCTTTGAAATGATGTCATGGGTTAGCAATGTCCCAAGGAAACTGAGGAAAGTCATAGCTCAGTAGGATCCTGTGGAATCGCTGTGTGGACATGTGAGTGTCGGAGAGTGTTAATGCCAGGAGCATCCTGAACCTTCCTATTTTCCAGAGGACTCAGTGTGGGGGACGATTGGGGCACATAGCACAGAGAAGGTGGAGGGTGTACCGCTTCTCTCCTGATTACAAAGGTGAGATCAAAGCTACAATGACACGTACCCTGCCTGGCACCTCTCCTGCCCAAGGACCCAGCCTGTCTCTGCAGGACTTGCAGGAGGGCAGGAAATGCCATGACATCACCAGCTCCACTAGAAATATGGGATAAAAGGAGTGGCTGAGATCTGCTGATCCCCTCCTCACTCCACTGCAACCACCCAGAGCCATGGCTCCCCGAGGCTGCATCGTAGGTAAGGAGGACAGGACCCCATTCCCACCTGAGCCCATCTCCAATCTCAGCCACCACCAGGGCTCTCTCCCTACCCCAAACTACACCTCATCCCTGTTCCCATGCCCAGCCAAATCTCCAGGCGTGAATTGCTCACAGCAATTCCCCATCCATAGTGCCCAGATCAGCCCCATCCACAGCCCTGTTTCAGTCCCTGAGCTGCTCAAAGCCATACCGAGCCCTGGTTCCACCCAGTCTTCTTCTAAATGTCAGTGCCAGTCATATCTGTGGCTGTCCACTCACCCCATCTTCCCTTTCCCTTTCCCACAGCTGTCTTTGCCATTTTCTGCATCTCCAGGCTCCTCTGCTCACACGGAGCCCCAGGTGAGCCCAGGAGTGTTTGGGAAGCTGGAGGAGGGGTACACCTTCCAGGGGACCCCAGGCTGGGACCCACCTGCCACTACCTCCTGGATCTCACCAGCTCTGTCTCCTCCAGTGGCCCCCATGACTCCTTACCTGATGCTGTGCCAGCCACACAAGAGATGTGGGGACAAGTTCTACGACCCCCTGCAGCACTGTTGCTATGATGATGCCGTCGTGCCCTTGGCCAGGACCCAGACGTGTGGAAACTGCACCTTCAGAGTCTGCTTTGAGCAGTGCTGCCCCTGGACCTTCATGGTGAAGCTGATAAACCAGAACTGCGACTCAGCCCGGACCTCGGATGACAGGCTTTGTCGCAGGTGAGTCCTGTCCCCTCCGTGGGATTGTGGGTGCAGGGTAGCTGCATGCCTGTTCTGCCCTGGGTGGAGCCCCCATTCTCCTTGTCTCCCTGTCTCTGCCCCCTGCTTCTATTCAATCCACCTCTCCCTTTCCCTACACCTGTGTCTCCATCCATTTTTATTTCCCTCTCAGAATCTCACTCTCTCTACCCCGCTGTCCTCTCCTCCTGGCTCTCCTGTCCTCATTTCTGCCCATGTTCAGTCTCGCCCCCATCTCTGGCCATCTCTGTCCCGCTCAGTGTCTCTCTCTGTCACTATCTCCAGTGTCAGCTAATGGAACATCAGGGGAACGATGACTCCTGGATTCTCCTTCCTGGGTGGGCCTGGAGAAAGAGGCTGGTGTTACCTGAGATCTGGGATGCTGAGTGGCTGTTTGGGGGCCAGAGAAACACACACTCAACTGCCCACTTCATTCTGTGACCTGTCTGAGGCCCACCCTGCAGCTGCCCTGAGGAGGCCCACAGGTCCCCTTCTAGAATTCTGGACAGCATGAGATGCGTGTGCTGATGGGGGCCCAGGGACTCTGAACCCTCCTGATGACCCCTATGGCCAACATCAACCCGGCACCACCCCAAGGCTGGCTGGGGAACCCTTCACCCTTCTGTGAGATTTTCCATCATCTCAAGTTCTCTTCTATCCAGGAGCAAAGCACAGGATCATAATAAATTTATGTACTTTATAAATGAATGCTGTAGAATTCATGAATTAGAGAGCTTGGACTGTTGAAAGGGGTCACAGAGGGTGACGTGGGGCCCCTTCTCTCTGTCACCCTGAGGCATCTGGGCCTTTCCATTTGTTCTGTTCGTGCACACACTTATTTTCTCTTTTTCCATTTATTTTTAAATTTATTATTTTGTTATTTGTGCTCGGTGACTAGGACCCTGGCCGCACCTGGGACAGGGGCCACCCTCCTACACCAGCCTCCACCACCCCATGGCTCCCTGAACCCAGTCACAACATCGGGAGCAGCCCAGGTGGGGTGGGGAGGAGGTGGGGATCGCGAGAGGGCTTCGGAGAGGCACTCCCTCTCCCACCAGTTCTGGGACAGAACAGGACCCGGCTGTTTGTTCTTGATGTACGTTAAGGAGATGCAGACAGACTGGGAAAGAACGGAGGTTCTTTCTCCAACTGGCTATGGGGAGAAGGTCAGAGTAGCTTACCAGACCAACTCAAAGCTACAAACTTCTTTTTCTAGTGCTTATATGCATTCTAAGCTCCACGCCTATGTGCGGAGTGCACCTGCAAGACAGCGTGTTTCATTCTTATCAATATCTAATCTTTAACTAGTGTCCAGGGTCTGGAAAGCTTTCTCCAGAGTCTTGGAAAGTTTCTTAATCTTAAATGGACCCCAGTATGAGGAATATGTGGAAGAATGCTATTATTATTTGATCAGATTTTAGGGTCTGAGAAAACCCAGCTGGGGTTTTAATGGGCTTGTTTTCTCATTCCCGCCCTCATCCCCAGGCACTAGTTTATCCAGTTCTATAATGTTTAAGGTATGCATTCATCAAAAATAAAGTTTAGTGGAAACTGACTCTTCTGGTCGCTAACAGAAACCTGATCTGCCACACACCCATCCCAGGCACGCGTCCCCTGGGATCGTGGAAAACCCACTGGGCAGGTCCAACGCCCAGAGATGCCACACTTAGTCTGACTTTGGGCCAAAGCTGGAGCCTGAGAGGGAGTGGGTGGGGCGGGGTGTGGAGGATGTGGGCTATGGAGGAGCCCTCGGGTTTGGAAGGAGGAAGCAAAGGCTGGCCAAGGCACCTGAAGCACATTCTTCAGGCCCTGTGCCAGGGACAAACCCTCGTGGCCAGTGCTGATGTGGAATAGATCGCAGGGAGGGGGCCACGCTGCTGCTTACCCAACCCAGAAGCAGGTTCCTTAGGGAGCGTTCAGCCCTAGGGTCTCCACCAACCTGGATTCCCCAAAGTCAAAGAAGCCACCACCTTTCTGGGTCCTGTTTCTCAGGGCCAGGGGGTCTGCACAGGGCCTGCGTCCCTGGGCCTCAGTCATCCGAGGCCAACCCAGGCTCCCGGACTGCCCGATGGCTTCCCTGGGCAGATTCTGACTCAAAGGGTTCCATCATCGCCCCACAGTTGGCAGCCTCGCCTCAGTGGCCCCAGACGGGCCCGGTGGCCAGGTGTCTGCACGTGCGGGAACTCTGGACCCGGCACATCACCATGGCAGCAATCTGGCATCACAGGGCAAATGCCCTGTCTCACAGGCCTAACCCTAGCTCAGGGCCTATCAGTGGGAGCACACCCAATGCTGGGTGAGCTCTGCCTCCCCATGCTAGGATTCTGCAGGGCGTGAGAGCTGTGCTGGCGCCTAGAAAGCGACAGACCCACCCCACCCACGGGGTGGCTGCTTCCTCATCCTCCACAGTGAGCGTCCTAAACCTTCACCCTGTCCACATGTGACTCTCCTTGCCTGCACTCCCCCCACCACCCCATGAAATGATCTCATTTGGTCATTTAAGTGGAAAACTAAAAAGTTTTAAGTGACTCCGTGAGAGCAGGAGAGAGGCGGGTCTCCCAGCTCAGACCCCGCCCTGGACGCCCCCACTGAAGCCGCACAGCAGGATGTAGGTGCCCAAGGCACCTACACGCGCCGAGAGGCCTCGCTCAGCCCCGCCCTTCTTAAACCTGGAATCCTCAGGTGTCTGGGTCCTGCCCCATACAGGCCCCCTAGACCACTGGTCCAGATCCCCAACCTTCCCCCAACACGAGGTATTGACATCAAAGCATCACCTCATCTGGCACAAGAATCTGAAACACAGACCGCACCTTACACCAATGTAGTGAATCCCTCCTTGGATCTCAGTCCAACAAGCCCAGAGTCGGGGCTCTGGGTTCCCGCCCAAATGCCACGTGTGCGCACAGAAGGCACCTGACGTCCCTTCTAAGGGACAGGAATCTCAGGCATCCCAGAATCACTAGGTCTGATTTAAATAGCGTCAAATAAATTGGAAAAGAATGAAAGTGCTATAAAGTTCGGCTGAAATTTTCAGAGGTTTTATTGGTTGTATCTGGTGGAGAGAGTGGGCAAGTCTTCTCTGAACATCCATGAGGACGAAGAACAGTCACTGAGGTGACGGTACCAAGTCACCGGCCACCTCCCAGGGATCCTCTCATCCGGTCCTCACAGCAGCGCTGCATGGTCGGACCTCATCACCCACATTCCACCAAGAGGAAGCTGAAGCCCGGGGCCTTCATCCACTCATGTCCTCCAGACCCCTGGCACCCATCCTGGGCCCCACCCCATCATCCAGGCCTTGGGCCTTCGACCTGGGGAGAGTCCCTGTCTCCTCCATGAGCCGCCCTGGGCCTGAAGAGGTATCCAATAAACAAGAAAGCAGAACACAAAGAGCTGTGATGGAGTGGATCTTATGTAGTAAGAATAAACTTATTTTGAGAAATTTCTGGGTCATGTATTTACCCACAGAAAAACAGAAGCAAACACACACACACACACACGCACACACACACACACACACACCACACAGGCTGTCACGTGTCCTAAGCACAAAGTGCCTTGAGCAAGGCCATTGCTGGCCCCACACTTATCCTGACTGTGATCTTGCTGTGATCAGCACATCCCATCAGTGTGGCAACAGGTGTGGCCAGAGTGGGAACCAGGCCTTTTCTTCAGATTTGCTCTTTGTTCCTGAATAGCCACCGTCAGAACAGACACCCTCCTAGAAGTCACTTGATTAAAAATTTCCTTTTGGATATTTAGGTTGATGTTTTATCCATCGGTTAAAGTATAAATGTATATTTATTATAAAAGTGTAATTATGGCTCTAATTAATGATTATGGTGAATTTTAATAACTATAGCTATGAAAATATTCCAATAGATAAAAACAGTGCTAAAATATACAGTTAATATAAGAGTGATTACTTTAAGATAAATCTTGTAATTTTTGATCTAATAAATCTTCATAAAATATACATGATCATGAAGCACATCAATAGAATTAATCCTAATATTTATAGCAATACTTGGCGTGCTCTCTCTCATAAAAAATAACATTAATAGTAAAAAAAAAAAAAAGAAACAAAGAAATCGGCTGGGCATGGTGGCTCATGCCTGTAATCCCAGTACTTTGGGAGGCTGAGGCAGGCAGATCACGAGGTCAGGAGATCAAGACCATTCTGGCTAACATGGTGAAACCCCGTCTCTACTAAAAATACAAAAAAGGAGCCGGGTGTGGTGGCGGGCGCCTGTAGTCCCAGCTACTCAGGAGCTGAGGCAGGAGAATGGCATGAACCCAGGAGGTGGCGCTGGTAGTGAGCTGAGATCATGCCACTGTCCTCCAGCCTGGGCAACAGAGTGAGACTCCATCTCAAAAAATAATAATAATAATAATAAAGAAATGATGAAATTTAAAAATTCTATTTAATTTTGGGTTGTTTAATTTTCATTTGGGGCATGACTATGTGAAGTAATAAATTTTGTTTGGGCATTAATATGGGATGACCTATGTCTCCCGCAAAATTCATGTGTTGAAGTCCTAACCCCAGTATCTCTGAATATAACTGTATTTGGAGATAAGGTCTTTGAAAAGGCGATTACGGTAAAATGAGGTCATATGAGCAGGACCTAATCCAAGCTGACTGGTGTCCCTATAAGAAGAGGATATTAGGGCACAGACACACACACAGAGGCCATGTGAAGACACAGGGAGGAGTTGGCCATGGATAAGCCAAGAGATAGACCCTCAGAAGAAACCATCCTGCCAACACCTTGATCTCATACTTCTGGCTTCCAGAACTGTGAGGAACTGAATTTCTCCTGTTCAAGCCACCCCTCTGGTGCCCTTGATTATGGCAGTCCTGGGGGATTAACACAGGCAGAAGGAAAATGAAGGATGCAAGAGTCAGAGAAAGGAAGAAATCAAATGTACTTTCTCCTCATACAATTTTCAAAATTTCAGTTACTTTAGGAAAACACTTTTTGGGAAATTATTCTAAACTGGGTGTTTGGCGTTTTATTCTAAACTAGGTGTTTAGTGACTAGATACTTTCTTTTCTTTCATAACACATGGTATCTGATTTTCTGGGAAACTTTCTATTTGACAAGTGTGTGATCAGGGATCTCTACATGAATTCTCCACAGAAAGACTGATCTCATGGATCTAGAATTTGCAGTGGTTCTTGTGATTAGATACCTGAAGGAAATATTGCTCTTATGTGACATTAAAGAAGAAAAATATGACACTTACGGCAAGTAAAAAGACGGCGTGTGGTTCTATACGCTTGTCTGGGGCTTTTATTGTCTGCACCCTTTGGCCTTTTTGAGTTGCCAGCTTCTCCAGGTCCTCCAGCTTCTCATGAGTTGCATCTAGGATATATGAGGCAAAAAAGAAAACTCAGGGAAACTCCCTGCTCTGCCATTTCTGTGGTCCCAAGGTCCTCCCTTCGTCTGCCTTCTTACCCTACCTTTCTGAGTCTTCTTATGCTTGTTTTATAGCTGTACTGAGCAGGAGAGATATGGAAACATATGCCTACCTCGTCTTTCTGGAAGCAGAATTCCACTCCTACTGAAGGGTTTTGGTAAGAACACATTTGCCAGATCAATAATTGCCTACCAAGGATCAAACACTGTTTTGATTTGCCCCAATAAAGATACAACATCTGGCACAGCATCTGTGGTTGGGGCACAGTCTAGCTCTGGTTTTGAAAACTTACAAATACCTGCCCTTGTCTGTGATACAGTTTGGATGTTTGTCCCCTCCAACTCTCATGTTAAAATGTGATCTCCAATGTTGGAGGTGAGGCCTGGGGAGGTGTTTTGGTCATGGGAGGAGATTCCTCACAAATGGCTTGGTGCCCTCCCCATAGTAATAAGTGAGTTCTCACCCTGTTGGTTTGTGCAAGAGCTGGTAACAAGAGTCTGACATTTCTCTTGCTCCCTGTCTTGCCATGTGACATGCCTGCTCTTCCTTTGCCTTCTGCCATAATTGTAAGCTTCCTGAGGCCCTCACTAGAAGCAGATGCAGGCACCATGCTTCCTGTATACAGCTTATAGAACCACGAGCCAATTAAATCTCTTTTCTTTATAAATTACCCAGCCTTGGTATTTCTTTCTAGCAATGCAAATGGACTAATGTAGTCGCTTTATGAGGGGTCAGAACGTGAATTGCATGAGGACATGATGATAGTGCCCATTATCCCTGAATTTTTCACATCATGCAATTCACCTTCTGGGCCCCATATAGGGGAAGTGATTCTGGAAAATGTGGTTCCCATCTCAGAAGGGAGTGGGTGTTGGGGACAAGGTGATAATAGAAAGTCTAGCACAGTCCACCCCATTCAAAGATAAGCATGTATTGACACCCATTATAGCCATTTTCAACTTCAAAATAAAGGCAGCAACAATACCATTTTCCAAGTAATGTGATGCAACTATCAGTTTTACCACCCAAAGACTTTTAATCTTCTCTAGAGAAGAGGGGTTTGAAAATGCATTGTCCATCTCCCAGATGATTAACAACCTCTCTTACTATTTCATACTGTAAATACCAAGAATCAAACAATATAAACCAATACTTGATAGAGGAGTATGAAGGCATTGAGACAAACAGCAACGGAATCAGTTAACATAGAAAATATTCACATAGGCCAGGCATGTTGGCTCATGTCTGTAATCCCAGCACTTTGGGAGGCCAAGGCAGAAGGATCGCTTGAGTCCAGGAGTTCGAGACCAACCTGGGCAACACGGTGAAACCCCATCTCTCCAAAAAATAAAAAAAGAAATTAGCCAGGCATGGTGGTACACGCCTGTAGTCCCAGCTACTCAGGGGGCTGAGGCGGGTGGATCACTTGAGCCTCGAAGGTAAAGGTTGCAGTGAGCCGAGATCACGCCTCTGCACTCCTGTCTGCATGACAGAGTGAGACCCTGTCTGAAAAAAAGAAAAAAATAAATAAAATATGTTCACCTCAAAGTGAGGAAGATTATATAAAAGTCCAACTTAGTCCTTGTTTCAGCAGCTGGCCTAGAGGCTAAAGCTGGCATTTAAAAATTTCCTCTTTCAAGCCAGACACAGTGGCACATGCTTGTAATTCCCACGACTCAGGTGGCTGAGGTAGGAGGCTCACTTGAGTTCAGGATTTCAAGACCAGCCTGGGCAACATAGCAAAACTCCACCCGAAAAAAAAATGTTTTTCACTCCATTCTATAATCTCTTTGCTCTCAGCAACCACCTCATCTGATTGTGATTTTTTTTTTTTGTTTTTTAATGACTATATTGTCTTCTCTTCATCCTTACATGAATCACCCTCTCCCTCTCTCCCCGAAAAAATCAATCATTCCATTGTTAGAATGCAGTTTAGGGTCTATAAACTCCAAACTCAGTACATAATTAAAATTTATATTTGCACTTTGGGAGGCCGAGGTGGGCGGATCACGAGGTCATGAGATCGAGACCATCTTGGCCAACATGGTGAAACCCCATCTCTACTAAAAATACAAAAATTAGCTGGGCATGGTGGCACGTGCCTGTAGTCCCAGCTATTCGGGAGGCTGAGGCAGGAGAATCGCTTGAACCTGGGAGGCGGAGGTTGCAGTGAGCCGAGATCGAGCCACTGCTCTCCAGCCTGGGTGACAGAGCGAGACTCCATCTCAAAAAAAAAAAAATGTATATTCATTGGGACCTTGAACTCAGTCTTCAAGTTTTACATGCAGTACCATTAGTTTAAGTTCAGTTGATTCACTGTCTTTCTGTCTCCTTCCACAAACCAACCTCTTGCATCAGATGTTCTCCTTAACTTGCTTAGAGTGCTGCCATTTTTTGAATTTTTTTCCACTTTATCACCTGAAACCTCATTTCCATCTTAAGTAGGCCTCCCATGCATTGTCTAAGTATCTCCCTAGTAATTCCCAACATTTTCTTGTCCCAACTGCAGCCTAGTTCTCTCTTTAATAGAATTGTTTTACATCCCTCTCTTGTTGTAGATATGATTTCTCTACAACTCCATATATGAAAAAGATAAGGTGAATAGAGGATATTGTGAGCAACTCAGTTTCCCTTGCCACTTCCCAGATTGGTAGTCCAACCCCTTCTCTGTGTCTATTCCCTCCAGCCATGCTATTCTTTATTTATTCTTGTGGCCTCCTTGTATATTCACAGAGGACTTTGCTTTGCTCTGGTTGTGATTTTTAACCTGGTGAAATTACCCACGTCTTCATTCTTGAAGTATATATGCCATTAGGAGTCTTTTCTGTAATGAATTGTTATAGTTTTCCCATGTTTTACTATGGGACGTGGGAGTTCTAAGAGGCATCCCACAGAATGCCTTGTGTGAGTGGTATAGTTATACTCTCTTCTGCCCATTGTGTGGTAGCTACCCAATTCCCCCCTTGATAATCAGGACAATTTGCCACTTTTGGCCATTAGGCTTTACACAATTTCTTCTACCTTAGACTATATAACCATTCAATTAGAGCCAGGTTAATGCCTTCTACTTCCAAAGTCCACATCTCTGGAGTCAACAGCAAGAACATTCCCTGCCAAGGACTACTCCAGATTTCTGCATGCTTAACCCAAAGCAAAAATAAGACCTTTTGAATTAAGGGTGTTTATATCATTAATCTTCATCATATGCAATGTTGAGTTTTTTTTGCAAAGCAGATTCCTGGTTAAATTTTTTCAGAGCATCAAATTCCTTCTGGTGTAACAATATATTATTTGCACCAATTTTACCTGTATAGCAACTACTTTTCATTCTTATCTTATAAAACTTATCATTTGGTAAAAAAAAATTCTCACTTTTCCTGAATTTCCTGTTGGTTCCTTGTAATATCTTCCATCTAGGTCTTTCAACAGGGTGAGTTTCATATTGATAAGGAGTTCAGGAAGGGAGTTATCGAAAGATAAAGTAAGTGCACTGGCATTTTCTCCTTGAGAGGCTGGGTAAGTCAACAATAGATTAGACCTATGGAATATGAGAAACAGCAGGCTGTCCCTACAAGGTGGGAGACTGTTGACAGCTATGCTGAGCCTAAGGAAAAGAAGACAGCCATGAACTGTGTTCAGAATTAATTTGCCCCGACAGAAAATAGAGGCAGGGAAAATCAAGATACAGTACTCTGGAATGTGCATTTCCATGTCATTCTCATGAATGGTACAGTCTAACTAAGTTCAGTCATTTTCTCAGTACAAATTCTGATTCTTGCTCTCTCTGGTTGCATCTACTTGGCGAGCTGCCCTGGGCATGTCGTTTAGCTATCTCTATTTCGTTTTCATACCTCCCATACAGTGCCATGGAGTCCTTGTGTCTCCCTTGTGGCCACACAGAATGTTCAGACAATGAGCTTAATCACTTGATTTCTACTACTTAAACAGACAACTCTTGAAATCAATTTGGAATGTTTTTTGCTCCACCAAGTATTGCAAGACGTTAGCAAAGATCTCAGCTAGGTGCCCTTTATTAGAAAGCCATCATACAAATATTTGAAAAGATTCAATTCTGGCAATTCTGGGGAGTCGTCTCCATTTTACAGCTGCTTCTCTTTACTTGGGGAAGGTATAAGTAAATTACACCTTCCCCGAGCATCTCAGGGAGACACTCAGGGGAATCCCCTCTGGCTTCCCCGACTCTGTGTTATCAGTTAAGAAGCGCATGAACATTATTATGCATTGTGTAATGATATGGTTTCACTGTGTCCCCACCAAAATCTCATCTTGAATTGTAGCTCCAATAACTCCCACATGTTGTAGGAGGGACCCGGTGGGAGATCATTGAATCCTTGGGGCAGTTTCCCCATATAAGACTTATTCTTGCGGTAGTGAATAAGTCTCGCGAGATCTGATGGCTTTATACGTGGTTTCCCCTTTCTCTCGGCTCTTTCTCTCTTTGCCTGCCACCACCTAAGACATACCTTTGCTCTTCCTTCGTCTTCCACCATGACTGTGCGGCCTCCCCAGCCATGTGGAACTGTGAGTCCATTAAACCCCTTTCCTTTATAAATTACCCTGGTCTCAGCTATGTCTTTATTAGCAGCATGGGAACAGACTAATACGTGTAATATTGCTATCGGCATTTATCTAACAATGATATAGCTCTAAGCAGGTGTTCTGTGTTCTTACTACACACTATTTTCGCTACAGTGAAGCTGTATACCTGTTGATTCCCCATCTGGCCCATTGCAGCCAGATTTTTCTACCACTGGCAGGCTACACCTTGGCTCACTACAAGTCAATGTGTTTTGTATTTTTCTCTAGCCATATATGGTTTCAAAGATGTAGGAAGAGTATAGGTGGAGAACTGGATTTAGATAAGGCTGTGGTTTTCCTAAATGAGTCTTACCAAACAGTGGGGAGACAAAGGACAATGGAAATCAGCAGGCTGTAATTATAATGATTAAGCAAGGAATCTAAGGTAGATAAACAAGTGTTATGAAAGCCGTCTTGAATCAGAAGTCAGGCTGGTCGCGGTGGCTCATGCTTATAATCCCAGCACTTTGGGAGGCCAAGGCAGGTGGATTACTTGAGGTCAGGAGTTTGAGACCAGCCTGGCCGACATGGTGAAACCCCGTCTCTACAAAAATACAAAAACTAGCTGGGCATGGTGACATGTGCCTGTAATCACAGCTACTTGGGAGGATGAGGCAGGAGAATCACTTGAACCCAGGAGGTAGAGGTTGCAGTGAGCCGGGATGGAACCACTGAACTCCAGCCTGGGCAAGGGACCCAGACTCCATCTCAAAAAAAAAAAAAAAAAAAAAATGGCCGGGCGCAGTGGCTCACGCCTGTAATCCCAGCACTTTGGGAGGCTGAGGCGGGTGGATCACGAGGTCAGGAGATCGAGATCATCTTGGCCAACATGGTAAAACCCTGTCTCTACTGAAATACAAAAAATTAGCTGGGCGTGGTGGCGCATGCTTGTAGTCCCAGCTGCTCGGGAGGCTGAGGCAGGAGAATCGCTTGAACCCAGGAGGTGGAGGTTGCAGTGAGCTGAGATTGCGCCATAGCACTCCAGCCTGGTGACAGAGCAAGACTCCATCAAAAAAAAAAAAAAAAAAAAAAAAGCCGTCTTCAATCAGAAGTCACATATGAAGAGATAAGAATTCAAAACATCTTAGAATTCACATTCCAAATAGCTTAAATGGAACTGGGTTATTAAGAAAGAGGGCTAGAAACATAAAATGTACTAATGAACTCATCTAAATAAAGGAATAATGTGGTTAACAAGGCAGGCTATTTCAATAAAAAACAATTGCCTGAATGGCCAAATCTGTTGCCTGGGCAACAGAGCAAGACCGTGTCTCAAAAAACAAAGCAAGCAAACAAAACAAGACCTACTCAAGCCCAATCCTATCTCTAAAACAATTCTGTGCCCCTATTCTCTCCTTGCCAGTCTTCCTTATCTTCCTTCCTCCTTCCTAATCACCTTAATCTTAATCATGGTTAATCTTTAACAGCTGCTCCATCCTTTTCCCAACCGGTAAACTTCACCACATTCTTAGAATCCTAAACGACGTTCCCCCCATTCCTATTTTTCTGAGAGTTTTTATCATGAATGGGTGTTAAATTTTGTCAGATGCTTCTTCAGCATCAATTGATGTGGTCATGTTATTTTTCTTCTTTTGCGTGTTAATACGGTGCATTCCATTGATAGTGATTTTTGAAATATTCTGCCAGGCCTACATTCTAGAATAAAGCCTAATAGTCATGGTGTGTAATTATTTTTTATATTGCTGAATTTCATTTACAAATATTTTGTCAAGAATTTATTTTTCTTTTTTTTAAAAATGGAGTCTCCCTCTCGCCCAGGCTGGAGTGCAGTGATGTGATCTCGGCTCACTGCAACTTCCGCCTCTTGAGTTCAAGCGATTCTCCTGCCTCAGCCTCGTGAGTAGCTGGGATTACAGGCGTGCACCACCACACCCAGCTAATTTTTTGTATTTTCAGTAGAGATGAGGTTTCACCATGTTGGCCAGGCTGGTCTCAAACTCCTGACCTCAGGTGATCTGCCCGCCTTGGCCTCCCAAAGTGCTGGGATTACAGGCGTGAGCCACCGTGCCCAACCAAGGATTTTTGTATGAGGGATACTCATCTATAGTTTTATTGCTTGGTTGTTGTCATTGTTCTTTGTCTTTTTATGGTTTTGGTAACAGAGTAATTTGATTTCACAAAATAAATTGGGAAGTATTCCTTCCTATTCTATTCTCTGGATGAGATGGTACAGAACTGGTGTTAATTTCCCTTTAAACATTTGGTAGATCCTCAAGTCGACCATCTGGGCTTGGAGATTTCTTTTTTAGGAAATATTTTAAATTCTAAATTCAATTTCCTTAATAGTTATAAGGCTACTAAAATGATATATTTCATATTGGGTGTGTTGTGCTCATTTGTGCTTTTAAGTGGGTGGTCCATTTAATCTAAGTTGTCCAATTGTGTAGAGTTATTCCTAGTTTTCCATTATTAATCTTTTAGTGTCTGCAAAACCTATAGTGCTATCTCCTGTCTCATTATTGATATTGATAATTTGTGTCTTCTGTTTTTGATAGTTTTGCCAAAAATTTATACATTATTGATATTTTGAAAGAATTAACTCTTTATTTCATTGATTTTCTATACTGTTTTTCTGTTTTCAATTTTCATGACCCCTGCTTTCCTCTTTATTATTTCCTTCCTTCTCCTTGCTTTGGTTTATTTTGCTCTC
The DNA here is from genome assembly GCF_000001405.40 of Homo sapiens. Taxonomy (NCBI): domain Eukaryota; kingdom Metazoa; phylum Chordata; class Mammalia; order Primates; family Hominidae; genus Homo; species Homo sapiens. The sequence goes on from NC_000019.10 coordinate 46,243,230, forward strand.
TTATTTTTTTCTAGGTTCTTGCTGTGGGAGCTTAGATTATTGATTTTTCCTTTCCTTCCTTCCTTCTTTCCTTTCTTTCCTTTTCTTTCCTTTCCTTTCCTTTCCTTTTCTTTCCTTTCCTTTCCTTTCCTTTCCTTTCCTTTTCTTTCCTTTCCTTTCCTTTCCTTTCCTTTCCTTTCCTTTCCTTTCCTTTCCTTTCCTTTCCTTTTCTTTCCTTTCCTTGTCTTGTCTTTTCTTTTCTCTTCTTTTCTTTTTTTCTTGGAGTTTCACTCTTGTCGCCCATTCTGGAGTGTAGTGGCACGATGCAACCTCCGCCTCTTGGGTTCCAGCAATTCTCCTGCCTCAGCCTCCCGAGTACCTGGGACTACAAGCACCCGCCACCATGCCCGGCTAATTTTTGTATTTTTGGTAGAGATGGGGTTTCACCATGTTGGCCAGGCTGGTCTTGAACTCCTGATCCCAGGTGATCCACCTGCCTTGGCCTCCCAAAGTGCAGGGATTACAGTCTTGAGCCACTGTGCCTTACCTGATTGTTCCTTTTTTCTAATACAACTATTTAGTGCAATAAGTTTCACACTTAGCACTGCTTTATATATGTTCCACAAATTTTGATATATTGTATTTTCATTTCATTAAGTTAAATATACTTTTAAAAATCTTTGAGACTCATCTTTAAACCATGAGTTATTTAGAGTTGTGTTGCTTAGCTTCCAAGTGCTTGGAGATCTTTCTGTAATCGTTAGTTTGATCAAATTATGGTCAGAGAACACACTCTGTTAAATTTCAAAATTTTAGAACTTGTTGAGGTTTGTTTTATGGCTCTAGATAGAAGTCAATTCTCCATTACCATTTACAATGACATCAAAAATAACAAATACCTAGAATTAAATCTAAAGAAAGGTGAGAGACCTCTACAAAACTCTGCTGAAAGATGTTAGAGAAGACCTAAACAAATGGGAAATAAACCATATTTATGCTTTGGAAGACTCAATGTAATAAAGATGTCAATGTTCCCCAAATTGATCTATATATTCAAGGCAAACTCAACAAATATTACAGCAAGATTTTGTATAAGTTAACAAACTGATTCTAAAATTTATCAGAAAATGATGGCCAGGTGTGGTGGCTCACACATGTAATCCTAGCACTTTGGGAGGCCATGGCAGGAGGATCACTTGAGCCCAGGAGTTCAAGACTAGCCTGGGCAACACAGTGACACCCTGACTCTACTTGCACAAATTTAAAAAAAAAGGATCAGAAAATGAAAATGACAGAAAATGAAAATGACAATACAATATTGAAGAAACTAAACAAAGTTATAGGACTTACACTAACAGATCAGGAATTTTTATGAAATTATAATAATTTAGGGTGTGGTATTGTATAAGGTAAACAAATTTATCAATGGAAAAAAACAGAGTTCAGACACAGATCCACACATAGACAATCAGTGATTTGTGACAAATGTACCACTACAACTCACCAGGCAGACATTAGTCCTTTTAATAGATATCTATATGGGGGGAATGTATCTTGACCCTTATGTCACACCAAATGTGAAAATTAATTTGAAATGGATCATAGACTTAAAAGCAAAAGATTTCAAACTATAAAGCAGGATTTCCAAAAGCCAGTGTGAAGAGCATGGGCGCCCTCCTCCCAGCAAAACAACCATTTAACTGGTGAAAAAAAATTTTTAATAAAAACAACTAATTAAGTCTCTGGAAATTGTCCTTAGGGCATATCGCAAACGAAGAAATGTTTATTCAAGAAATTCTGTTAGCCAGGTGCGGTGGCTCACACCTGTAATCCCAACACTTTGGGAGGCTGAGGAGAGCAGATCACCTGAGGTCGGGAGTTCGAGACCAGCCTGACCAACATGGAGAAACCCCGTTTCTACTAAAAATACAAAATTAGCCGGGTGTGGTGGCGCATGCCTGTAATCCCAGCTACTTCGGAGGCTGAGGCAGGAGAATCCCTTGAACCTTGGAGGCAGAGGTTGCAGTGAGCCAAGATCACGCCACAGCACTCCAGCCTGATGACAGAGCAAGACTCTGTCTCAAAAAAAAAAAAAAAAAAAAAGAAAGAAAGAAAAAGAAAAAGACATTATACTCAATCTGTAAACAGCAGCAAGAGTCTGAGGGCATTTAAGCCACACATTACTCCTATTCCCCACATCCCCAGCCAACTCTGTAATTGAAGCTCTATTATGGTCAGTCACAGTCAAGAAAATGGGACTCCACCTCTCCCCAGCTCCCAGCCTAGGGCTACAGTTTCAGTTCAGAAAGGGCAGTGCACCAGCATCTTTTATCCTGCTGTCTCCATGTTGCGGATGTGCTATATTAGTTAGAAATTGTGGCTTGCAGCACCGGGGCTCCTTCTCCCATCCAGCCCCTCCTCCTAGCGTGGAAGTTCCACGCCAGGTTTAGCAGGTCAAGCACACTGGGCTTCACTGATCCTGCCTGAGTTCACTCATGGGGCAGAGGTTCCACACAAGAAAGGGCAAACCGAGAAGACGAACAGCTACCACCCCCTCCCAGTGTTCTAGCTGTAGAGGAAAGACATCACCGCAGGAGAAGCTAGCTGCTGTCCCTGACACCAGCTCCAGTCCAGCGGCTCAGTGGTTCTGCCCGGGGGAGAGGGAGGCCATCAGAACAGAGAGCTCCACAAGTATCCCTAAAACTGGCTTTACTTGAAATAAGAGTGTGGAGAAGTTGATGCTTAATGACATTGAAAAAATAAAAAAGGAAATTTTGGTGCTGAAAAACCAAAAAAGGGCTTGCAGTAGCAACAACAAACAAAAAGACAAGGCAGAAGCTTAACAGAGATAATCAGAAAAAGAGATAACTAAGAAGGGCCCTCCTGGAGTGAGAGACAGCCTCAAACCCTGGCAACACTCTGACTTGGCAAAGAAGCTAGACTTTAATCAGCCCACAAAATGATTTATGCATTGTGCTATAGGCCTATTAAAAAGAATAGAGCAATCAATTAACAATAAGAGGAGTCTAACAGATGCAAGTGATACCAACAGAGGCAGACAAGCCAGAAGCTTAACAGAAACATCAAGGAAAGGACAGTCAAAAAGAGGCCAGCTTATGCCATAACTATCTGGAGTAGTTAGAGAGACAGTGCGTATGCTTAGGGCTGCACCCTCTGGAGAGCACTAAGAAAGGTATAATTGTTCATATGTAATTATGTAATTATTACTTGTATGCATGTTATATAATTATTGCTTATATGTAATTGTGTAATTACTTATAAAAACAGCATAATCGCTTATTTCTTACCCTTTCTCCCCTTAACTGGTTTTAAAAGTCATGGCATGAAACAATATGTATGTAATTGTATTGCTGGGAAAAATAAAGAATCTGATTTTTAAATGGGCAAGAGGTCTGAATAGCCATGTATTAAAGGAAGACATACAAATAGTCAACGGATATATGAAAAAATGTTCAACAACACTTATCATCAGGGAAATGCAAATCAAAACCACACTGAGATGTCCCACTTCGGTTAAAATGGCTTTTATCAAAAAGACAAAGAATAACAGATGCTGGCAAGGATGCAGAGAAAGGGGAATGCTCATATACTGGAAATGCCCCTCCAGACCCAGACAGTAAAATTTACAAAACATTTAGAGAAGAATTAATACCAATCATTCACAAACTTTTCAAAAAAGTCAAACAGAACTTTCCAATTTACTCTGAGGTCTGTATTACCCTAACACCAAAATCAAAGATATCACAAGAAATTAAAAAGAAAAAACTACAGACCAACATCTCTTATGAATATAAATTCAAAAATCCTCAACAAAATATAGCAAACCAAATCCAGCAGCATATATAAAGAATGATATATCAGCCGGGCACAGTGGCTCACACCTGTAATCCCAGCACTTTGGGAGGCCAAGGTGGGTGGATCACGGGGTCGGGAGATCGAGACCATCCTGGCTAACATGGTGAAACCTCGTCTCTACTAAAAATACAAAAAATTAGCCCGGCATGGTGGCACGCTCCTGTAGTCCCAGCTACTTGGGAGGCTGAGGCAGGAGAATTGCTTGAACCCGGGAGGTGGAGATTGCAGTGAGCCAAGATCGTACCACTGCACTCCAGTCTGGGTGACAGAGCGAGACTCCGAAAAAAAAAAAAAAAAAAAAACAATGATACATCATGACCAAGTGGGATTTATCCCGGGGATGCAGTTGGTTCAACATAAGAAAATCAATCAATATAATATACCATATTACTAGACTATAGAGGAAGTCACGTAATTCTCTCAAATGATATTGAAAGAGCATTTGACAAAATCTACACTCTTTCATGATAAAGTACAAAGAACAAACTAGGAACAGAAGAGAGCTTCCTCAACCTGTTAAAGAGCATCTACAATAAACTCATAGCTAACATCATACTTAATTGTGAAAGATTGAATGCTCTCCCCCTAACATCAGGAACAGGATAAGTATATTCACTCTTACCACTCTATTCAACATAGCTCTGGAGGTTCAAGCCAGGAAAGTTAGGCAAGAAGAGAAAATGCATTCAGATTGAGCAAGATGAAGTAAAATGGTTTCTATTTGCAAATGACATGATCTTGTATGTTAAAAATCCTTAGGGCCAGGTACTGTAGCTCATGCCTGTAATCCCAGCATTTTGGGAGGCCAAGTGGGGAGAATCACTTGAGGCCAGGAGTTTCAAGCCACCCTGGTCAACACAATGAAACCCTGTCTCTACAAAAACAAAAAATAAACAAAATTAAAAAATTATAAGTACCTGAGGTGATAGATAGCGTAATTAACTGGATTTAATCATTCAACAAGTTAAGCCTACATTAAATCATCACATTTTACCCAATGTGAATAAACAATTATTCTTTGTCAATTTCCTAAAAAAATTCCTAGCAGAAAACGTGGAAGTAAATCTTGATGACCTCAAGTTAGGTAATATTTTCTTAGATATTACACCAAAAACACAAGAGACAAAAGGAAGAATAGACCTCATCAAAAATTAAAAACCTATGCACTGCAAGCATCAAGGAAATGAAGACAATCCACATAATGAGAGAAGTGTTTGCAAATCATGTATTTGATAAGGGATGAGTATCCAGAATATATTTTAAAACTCTTACAACTATATAATAATAAAATAAGCAACCCAATTAAAACATGGAAAAAATCTGAATAAACTTTTTTCAAAAAGGAATACAAATGGCCAATAAGCACATGGAAAAGATATTCAGCGTCATTATTCATTAAGGAAATGCAAATTAAAACTACACAGGATATCATACGCACCCACCCAGATGACTGTAATAAACAGGAAAATAGAAAATAACAAAGGTTGAAGAATCTGGAGAGAAATGTGAGCCCTCATACACTGCTGATGGGAATGTAATTGATGCGGCTCTGTGGAAAACAGTTTGCCAATTCCTCAAAAACTTAAACAGAATTACCATGTGGCGCAGCAATTCCACTCCTACATGTACACCCCAAAATAATTGAAAACAGGTTCTCAAGCAAATACATGTATATGTATGTTCATAACAGCACTATTCACAACAGCCCAAGTGTCCATCAACAGATGAATGGATAAATGAATGCTGATACATGGATACAATTGAATTTATTCAGTTATAAAAAGGAATGAAATACTAATAAATTCTACAATGGGGATACAATTGTAGAAATTGTAACAATGAAAACAATAAACAAAGTAAAAAAAAAGAAGGTGACACAAAAGTTCACATATGGTGTGATTCCATTTATATGAAATGTCCCAGATAGGTAAATCCATACAGATGGAAAGCCGACTGGTAGTTGCCAAGGGTGAGGGTAGAGGGGAAGGGGAGGAACAGCTAAGTAGGCATACAGTGGTCGGGGGCTGTGGAGCCAGGTGACTCGGAGCTAAAAAGCAATTCTGGAAGATGACTGAGCTACTCTTCTTTCAACTTGAGAGAGGAAGAGAAGGAAGGAGAGGAGGGAAAAGACAGGGAGGGGAAGAGAGGAGAGTGGGGCAGTGGAGGGGGAGAGAGAGAGAGAGAGAGATTGATGGTTGCGCAAAAAGAAGCTAGTGAACACAGCAGGCATTGCTCACCTTGATGGAATACACACAACAAAACTCTGTCCACCGCCTGGGCTGCCCTTACTTGAGCACACTCCTGGGGTAGTCAGGCCTCACTCCTGGGACATGGAGCCTCACTACTGCCTGGTGCTGAGAGCCCAGGGGCTCCAGTCAGCAGTGCTGGAAGCAGGGCCAGAAGTGCAGTTAGGACCACAGAGCTGGGTCTTGTTCAAGGACAGGATGATCCCCTTATTACAGCCCCAAGAGATTGCAGATCTGGTCTCCACTCTGGAGTGTCAACTGGCACAACCACAGTCCAATATCTGGAAGAGTCAGAGCTGATGAGCTGACAGGGGACCTCTGGGAGCCCCCAACCCTATCCACAGTGCTATAATCCTCCCTCCTCTCTTCTCCCTCCGCTCACCACACCCCTTCTCATCTGTGGTCCCTTCTGAGTCTGAGCCCAGGAGTTCAAAAACAAAGATCAGCTGAGAGCAGAAGGAGAATGACAATGTTTCTGGGGTCACCGGATCATGATCATTGGGGCACAAGATGATGTCTCTGAGTTTCTTTGGTTGCTGTAACAGCTCACAGTGGATTTTGGGACTGACTCTGGATGTAGGTCCTGGGGACTGGGCTTGGCAGGTGAGGAAATGCAGGGAGGGCTCTGGAAAGGGTTAAGCTTCTGGAATTTGCAGGTGGGGAGAGAGATTGCAATGCAGTCAGAGAGGACACGGGTGATTATGAGGTGGGAAACCGAGAATTAAACAGAAAAGAGAAAATTAAGTTTGAAGTTCAGAGGTACCTTAGGGATAACATTAGGCATTAGCTCAGCTTGGGGCTGGGGATGACTTACCGAAGATTCTGGGCACCATGGTTTAGGCTTCAGAGCAGCAGATGAGAGAGCAGCAGTGGAAATGGGTCAGTGACTTTACACAGGAGATTATTATAGGGTATGAACTTACCCATATTTAGGGAGGTGTGCAGAAGGAGTGGTTTCTTAAAAAGGGTGGGGCATGAAAAGCCACAGAAAGCATAACAAAATAAAAGCATTGACACATTAGTAGGATGCTACTGGACCTGTTCCAGGGCTGTCATGTTCTCAGACAGCTCAAAACTCAGGGCATGAAGGACATTTTCTCCGGTATTCACTGTGAGAACCTCATAGGGTTCCTGGAGGTAAAACTCTTAGAAAAGTGCAGAGGCTCCCCTTAGACTGGGCCCCCTGGAATTTTTAATTCTCAGATTGCTCCACCCTGAGCCTCCAGGAATTCATTCGTTAGACTTCATGTTTTCCTATCCTGGTACTGGTTCCCACAGGGGTTTCTGGTCATGGGTTTCTGTTGCAGTAGTTTTGATTCTCTGTATCCACCTGCCTGTGTCAACAAATCTTAGGGCAGTGGTTTGCCCTGTGACCCCACTCCTCTAATGGATATAAGAAGAAGTGTTAATTGTTTCTTTGTTCAGTATTCACTTTCTGTTAAGATGGAGTGATGAGTTCCAAGTTTCTTACATGCTTGACTGGAAACTGGAAGTCCCAGAGAACATTTCTTTAGAGATGAGGTCTCACTATGTTGCCCAGGTTAGACTTGAACTCTTGGGCTCAAGTGATCCTCCCACATCAGCCTCCTGAGTATCTGGGATTATAAGCATGTGCCATAGCACCGGCTCAAAAACCTACTTTTAATAATGTTCATCCTCTGCAAGCTGAGACTTTCTTTATGACCCAACATATGTGTGGGGTTCCCAGTTTACATGATATTTACAAACACGTTGACTTTACTGGATGCTTATACGTCCTCATTTCATTGTGCTTAAAGAGGAAACTGTAGCTCAGAGAGGTTAAGTACGTTTTGAAATGCCACAACTAGTAATGGTAAACCTGGGTCCCTAAAGTCACGAGAGAGAATTATGAGAGTATGATAGGAAACTTCAAAGGTACCGAAGGCAGAAACTGCTAACAGCATTGGTCTCTGAGGAGTGCAAACGAGCAAATGAGGGGGGAGGTAAAAGGAGGGGAAGGAGATTTTTATTTTTAATTTTCAAAAACCATGTGCTGAAAGTTTTATGCTTTGCATGCATATCTCTAATAATTTAGGGTGAATTTGGGTTGGGCAAATACCCAGGAGAGTGACCAATGGCAAGACAAGACAATGAGAGAGGTAAGCGTGAGTCCTATGGGATGCATAGAGTGAGTCCTTAATTCTCTATCAGTGAGGGAAGTTGGAAGCAGGGTGGGAAGGTTGGGAGAAAGAGAAACCCTGAAGGGAACTAAGTTACTGGGAGCAGGTGCTGGTAGGTGAGTCATGCTGTGGAAGCCTGTTTGCACTGTTTCAAGGAGTGACTCTTTGGTTGGATGAAAAAGGGACGCCGTGGGTGTAGGTAGAGAAGGTGCTGGAGGGGAAGGCAGGCCCAGGTAGCAAAGGGCCTTGTGGGACAAGCTGGGAGCCTGGGTTTCATCCTAGCGGTGGTGGGGAGTCGTTCAATAATTTTTTTGGTTTTTTCTTTTCTTTTCTTTTCTTTTTTTTTTTTTTGAGACAGAGTTTTGCTCTTGTTGCCCAGGCTGGAGTGCAATGGCGCCATCTCGGCTTATCACAACCTCTGCCTCCAAGGCTCAAGCAATTCTCCTGCGTCAGTCTCCCAAGTAGCCGGGATTACAGACATGCACCACCACACCCAGCTAATTTTTTTTAATTTTTATTTTTTGTATTTTTAGTAGAGATGGAGTTTCTCCATGTTGATCAGGCTGGTCTTGAACTCCCAACCTCAGGTGATCCACCCTCCTTCGGCCTCCCAAAGTGCTGGGATTACAGGTGTGAGCCACCGCGACTGGCCATCACTCAATAATTTTAAGCAGTGAAACTCATGACCAGATTTGCATTCTTCTAAAACCAGGCCCCACTCTGTGATCCTGGCGTGTCTTCCCAGACACCCGGGACTATCACAGTCACCACTGCAGCAGGGCAGCGTTTTCCAGCACACTATTATCACCTTGCTCATGTGTTTATTTACTTTGCAAAAATATTGGTTTGTTAGTGTCAGAGACAATTCCCCATGGATCTCTTGCTTTTTTGCTGGCCTGGCAGTGAGGCATTGACTGTCCTTTTGTTCCACACTCTTTTCAAGGATGTTTGTGTAGTGTACTGCCTTGGAAGACAGAGGTAAGGTTTCCCTTTAGAGCAAAGAATACTTGTTTACTGTCCTGTATAAAAATAATACTCTCTTCCTCCAGGTCATTTAGGCTCTGATAAAACCCTAATAATTTAGATTCTGGTAAAATGCTTTCTCTTAATGGCAGAGCTTGTTAAGAAGAACAGAATACTCTGGTGTGTTTCACAGCGGTTACTTTCCCCCTTCCCACTTCATGCCAGACCATGAAGGAGATTTTTCTCCCATATTCACTGTGAGAACCTGATAGGGTTCCTGGAGGTAAAACTCTTAGAAAAATGCAGAGGCTCCCCTTAGACTGGGCCCCCTGGAGTTTTTAATTCTCAGACTGCTCCGCCGTGAGCCTCCAGGAATTCATTCATTAGACTTCATGTTTTCCTGTCCTGGTACTGGTTCCCACAGGGGTTTCTGGTCATGGGTTTCTGTTGCAGTAGTTTTGATTCTCTGTATCCACCTGCCTGTCTCTCGAAATCTTAAGGGCAGTGGTTTGCTCTGTGATCCCACTCCTCTAATGGATGTAAGAATTGTTAATTTTCTCTTTGTTCAGTATTCACTTTCTGTTAAGATGCAGTGATGAGTTCCAAGCCTCTTACATGCTTGACTGGAAGCTGGGAGTCCCAGAGAACATTTCTTTAGAGATGAGGTATCACTATGTTGCCCAGGTTAGACTTGAACTCTCAGGCTCAAGTGATCCTCCCACATCAGCCTCCTGAGTATCTGGGATTATAGGCATCTGCCATAGCACCCAGCTCAAAAACCTACTTTTAATAATAATCATCCTTTGGAAGCTGAGACTTTCTTTATGACCCATCATATGATCAATTTAGCATAAATGTTTAACATAGACTTGAAAAAAATGTATGTTCTACCACTGATGAGAGAGAGATATTTATATATTTGCATATATAAAATTAGGCCAGGTGTGTTGGCTCACACCTGTAATCCCAGCACTTTGGGAGTCCGAGGTGGGCAGATCACCTGAGGTCAGGTGTTCAAGACCAGCCTGGCCAATATGGTGAAACCCAGTCTTTACTAAAAATACAAAAATTAGCTGGGTGTGGTGGTGGGCACCTGTAATCCCAGATGCTCGGGAGGCTGAGGCAGAAGAATCACTTGAACCTGGAAGGCAGAGGCTGCAGTGAGCTGAGACGGTGCCACTGCACTCCGGCCTGGGATATTGAGCGAGACTTCAACTTAAAAAAAAAAAAAATTTCTTGCATTTCTATACACTAACAATGAACAAGCCAAAAAGGAAATTAAGAAAACTACCTCATTTATAATACCATCAAAAAGAATAAAGTGCTTCAGGCCAGGCATGGTGGCTCACGCCTGTAATCCCAGCACTTTGGCAGGCTGAGGCAGGTGGATCACTTGAGGTCAGGAGTTCAAGACCAGCCTGGTCAACATGGTGAAACCCCGTCTCTACTAAAAATATGAAAATTAGCCGGGCATGGTGACGCTCGCCTGTAATCCTAGCTACTCCAGAGGCTGAGGCAAGAGAATTGCTTGAACCCAGGAGGGGGAGGTTACAGTGTGCCAAGATCATGCCACTGCACTCCAGCCTGGGCCACAGAGCAAGACTCTGTCTCAAAAAATAAAAATAAAAAAAGAATAAAATAATTCAGAATAAACTTAACCAAGAGAGCAAATGACTTGTATAGTGCAAACTACAAAACATTGTTGAAAAAAAGTAATGAAGACACAAATAAATGGAAAGACAGTCTGTGTTCATGGGTTGGAAGATTTAATATTGTAACAATGTCCATACTACCCAAAGTGATCTACAGCTTCAAAGCAATCTCTATCAAAATCTCAATGACAATTTTGCAGAAGCAGAAAAAATCCTAAAATTCGCATGGACTCTTAAGGGACCCTGAATAGACAAAATAATTTTGAAAAATAAAGAACAGGCCAGGCGCGGTGGCTCACGCCTGTAATCCCAACACTTTGGGAGGCCAAGGCAGGCGGATCACAAGGTCAGGAGATCGAGACCATCCTGGCTAACACAGCGAAACCCTGTCTTTACTAAAAAAAATACAAAAAATTAGCTGGGCATGGTGGTGGCCACATGTAGTCCCAGCTACTTGGGAGGCTGAGGCAGGAGAATGGTGTGAACCTGGAAGGCGGAGCTTGCAGTGAGCCGAGATCGCGCCACTGCACTCCAACCTGGGCAACAGAGCGAGACTCCATCTCAAAAAAAAAAAAAAAAAAATGAAGTTGGACCCTTATCTCTAACCATACACAAGAATTAGTTCAAAAAACTAATGAGATCCAAGGCCTAAATGCAAAAGTTAAAACTATAAAGCTCTTAGAAGAATACATAGGGAGAAAGCTTCCTGACATTGGACTTGGCAGATTTCTTGGATGTGACACCAAAAGTCCAGGCAAAATAGTAAACACCAATAAATTGAACTCCATCAAAGTCAGAAAGAAGAACAAACTTCAGGGCCATGTGTTGTGGGCATTTACCATGCCCTACAGGAATAGCCACAAACTTGATGATTCACTTTTAGGCAACAGATCTGGTTCCTTGGTTAACCAGTCCGGTTTCTTTAGCTTCCTTCCTTCCTGGAGGTTTTCCTATTCCGTTGTTAAGTGGGGCCAATGCCAAAAAGAAATTAGGGCAATCCCTGCTAGAGTATCTATCACCTTAATAGATTTCCTACTCCTACCAATTACTCAGGACGCAGATTCTTTGAGAAAGTTTCTCCTCCTTCCGAGACAAAATTTTACACATTAATATGTCTTATGCTACTTGCTGTTGCACATATCACTAATTGAAATGATACATTAATTTGCATAATTTGCTCATTTCTGTGCCTTCTTCTCTAGGCCGTGAGCTCCAGGGTGAAAGACTGAAGGCTCTTCCTCCAAGATCAGGAACAAGACAAAGAGACCTGCTTCTACCACTGCTATTTAACATTGTACTGGAGGTGCTAGCCAGAACCTTTAGAAAAAAAAAAAGAAAAGAAAAGAATTAAAAGCATCCAGAGAGAAAAGGAGGAGGAAGAAGAGGAGGAGGAGGTGAAACTGATGATAAAAACCCATCCAAGAATGTAAATGTGACATCTGCAGCAGGTTCAAATCTAAGCTATAAGACAAACGGAATCCTTCGTAAGGACTGTCATCTATTATGCACAGAGAGCCGAAATCCATTACTGAAATTCTCTTGGTGAGCCACCTGATGGGCCCAGTGACGTACTAGTACACACAGGAGTTGAAACAAAAAAAAGTCTGGCATATTCTTTGGATGACTGGCAGAGTGTGACACCAATATGGTACCCAGCCCTACTATCATTACAAGGACTTCATGACCAAAAAAATAATAGAGAATTGTTTTGGTGGTTAAAACAATTAAAAGCATCCAAATTGGAAAGGAAGAGGTAAAAGCATCTCTATTCACAGAAACATAATCTTATTTATAGAAAACACTAAACCTTCCACACACACACACCCCAAATAAAACACCTGTTAGAATTAACAAACAAGGCCGGGCGCAGTGGCTCACGCCTGTAATCCCAGCACTTTGAGAGGTCGAGGTGAGTGAATCACCTGAGGTCAGGAGTTCAAGACCAGTCTGGCCAACATGGCAAAACCCCGTCTCTACTATATACAAAAAATTAGCGGGGTGTGGTGGTACGCACCTGTAATCAAAGCTACTCAGGAGATGAAGGCAGGAGGATCGCTTGAACCTGGGAGACAGAGGTTGCAGTGAGCCGAGATTGCACCACTGCACTCCAGCCTGGGCGACAGAGTGAGGGTCTGTCTCAGAAAAAAAAAGAATTAACAAAAAATTCAGCAAAGTTGCAAAGTGTGAAATTGACACTCAAAACTCTATTGCATTTCTACACACTAACAAACCATGGGCAACACAGTGACCTCACCCTGTGTCACAGGGCCAGGTACACAGAGGTACTGAGTAAACATTTTAGTTTTCATTAAGTGGATAAATAAAACCAAAACCTATTATTTACCACTCTCCTTTAACACCTCTCTAAAAGCAGAAAGAGATACCTCCATGAGGGACTTTGTGACACTTTGGGCAAAACTAATGCTGGCACTAGTTTGGATGCATCAGCGAATGCTGGACTTCTCACGTTGAGGATTCTCCAGGTGCCCTCCTTGGGCTCATTTCTTCCATGGAGATAAAAGAGAACAGGGTTTTTTGGGGTTTTGGTTTTGGGTGTTTTTTTTTTCCAGAGACAAGGTCTCAACTATGTTCCCCAGGCTGGATGAACTTGGGCTCAAGCAATCATCTGGCCTCTGCCTCCAGAGTAGCTGGGACTACAGGCATGCACCACCACCATAGCCAGCTGTTTTTTTTTTTTTTTTTTTTTTTTTTACATAAATCCTTTCTATAATAAACATTGTCCCTGTGACAGCTAGCGCTCCTCAGTGTTGTCAACTAAGGGCTCACATACGAGCCCCATCCAGCCTGTCATCTCACATACTGCATGAATCCATTTATACAAAATATCCAGAAGAGACAAATTCGTAGAGATAGAAGACTAGTGGTTGCTGGAGGCTGAGAGAAGGAGAAAAAGAGGCGTGACTCCTTCATGGATACACGGTTCCTTTAGGGTGATGCGATTGTTTGGAAATAGTGGTAATGGTTGCACAACATTGTGAAAGCACTCACTGCCTCTGACTTGTACATTTTTAGAAACTTAATTTGACATTATGTGAATTTTACCTCAAAAAAAAATGCCATTCTGGACATAAGGCAGTACCAGCTTTGCCCTAACTCGTCTTCACACAGCACTGCCCACCTTACCGCCCTCTGCGTTCTTCACAGTGTTCTAACCCAACTCCCTTCAGAGCTCTACTGAGATATCACCTTCTTAGGGCAGCCTCACATACCATTCTCTCTAAAATAGCATCAGCCATCACCCTATGCCTTCATAATATGTTTCTTCGTCATAGAACTATTGCCACTGGAACTATCCCTATTTCTTTCATTTTTGGTGGTTTCTTTTTTGAGCTAGAAGCTCACTCCATCACCAAGGCTGGAGTGCAATGGTACAATCATGGCTTGCTGCAGCCTCCATGCTTGGGCTTAGGTGATCCTCCTGCCTCAGCCTCCTGAGTACCTAGGCAGGTGCCACCACACCTAGCTAACTTTTTAATTTTTTGTAGAGATGGGGTCTCACTCTGTTTCCCAGGCTGGTGTCAAACTCCTGGCCTCAAACAATCCTCCCATCTTGGCCTCCCCAAATCCTGAGATTGCAGGTATGGGCCACCATGCCTGGCCTTTTATCTTTTTAATTTTTGAAATGACCAATAGAATTTGAGATGATGGAATTAACATCTTGGTTCAGTGCTGGGTCCTCAGATCCCAAATAGCAGCAGGCACACCGTACTTTCTCAGCAAATGGCTACTAACTTAATTAACCAAACTAATTAAAGGAGGAAAGTCATATGATTTTATACATATATAATTATGAATAAAGAATTTGATGAAATACCTTCAGCAGAAATTTCTAATATGAAAGTATGACTAAGTAAAATAGGATTTTTAAAACCTTTATACATTTGAAGATGTTTATTATAAACCACCAGAAATCATCATATTATTCTCCTTAATATCCACATAAGACAGATATGTCTTCTTCAATCTCTATTATTCAGTATTACTTTGGTGTTGCTAACTATCGCAATACAGTAACATGTAGAAATGAGTTAGAGCCGGGTGTGGTGGCTCACGCCTGTAATCCCAGCACTTTGGAAGGCTGAGGTGGGCAGATTACCTGAGGTCAGGAGTTCAAGACCAGCCTGGCCAACATGGCAAAACCCCATCTCTACTAAAAATGCAAAAATTAGCTAGGCATGGTGGTGGATCCCTGTAATCCCAGCTACTCGGGAGGCTGAGAAAGGCGAGTCTCTTGAACCTGAAAGGCAGAAGTTGCAGTGAGCCGAGATTGTACCATTGCACTCCAGCCTGGGTGACAAGAGCAAAACTCCACCTCAAAAAAAAAAAAAGGAAAAGAAAAGAAATGAGCACTGGAAGAAAAGATATTATTATTTTTAGACAATATGTTTGTATATCCAGAAAACCCAAAAGATTTGCCTTAAAAGAAGATAAATGGATTAGGAATATTTAATATTTTGACTGAATATAAATTAAATGTACATACATCAACAGATAATGTTATACTAGCAATAACCAGGGGAATTGAAATGTAAAAAAGTAGAGTATTGCAAAAGGTTATGTTACACAGGAATTAATTGTATCAAGAAATATGTAAGATTTGTGGTAAGGAAACCATAAAGTGATACTTAAGAACATAAAACTAGATCTAATTTTAAAAAGTAAATAAACCTGGGCCAGGCAGGGTGGCACCCAGGCTGGAGTGTAATGGTGGGATCTTGGCTCACTGAAACCTCCAACTCCAGGCTGAAGCGATTCTTGGGCCTCAGTCTCCCCAGAGCTGGGATTACAGGCTCACATCATGCCCTGCTAATTTTTGTAGTTTTTGTAGAGATAGGGTTTCACTATGTTGCCCAGGCTGGTTTCAAACTCCTGAGCTCAGCTGATCTGCCTGCCTCAGCCTCCCAAAGTTCTGGTATTACGGGCGTGAGCCACTGCACCTGGCCACTTTTTTTTTTTTTTTTTTTTTTGAGACGGAGTGTCCCTCTGTCGCCCAGGCTGGAATGCAGTGGCGCGATCTCGCACACTACAAGCTCCACCTCCCAGGTTCACACCGTTCTCCTGCCTCAGCCTCCCGAGTAGCTGGGACTACAGGCACCCGCACCACGCCTGGCTAATTTTTTGTATTTTTTAGTAGAGACGGGGTTTCACCGTGTTAGCCAGGATGGTCACGATCTCCTGACCTCGTGATCCGCCCGCCTCGGCCTCCCAAAGTGCTGGGATCACAGGCGTGAGTCACCGTGCCCGGCCACCTGGCCACTTCTTCATTCTTGTTGGCTTTGAGTCACCAGAAAAAAAGTAAATTCTGCATCCTTATGTGGCCTATTGAATCTAAAATTACTTGTTGACTAGTTTCATCCCTTTTCTTCTAATGTATAATGTCACCTTTCTCATATATCAGTTTGCCATTATTAGCTTTATCTGTTGATGGACTCCTGCCAGGCAGGAGTGAGCAGCTCTGCCGCACGGGCTGGAGACCCCGCCCTCGGTGCTCAGCTGCCACTGCCTCGTGACAACGATGCTGAAAGAGCGAGGTTCTGAGAGGGAAATCAAAACAGATGGAGGAAGAGAAACAAGTGGAGGGAAAAGGAGAGGTGGATTGAATAGAGGCAAAAAAAAAAAAAAAAGTAAATAAACCTCTGGGACGGGAAGTATTAAACATTTTGGTCATTGTTCCCAAAGCCAAACAATATTTACAAAAAATTTTCATCTCAATCTGCACTTCTAAATTTTGCTATTTTTCAGGAGGAAGCTTTAGAAAATTACTTTGGAGATGTTAAAGCTAACTGCACAAATATTGTCAAGTAAAACTTGATAGAGTGTAATAGGGAGAGAAGATTTTTTTGTCTCTTATTATTATTATTATTTTGAGACGGAGTCTCGCTCTGTCGCCCAGGCTGGAGTGCATTGGCGAGATCTCGGCTCACTGCAAGCTCCGCCTCCTGGGTTCAGGCCATTCTCCTGCCTCAGCCTCCCGAGTAGCTGGGACTACAGGCGGCTGCAATCAAGCCCGGCTAATTTTTTGTATTTTTAGTAGAGACGGGGTTTCACCGTGTTAGCCAGGACGGTCTCGATCTCCTGACCTCGTGATCCGCCCGCCTCAGCCTTCCAAAGTGCTGGGATTACAGGCGTGAGCTACCGCGCCCGGCCTTTTTTGTCTATTATTAAAATTTGAAACAACGCCATTATAAATGAAGATGACACTACCTAGAGGTGGGAGGGCAGAGACAGACAGACACGGAGAATGGGGACTCCACCCAGTGCAGAACAAGTATGCAGCGCCCCGCTCCCCTGCACCCACAATGCCATGGAGAGGACCGGATCTCACCTACGAGAAAGCCTGTCACCCGAGGTCAGGGCTGAGGAGCACTTCTGGCCTTTCGTCTTCACCATGAGGGACGCCTGGGAGCTGAGGGACCGGGGCAGCACTGCTCGAAGCGACACTGAAGGTGCAGTTTCCACACTTCTGGGTCCTGCCCAAGGGCACGACAGCACTGTCATAGCAACAGTGCCGCAAGGGGTCGTAGAGCTTGTCCCCACTTCCCAAATGCCGCTGGCAGAGCATGAGGTAAGCACTTATGGGGCCACTGGAGGAGACAGAGCTGGTGAGGTCAGATGGTTGGTAGATGGGTCCCAGCCGGGGGTCCCCTGGGGGCCACACTCATCCCCCAGTTTCCCAGTCCCTCCTGGGCTCACCTGGGGCTCCGTGTGAGCAGAGGAGCCTGAGGATGCAGAGAGAGGCCAAGACTGCTGTGGGAGAGGGAAGGGGAAGAGGGGGTGATCGGGAAACCACAGGCGATCCTTGGAAGCCCAGCTTGGGGAAGGGGGGCTCCGAGGGAGTTTCTGCCCTGACTGAGACTCAGGGAAGGGCTAGAAGCTGACCTTGCCCTGCCTTCCTGCAGACACACGCTGGGCCCTGGGGTGAGAGAGGTCCCAGACAGGGGATGTGTCGTGGTGGATTTGATGCCAGGTCCTTTGAGAGCCAGGAGAGGACCGATGCTCCCTCCACCCTCAATCTCTCTGTGGTCAAGGGGTGCAGGCAGGACTCTCGGAAGAAATGGGCCTAGGGTTCAGGGCAATGTGGTTGTTTCCTGGTTTTGGAGGAGCTCAGAGCTGGGGCTCAGCTGGGGTCAGGGAGGGAAGGGGCTGCGCTGAGACTGGTGTTGTGCTATGGGTGTGACTGGCACCAACATTTAGAAAAAGATGGGGCTGGGATTGGAACTAGCGCTAGGCAAGACTTTGGGGAGTAGTTTGGGGACTGAAATGGCTGTGGATGGGGCTGGCCCGGGGGCTATGGATGGGGAATTGCTGTGATGGAGCCATGTCTGAGGAGGAGGCCGGGCATGGGGACAGGGATGAGGTGTAGTTTGGGGTGGGGAGTGAGCCTCGGTGGTGGCTGAGATGGGAGATGGGCTCGGGTGGGAATGGGGTCCTGTCCTCCTTACCCAGGACATGGCCTCGGGAGCCATGGCTCCGGGGTGGCTGGAGGGGAGTGAGTGGGTGATCAGCAGGTCTCAGCAGCTCCTTGGCTCCTATACTCCTAGAGGAGCTGGTGATACCGTGGGATGCCCTGCCTTCCTGCAGAGACATGCTGGGCCCTGGATCGAGACAGGTCCCAGACAGGGTATGTGTCATGGTGGATTTGATGCCAGATCCTTTGAGAGCCAGGAGAGGACCGATGCTCCCTCCACCCTCGGTCCCTCTCTCCTCCAGAATGGAGGCTTCTTTGGCAAATAGGAAATTGCAGGACACTCCTGGGGTTGTCCTCACCCTCCCACACTCACACAGCCACAGTCTTACAGCTGACCCTGTGAGTCTAGAGCTGAGACATGCACCGAAGGTTGCTGTATGACCTGGTCCCCTTCTAGACGTGAATCAGTGCGAGGGCCCAGGACAGCAGAAGAGGTGTGAGGCCATCCTGTGACAAGGGAGCCACAGGGTGTCCAGACCCAGCGGGAGCCGAGGATTCAGGAAAATCTCCCCAGTCAGCTCCAGAGGTGCCCACAGTGTGAGCTCTAGTGTCTCCCAGGTAGAGGCCAAAGCGTCACCTGCCCGGCCCTGGGGGTGGAAGTGGAGTAGACGGCACTCCTATCTGGGCAACCGAGTAAGACCCTGTCTCTGAAGAAGTACATACATTTACTTAGACTCCTCTGTCTTTGTCATATATATACATATATGACATATATGAGATATACATATTATATATATGATATATATATGATATACATATATAAAATGTCATATATATGTGTCATATATATATGACATTTTATATATAGGAGCTCAAGACCAGCCTGGGCAACGTGGCAAAACTCCACCTCTACCAAAACATACAAAAATGAACTGGGCACAGTCGCACACACCTGTAGTCCCAACTACTCAGGAGGCTGAGGTAAGAGGATGACTTGAACCCGGGAGGCAGAGTCGAGCTGAGATCGCGCCACTACCTGCCAGCTTGGGTGACAGAGCCAGACTGTGTCTAAAAACAAACAAACACCAGAAGGCAGTGATTTTTGCCCCAAAGTGATTTAACTCTCCCTAGTCATTATACAGAACAAGAAAAATAAGAACATGAATTAGTCTGGGCGCAGTGGCTCACACCTGTAATCCCAACACTTTGGGAGGCCGAGGCGGGTGGATCACTTGAGGTCAGGAGTTCAAGACCAGCCTGGCCAACATGGTGAAACCCCGTCTCCACTAAAAATACAAAAATTAGCCAGGTGTGATCCCAGCTACTCGAGATCTGGGTAGCTACTGAGGCAGGAGAATTGCTTGAATCCGGGATGTGGAGGTTACTGTGAGCTGAGAACACACCACTGCACTCCAGCCTGGGTGACAGAACGAGACTCCATCTCAAAAGCAAACAACAACAACAAAAGAAAAAGAAGAAGAAAGTGAGTTGACCTGTAATGTGAGAAACGGAAGTTGTAATCATATGTGACTCAGATCACAGTCATATCACTTAAAGTGCTGTTATGGTTCAAGTGGCTTTTAAATAATATTGATTTTCACAGTGGTCAGACCACATCCCTACCCTGGTTAACCCCACTTCATGAAGCAGAGCGTTTGGAGGGGGAGGATGGGAGGAGGAGAGCAGGAACCCAAAACCCTCACGTGGCTGCTCTGCTCAACAAACTGGAAACACCGTCAACTTATTTTGATACAAATCCCTATGACCCATTTTTATTCAAGAATTCTGTCACCTTTGGCTGTTTTTCTGAGGTTTCTCCATAGCACCTTATCCTAAAATTTTCTCTTTTTTTTAATTTTAATTTTAAATTTTTTTTTTTTTGAGACAGAGTGTCACTGTCGTCCAGGCTGGAGTGCAGTGGCGTGATCTCAGCTCACTGTAACCCCTTCCTCCCAGGATCCTCGTGCCTTGGCCTCCCGAGTACCTGGGTTTACAAGTGTGCACCACCACACCCAGCTAATTTTTGTATTTTTAGTAGAGGCGGGGTTTCACCATGTTGGCCAGGCTGGTCTTGAGCTCCTGACCTCAAGTGATCCAAACCCCCTCAGCCTCTCAAAGTGATTACAGGTGTGAGCCACCATGCCCGGCCCTGCTCCTGGAATTTTCTTACAGAATCAGAGCAGACACCATTCCTAGAGGTAGGAAACTATCTCTGCAATTGGCTGTTCTGGAAGCCAGAAACAAAGGACCGGCCAGGAACCCATCTCCCCTGACAATTGTGGAGGAGCAAGTTGAGGACTTTCAGGATCCACAATGCCAGGCAGGAGGGAGCAGCTCTGCCACACAGGGCTGGAGACCCCATCCTCGATGCTCAGCTGTCACTGCCTCGTGCTATTAAGTTGCCACATCCTTGATGGTTTAATGCCCAACTCCAGGGCTGCTTGCTCTGCCTGCATTGGTTGATTCTTCTGGAAAAATAAAACTCTATAATATTTTGATCCAGGGAGCCCAAGGACCATCTTCCCAGCTCTCTCGAATTACGACACAATCCTCGTCCTAACTCCACTAGATTGCCCTGGTTAATGGGGTAATTCTGTGAGAAAACACAGGCGCATCAATATTGCAGTGTCCCTTACAGAAGCGCTGAGAGTAACACTATTGCTTTAGTTGGGGTCCTCATAGAACAGGTGATACCTCATAGAATTTTCTAGTGCTTTCCAATACCTCAATTGATATCATTCAGATTCGGCCGGGCGCAGTGGCTCACGTCTGTAATCCTAGCACTTTGGGAGGCCAAGGTGGGTGGATCACCTGAGGTCAGGAGTTCGAGACCAGCCCAGCCAATGCAGTGAAACCCCATCTCTACTAAAAACACGAAATTTAGCCAGGCGTGGTGGTGTACACCTGTAATCCCAGCTACTTGGGAGGCTGAGGCAGGAGAATTGCTTGAACCCAGGAGGTGGAGTTTGCAGTGAGCCGTGATGGCACCACTGCACTCCAGCCTGGGCGACAGAGACAGAGTGAGACTCCATCTCAACATATATGTATACACACACACATATATATCTCAGATCCTCTAGTGCAAAGTCACATATCTGTATGGGAGCTCCAATAAATTGGAATGCAGAGGTTAAAGGTTAATCAGTTAGCTACACCTACTAGGAACTTTCTCTGTTATAAGGGGTGGTGCCCACCAGGGACTGGTCCCATGGCCAGTTCCCACATATAATCTAACCCTGTATGGGATTTTAGAAGGTGGGAAACAAAGCCTGGCACGGTGACTCACGCCTGTAATCCCAGCACTTTGGGAGGCCCATTCGGGCAGTTCACTTGAGGTCAAGAGTTTGAGGCCAGCCTGGCCAACATGGTGAAACCTGGTCTCTACTAAAAAAAAATACAAAAATTAGCTGGACATGGTGGCCGGTGCCTGTAATCCCAGCTACTCAGGAGCCTGAGGCAGGAGAATCTCTTGAACCGGAGGGACAGAGGTTGCAGTGAGCTGAGATTGCATCACTGCACTCCAGCCTGGAGGCCAAGGCAGGAGGATCACTTGAGGCCAGGAGTTTGAAACCGGCCTAGCCAACATAGCAAGTCCCCATCTCAAAACAAAAAGCAAAACACAATATTTTGACCCAGGCAGTGTGAAGGGGGCAGGTGGCATCTTTTTGAAGATGCCAGAAAATTTGGGACCTCCAAACTTGGACAATGTTAGCAGCTGTCTGAGGCCACAAAATTAGGCAAACCACACTGGAGAAAGAAAATCCTTCGGAAACCTGTTCATTTAGGCAACTGTATGAGTTTCAGCTGAATTTTCTAAATGCCTCTAAATTACATCCTCAGCCTGGAGGGACATCAGAGCTGATTTGACTCACTTGTGGGGCCTGCTTCTGAGTTATTAACGTGGTTATGGCTCCCCCATGTGGTGGAGGGGGGCATATTCATTTTTTAAGTTCCTATTTCAGCCCAGCAGGGTGGCTCACACCTGTAATCCCAGACCTTTGGAAGACCCAGCGATCGCTCGAGCCCAGGAGTTTGAGACCAGCCTGGGCAACATGGTGAAAGCCCGTCTCTATTTAAAACAAAACAAAACAATGAAGTTCTTCCTATTTCTCTCCCTGTCCTTGACACGAGGGGATTCCAACTACTTTTTCTGCTAATCGTCCTTGTACATGAGCATATATACTGACAGGATTTTTACCTGTCCCAAATAATATGCCTTTGGTCCCATCCCCAGACAGGCAGGGAATGAACAGGCCATCTGTGACTCTCGGTCTTGCTCTGTCGCCCAGGCTGGAGTGCAGTGGTGTGATCTCAGCTCACTGCAGCCTCAATCTTCTGGGCTCAAATGATCCTCTTGCCTCACCCCCCCAAGTAGCTAGAACTATAGGCCCGCACCCCCGCGCCTGCCTAATTTTTTTCTTTTCTTTTCTTTTTCATAGAGATGGGGGTCTCACTATGTTGTGCAAGCTAGTCTCCAACTCCAGGCTCAAGCAATCCTCCCACCTCAGCCTCTCAAAATGCTGGGATTATAGGCATGAGCCATTGCGCCCAACCTGGATGTTGAGTTTTTTTTTTTTAAGAAACTGCCAAACTGTTTTTCAGAGCAATGTATAAATGATCCAATTTATCTCCACCCTTGCCAGCTTTCAATGGCGTTGCGGTTTTCAAAATTTTTAGCCATTTTAATTTAATTTGCGTTTCCCTAATGGCTAATGATGTTGAACATCTTTTTATCTGCTTACATGTCATCTGTATCTCTTCCTCATTGAGATGTCTCTTCATGTCTTTAAAAAGTTTTTATTTTCATTTGATTTTTTCATAGAGACAAGGTCTCACTATGTTGCCCAGGCTGGTCTCGAACTCCTGGGCTCAAGCAATCCTCCCACCTTGGTTCCACAAACTGCTGAGATGACAGGTATGAGCCACCATGCCAGATCCTCTTCAGGTCTTTTGCCCATTTTTTTAATGGATTTTTTTTTCACTATTGAGTTTTCACAGTTCTTTACATTTTCTAGATAATTGTCCTTTGTCAGGTATGTGCTTTGCAAATATTTTCTCCCAGACTATAGCCCTATCTGTCCTTCTAACTGGGTTTGTTTTTTGTTTTTTGTTTTTTGGGGGGTTTTTTTGAGACGGAGTCTAGCTCTGTTGCCCAGGCTGGACTGCAGTGGCGTGATCTCGACCCACTGCAACCTCCACCTCCAGGGTTCAAGCAATTCTCCTGCCTCAGCCTCCCAAGTAGCTGGAACTACAGGCGTGCACCACCACACCCAGCTAATTTTTGTATTTTTAGTAGAGAAGGGGTTTCACCACGTTGGCGAGGATGGTCTTGATCTCCTGACCTTGTGATCTGCCCACCTCAGCCTCCCAAAGTGCTGGGATTACAGATGTGAGCCACTGCGCCTGGCCTAACTGGGTTTTTCTTAGAGCAAAAGTTTTTCCTTTTCATAACATCCAAACTATCAATTTTTCTTTTTATGGACTGTGCTTCAGATGTCAAATCTAAGAACTGTTTGCCTGGCCCTAGATCCTAAAGATGTTCTTGTATGTTCGTTTCTAAAATTTTTGTAGTTTTATGTCTTACATTTAAATCTGTGATCCATTTTGAGTTAGTTTTTATATAAGGTGTGAGAGAGGAGAGAGGTTGATTTGTTTTGTTTTGTTTTGTTATTCCTATGGATGTCCAATTGCTCGGCACCATTTGTTAATAAGCTCTCTTCCCTCCATTGATTTCCCTTTGCGCTTTTGTCAAAAATCAGCCGGGCCCAGGCAGAGTGGCTCACGCCTGTAATCCCAACACTTTGGGAGGCTGAGATGGGAGGATCACCTGAGGCCAGGAGTTCGAGGCTGCAGTAAGTCATGATCACTCCACTGCCCTCCGGCCTGGGCAATCCTGTCTCAAAAAGAAAAAAAGTTGCACATATTTGTGTGGGTCTATTTCTGAGTTCTCTATTCTGTTCCTATTCTATTATTTTCTCTATTCCTCTGCCAGTAATACCACACAGTCTTGATTACTGCAGCTAGATGTCTTTAAATTGGGTAGACTGACTCTTGTCACTTTATTCTGGGTTATTTATTTATTTATTTATTTATTTGAGACAGGGTCTCGCTCTGTCACCCAGGCTGGAGTGCAGTGGTGTGATCTCGGCTCACAGCAACCTCCGCCTCCCAAGTTCAAGCAATCCTCCCGTGTCAGCCTCCCAAGTAGCTGGGATTACAAGCGTGCATGACCACACTCAGCTAATTTTTGTAGTTTTAGTAGAGATGGGGATTCTCCATGTTGGTCAGGCTGGTCTCAAACTCCTGACCTCAAGTGATCCACCAGCCTCCGCCTCCCAAAGTGCTGGGATTACAGGCATGAGCCATGGCACCCAGCCAATTCTTCTTCTTTCAAATTGTTTTACACTTTCTAGTTGCTTTGCCATTCCATAAAAAAATTTAGGATAATCTAGTCGATATCTAAAAAAGGAATTGTGTTCAACCTGTGTATTTATTTAGGGGGAAATTGACATGTTTACTATGCTAAGCTTTCTAGTCCATGTACATACTATACCTTTTCATTCTTTTAGAGAGTATTTGATTTATTTTATCAGAGGCTTTTACTTTTCAGGATACAAGTCTGGTACTTTTTTTTTGTTTCATTTTGATTTTTTCTTTCCTTTCCTTCTTTCTTTCTTTCTTTCTTTCTTTCTTTCTTTCTTTCTTTCTTTCTTTCTTTCTCTCTCTCTCTCTCTCTTCCTTCCTTCCTTCCTTTCTTTTTCTTCATTTTTTTTTGACAGGGTCTCACTCTGTAACCCAGACTGGAGGGCAGTGGTGCCATCATGGCTCATTACAGCCTTCACCTCCCAAACTCAAGGAATTCTCCCACCTGAGCCTCCTGAGTAGCTGGGACCACAGGTGCATGCCACCACACCTGGCTAAATTTTTTTTTTATAGAGATAGGGTCTCACTATGTTGCCCACGCTTGGTACATATAATATTGGATTTACACCTAAATATTTCATTGTTAAGCAGTTGTATTTGGTATTGATTTTATCTTTAATTTAGCTGTTTATCACTGATCTATACCAATGCAATTGATTTTGTATGTTTATCTTGTCTATCTCAACCATGGTGAGCTTGCTTGTTAGCTGTAGGAGGTTTTGTGGTTTTTCTGTCTTGAGGTTTTGGTTTTATTTTTTGTTTTTTGGTAGATTCCTTGGGATTCTCTATGTAGACAATCATGTCATTGCAAATAAGGACAATTTTATTTCTTCCTTTCCAATCCCTGTGATTTTTAGTCATATGGTAACTCTATGCTTAATTGTTTGAGAAACCACCAGACTGTTTTCCAAAGTGGTAGCTGAAACGTTTCGCATTCCGCAGGCAATGTATGAAGGCTCTAATTTTTTTTTTTTTAATTGAGATGGAGTCTCGCTTTGTCACCCAGGCTGGAGTACAGTGGCACAATCTTGGCTCACTGCAACCTCCACATCCCGGGTTCAAGCAATTCTCCTGCCTCAGCCTCCCAAGTAGCTGGGACTACAGGTGCGTGCCACCACACCCAGCTAATTTTTTTTTTGTATTTTTAGTAGAGACAGGGTTTCACTGTTTAGCCAGGGTGGTCTCGATCTCCTGACCTCATGATCCGCCTGCCTCGGCCTTCCAAAGTGCTGGGATTACAGGCGTGAGCCGCCACGCCCGGCCAGAAGGCTCTAATTTATCTACATCCTCATCACACTTGTTATCATTCTCACTTTTTAATTCTAGCCAGCCTTGTGGGTGTGAAGAGGCATCTCATTGTGGTTTTGATTTGCATTTCCTTGGAGACTAATGATGTCAAGTATATTTTCATTGCATATTGGCTATTTGTATATCTTTCTTGAAGAAATGTCAATTCAGATCCTTTGACCATTTTTAGTTGATTTATCAGTCTTATTATTGAAGTGCAGGAGTTTTTTTCTATATTCTAGGTACAAGTCCTTTAGGAGATACATGATTTGCAAATAGGTTTTCCCATTCTGTGTGTTATTTTCAC
Source organism: Homo sapiens (assembly GCF_000001405.40). Taxonomy (NCBI): domain Eukaryota; kingdom Metazoa; phylum Chordata; class Mammalia; order Primates; family Hominidae; genus Homo; species Homo sapiens. The sequence goes on from NC_000019.10 coordinate 46,269,533, forward strand.
TTTTTTGACTGTATCCCTTGAAGCACAAGTGTTAATTCTGACGAAATGCAAATTATCTATTTTTTTCTTTTGTTGTTCATGTTTTTGGTATCGTATCTAAGAATACTGTATTTTATTTTTTTGTTTTGTTTTGAGACTAAGTCTCACTCTGTCAACCCAGACTGGAGTGCAGTGGCACAATCATGGCTCACTGCAACTTCCATCTCCCAGGTTCCAGAGATCCTCCTGCCTCAGCCTCCTGAATAGCTGGGAGTACACCACCACACCCAGCTAATTTTTATATTTTTAGTAGAGACAGGGTTTCGCCATGTTGCCCAGGCTGGTCTCGAACTCCTGACCTCAAGTGATCTGCCCACCTCGGCCTCCCAAAGTGCTGGGATTACAGGCATAAGCCGACGCGCCCGGCCTTCTTGTTTTTATAAGTATTAGTCTTCAGCTTTCCATCTTCTGTCAGGATTTATTAAAAGACTCTTAGATATGAGACAGGAGGATCACTTGAGCTCAGGAGTTGGGGACCAGCCTGGGCAACAGAGGGAGACCCAATCTCTATTTTAAAAAAAAATTTTTTTTTAATAAATTAGCCAGGAATGATGGCATGCACATGTGGTCCCAGCTACTTGGGAGGCTGAGGTGCGAGGATCGCTTGGGCCTGGGAGTTCCAAGTTTCAGTGAGCCATGATCACGCCACTGCTCAGCAGTCTGGGTGGCAGAAAGAGATCCTGTCTCCAAAAACAACAACAACAAGATAAAACAACAAGAAAACATTTACCAGTTTTGTACCCAAGCGAGTTAGAGAAACGCTACACTTGGAGACAAATTCAGGAATCCTTTATTAGCTGGCGACCGAGAGACGGCTAACGCTCGAAATTCTCTCGGCCCCGAAGAAGGGGCTTGATTTTCTTTTATACGTTGGTTTAGAGAGGGGAGGGGGGGAATCTAGCTGTAACAATCTTTCAGAAGTAAAACAGATAAAAAATTAAAAAGACAAATGGTTACAGGAGAACAAAGTATTCCAGGTGCAGGGGCTTTAAATTCATCATAAGGTGATAGGCGTGAGGGCTCTGCCGGACACAAACACGGGGGCTTTATGGCACTATCTCCTGAGCGAATTCCTGGGAACTACGGACATTGATTGCCACAGTACCTTATCAGTTAATTGGACTCTCTGATATGCTGAGAGTCAGCTTACACGAGTTAACTCCTTGAGGAAGGGGGTCGGTAAGGAGTCCTGGATGTCTTGCAAATGAAGGAGCCAAATGGAGTCCGTCCGGTTTTCTCAGCTAAGGGAGAGTCTATTCATATTAAAACAAGGTTAGGTATTACACCAGGACAACAGCAATAACATGAAAGCATTCTTTTATTGAATAAATACTATTCAAGTTCTGTATTTCCATGGATTAGTTAATTAAATCACAAAATCACCTTAAGATGTCAGTCTCGTAAGAAAACTATGGCTCAGGGAGAGAGACAGAAAGAGATTTTCTAAGTGCTGTATGGCAGTGTGAGGAGTTTATCTCTGCAGGGCTTTGGCAACAAATGGAAACTGGTTCTGTTCGGAGATGGGCAACCACGGATGTACGCTGCTCAGATCTTCCTGTAAGAAAGGAAGCCCACTGGCCGGGCGCAGTGGCTCACGCCTGCCTGTTATCCCAGCACTTTGGGAGGCCAAGGTGGTCAGACCACAAGGTCAGGAGATCGAAACCATCCTGGCCAACATGGTGAAACCCCCTCTCTACTAAAAATACAAAAAATCAGCCGGGTGTGGTGTCACGCGCCTGTAGTCCCAGCTACTCGGGAGGCTGAGGCAACAGAATCGCTTGAACCCAGGAGGCAGAGGTTGCAGTGAGCTGAGATCGCACCATTGCACTCCAGCCTGGGGGACAGAGCAGGACTCCATCTCAAAAAAAAAAAAAAAAAAGAAAGAAAGAAAGAAAGGAAGCCCACTGTATGAGTCTGTTCTCACACGCTATAAAGATACTACCTGAGGCTGGGTAATTTATAAACGAAAGAGGTTTTAATTGACTGACAGTTCTGCATGGCTGGGAGGCCTCAGGAAACTTACAATCGTGACGAAAGATGAAGTGGGAAGCAAGGCACATCTTACTTACGTGGTGGCAGGAGAGAGTGAGGAGGGGAAACTCCCAGACACTGATGAAACAACCAGATCTCATCAGAACTCACTCACTGTCATGAGAACAGCATGGGGGAAACTGCCCCCTTGATCCAGTCCCCTCCCACCAGGTCCCTCCCTCCTCACCTGGAGATTACAATTCAAGATGAGATTTGGGTGAGGGGACAGAGCCAAACCATGTCACCCACGGGTCAGCCACAGAGCATAGTTAGCTTTACTTTAGCTGTAATGCCTTCAGGATCTGTCATAGCCTGGGAGACCAGATCGTGCACTTCCTGGCCAATGACCTGGACATTTCTTCCAAACGCAGGACTCCTCAAGTGGAAAATCTTTGTTGTGAAGCACCCTTTGAGGTTTGCCAAGATTTTCTTTCAGCTCTGAATCATAGTCTGAGTATTTTTCTGCCCACCTCAGCTTCTCTCTGTCAAGCAAAACTGACATATCTGGAAAGTAAGAAAATAAACCAGGCCACATGCAGTGGCCCATGCCTGTAATCTCAGCACTTTGGAAGGCCAAGGCCAGAGGATCATTTGAGTCCCAGGGTTTGAGACGACCCTGGGCAACACAGGAAGACCCTATCTCTACAAAAAATGTTAAAAGTTAACCAGGCGTGGTCAAGTGTGCCTGTGGTCCCAGCTGCTTGGGAGGCTGAGGTGGGAGGATCGCTTGAGCCTGGGAGTTGAGGACCAGCCCAGCCTGGGAAACAGCGAGACCCTGTCTCCACAACAAACAAAATAAGTTGGGTGTAGTGGCACACACCTGTAGTCTCAGCTACTTGGGAGGCTGAGGTTGGAGAATCGCTTGAGCCTGGGAGATCAAGGCTGCATAGAGCCAAGATTGCACCACTGAGCTCCAACCTGGGTGACAGAGCAAGACCCTGTCTCAAAAAAAAAGAAGAGGAAGAGGAAGAAGAGAGAAAGAAAGAAAGAAGGAAAGAAAGAAAGAGAGAAAGAGAGAAGGAGAGGGGAGGGGAGGGGAGGGAGAAGAAGAAAGTTCCCTCATCTATCAAGAAACTGGACCTGCCAAAGAGTAACACAGTTGCCTTCCCTGAAATTTCCTTAACCCTAGAAGATTAAAATTCACATCACAAGGCCGGGTGCGGTGGCTCATGCTGGTAATCCCACACTTTGGAAGGCCGAGGTGGGTGGATCGCCTGAGGTCAGGAGTTCAAGACTAGCCTGGCCAACATGGTGAAACCCCGTGTCTACTAAAAATACAAAAATTAGCCAGGCGTGGTGGCATGCGCCTGTAGTCCCAGCTACTCGGGAGGCTGAGGCAGGAGAATCACTTGAACCCAGGAGGCGGAGGCTGCAGTGAGCTGAGATCGCACTGGAGATTGGACTCCAGCTTTGGCAACAAGAACAAAACTCTGTCTCAAAAAAAAAAAAAAGAGAAAGAAAAACTTACATCACAGAGAAAAAGGCTGAAAATAAAACACCACAACTGAAAGCCAGGCAAACTGCATCCCAAACCACTGTCTGCTCTCCATCTTATTCAACTGGCAAAGAAAATTATTTACTAACTTTCACTCGCATCCGTGTGAAGACACCACCAAACAGGCTTTGTGTGAGCAACAAGGCTGTTTATTTCACCTGGGTGCAGGCGGGCTGAGTCTGAAAAGAGAGTCAGCGAATGCAGATAGGAGTGGGGCTGTTTTATAAGATTTGGGTATGTAAAGGAAAATTACAGTCAAAGGGGGAGGTTGTTCTCTGGCTGGCAGGAGTTGGGGGTCACAAGGTGCTCAATAGGGGAGCTTTTGAGCCAGGATGAGCCAGGAGAAGGAGTTTCACAAGATAATGTCATCAGTTAAGGCAGGAACAGGCCATTTTCATTTCTTTTGTGGTGGAATGTCATCAGTTAAGGCAGGAACCGGCCATCTGGATGTGTACGTGCAGGTCACAGGGGATATGATGGCTTAGCTTGGGCTCAGAGGCATGACATTTCTGTCTTCTTATATTAATAAGAAAAATAAAACGAAATAGGGTTGAAGTGTTGGGGCAGTGAAAATTTTGGGGGGTGGTATGGAGAGATAATGGGCGATGTTTCTCAGGGCTGCTTTGAGCAGGATTGGGGTGGCATGGGAACCTAGAGTGGGAGAGATTAAGCTGAAGGAAGATTTTTGTGGTAACAGTTGATATTGTGGGGTTGTTAGAAGAAACATTTGTCATATAGAATTATTGGTGATGGCCTGGGTACGGTTTTGTATGAATTGAAAAAAGAACGGAATAAGACAAGGAGAAAAACAGGTATTAAAGGACTAAGAATTGGGAGGACCTAGGACATCCAATTAGAGAGTGCCTAAGGAGGTTCAGCATAGCCCTGCCAGCAAAGATTATTTGTTTACTTTAAGAGGGAGTTAAGAGTGGCAGTTTGGGGATAGCACCAGGAGATATCCGCTGCGATGGTTTGGAGAAACAGTGTAAACCAGCAGTGTAAACAAGAGCAGGGCATTTATGAGTAGTTGAGAACGGTGAGTAGGAGTTGACTAGACAGAAGATAGTAAGGATGACAAGTTTTTTGGGGCGCAGTCCAAGTTGGTCTGGTGTCTGGAATGAGACTGGGGCCTAATAAAAAGGATTGTCCATACAGGAGTTCAAATGGGCTGTAACCTGCAGCATTTCGAAGACAGGCCCGAATTCTGAGAAGGGAAAGTGATAAAAGTACTGTCCAGTCCTTTTTAAGTTGGTGACTGAGTTTGGTGAGGTGTGTTTTTAAAAGACCATCAGTTCACTGAATACTAAGAGCCTGAGAAACTCCTTGGGTGATTTGACTAATAAAGGCCGGTCTGTTATAGGACTGTATAGAGGTGGGAAGGCCAAACCAAGGAATTATGTCTGACAGAAGGGAAGAAATGACCGTGGTGGCCTTCTCAGACCCTGTGGTAAAGGCATCTACCCATCCAGTGAAAGTGTCTACCCAGACCAAGACGTATTTTAGTTTCCTGACTCGGGGCATGTTGAGTAAAGCTAATTTGCCAGTCCTGGGTGGGGGCAAATCCTCAAGCTTGATGTGTAGGGAAGGGAGGGGGCCTGAATAATCCCTGAGGAGTAGTAGAACAGCAGATGGAACACTGAGAAGTGATTTCCTTGAGGATAGATTTCCACGATGGAAAGGAAATGAGAGGTTCTAAGAGGCAGGCTAGTGGCTTGTACTATAGCATAGCCTGCCTTTGCCGGTGTGTGGCGATTAGGCCTGGTGGAACTGCCATCAATAAACCAAGTGTGACCAGGGTGAGGAACAGGAAAGAAGAAATATGGGGAAATGGGGTGAATGTCAGGTGGATCAGAGAGATGCAGTCATGGGGGTCAGGTGTGGTATCAGGAATAATGTGGGAGGCCGGATTGAAGTCCGGGCCAGGAACAACGGTAATTGTGGGAGACTCAACAAAGAGTGAGTACAGCTGAAGGAGCCGGGGAGCAGAAAGTATATGTGTCAGGTGTGAGGAAGAAAATAGATTTTGGAAATTATGAGAACCATAGAGAGTGAGATGAGCAGAGTTTGTGATTTTGAGGGTCTCTAAAAGTATTAGGGTGGCAGTGGCCGCCACATGCAGACATGAGGGCTAGGCAAAACAGTAAGGTCAAGTTGTTTGGATAAAAAGGGTACAGGACGCGGTCCCAATTCTCGTGTAAGAATTCCGACTGCACAGCCCTGTACTTCGGCTGTGTGTAATGAAAAGGGTTGGGATGAGTCAGGGAGAGCTAGGGTAGGAGCAGTCTCTAAAGCTGTCTTCAAGGAACGGAAAGAGGAGTGGGGAAAGGATTTAGGATCTATGGGGTCAGCTAGGTTTCCTTTTGTGAGTTTATATAATGGTTTTGTTAGGATGGCAAAACCAGGTATCTAAAGTCAAAAGTATCCAACCATGCCTAGGAAGGAAAGGAGTTGTTTTGTAGAAGGTGTTGGGGTTTGAGAGATCAGTCGGACACGATTGGCAGGGAGAGCATGGGTGTTTTTATGAGAATTATGCCAAGATAGGTAACAGATGAGGAAGAAATTTGGGCTTAACTGAAGTAATGGGGGCTGTCTGTGAAGCCTTGCGGCAGTACAGCCCAGGTAATTTGCTGAGCCTGATGGGTGTCAGGGTCAGTCCAAGTGAAAGCGAAGAGAGGCTGGGATGAAGGGTGCAAAGGAAGAGTAAAGAAAGCATGTTTGAGATCCAGAATAATGGGTTGTGGAGGGAGGTATTGAGGATAGGAGAGTATATGGGTTTGGCACCATGGGGTGGATAGGCAAAACAATTTGGTTGATAAAGCACAGATCCTGAACTAACCTGTAAGCCTTGTCTGGTTTTAGGACAGGTGAAATGGGGGAATTGTAAGGGGAGTTTATAGGCTTTAAAAGGCCATGCTGTAGCAGGAGAGTGATAACAGGCTTTAATCCTTTCAAAGCGTGCTGTGGGATGGGATATTGGCATTAAGTGGGGTAAGGGTGATTAGGTTTTAATGGGATGGTAAGGGGTGCATGATGGGTCGCTAAGGAGGGAGGAGAGGTGTCCTATACTTGTGGGTTAAGGTGGGGGGATACAAGGGGAGGATGTGAAGGAGGCTTTGAACTGGGGAAAAGGGCAGCAATGAGGTGTGGCTGTAGCCCAGGAATAGTCAGGGAAGCAGATAATTTAGTTAAAGTGTCTCGGCCTAATAAGGGAACTGGGCAGGTGGAGATAACTAAAAGGAGTGCTTTAAAGAGTATCGTCTAAGTTGGCACCAGAGTTGGGGAGTTTTAAGAGGTTTAGAAGCCTGGCTGTCAATACCCACAACAGTTATGGAAGCAAGGGAAACAGGCCCTTGGAAAGAAGGTAATGTGGAGTGGGTGGCCTCTGTATTGATTAAGAAGGGGACGGACTTACGGTGCACTGTGAGAGTTACCTAGAGCATCTGTGACGGTCCAGGAGGCTTCTGAGATGATCGGGCAGTGTCAGTCTTCAGCTGCTAAGCCGAGAAGATCTGGGAAGGAGTCAGTCAGAGATCCTTGGGCCAGAGTTCTAGGGGCTCTGGAAGTGGCTGCCAGGTGAGTTGAACAGTCCGATTTTCAGTGGGGTCCCACACAGATGGAACAGAGCTTGGGAGGAATCCCAGGCTGTGGGCATTCCTTTGCCCAGTGGCCAAATTTCCAGCACTTGTAGCAAGTTCCTGGGGGAGGAGGTTCTGGAGGAACCCCTGGCTGCTGCGGTTCAGGCATTTGGAGTTCTTGCGTGCTGGAGATGTGGCTGGGGTTTCTCTCACAGTGGAGGTAAGGAATTGCAACTCAGAAATATATTGTTACTTAGCTGCCTATACTTTATTATTGTACACATTGAAGGCGAGGCTAATTAAGTCCTGTTGCGGGGTTTGAGGGCCGGAATTTAATTTTTGGAGTTTTATTTAATGTCAGGAGCAGACTGGGTAATAAAATGTATATTGAGAATAAGACGGCCTCTTGACCTTCTAGGGTCTAGGGCTGTAAAGCATCTCAGGGTTGCTGTCAAACGAGCCATGAACTGGGCTGGGTTTTTATATTTCATGAAAAAGAGCCTAAACGCTATCCAATTTGGGATAAAGAAAAAGGAACATTAACCTGGACTATGCCTTTAGCTCCAGCCACCTTTTTAAGAGGAAATTGCTGGGCAGGTGGGGGAGGGCTAGTCACAGAACAAAACTGTAAGCCGGACCAGGTGTGAGGAGGGGAGGTGATAAAAGGATTGTAGGGTAGGGGAGCAGAGGCTGAGGAAGAATTGGGACCTAGCTCAGCCTGGTGAGGAGCAGCCTTGGGGAGAAGGGGAGAGGTCAGATGGGTCTGTAGAAAAGGAAGATTGGAAAGAGGAAAGACTCAGCAATGCTTGGGGTTGGGACTGAGGGACAGGCAGCAGGGAAAGAAGGAAGATTTAGGACGAGTTGCATTGGGAACAGAGACTAGGGAGGGACCGATGTGTAAAAGAATGCCTGGACATCAGGCACCTCAGACCGTTTGCCCATTTTACGGCAAGAATTATTTAGATCTTGTAGGATGGAAAAATCGAAAGTGCTGTTTTCTGGCCATTTAGAGCCATTGTCAAGTTGGTATTGGGGCCAAGTGGTGTTGCAGAAGAAAACAAGGGGTTTAGGTTTTAGGTCAGGTGTGAGTTGAAGAGGTTTTAAGTTTTTGAGAACACAGGCTCAGGGAGAAGAGGGAGGAATGGAGGGTGGAAGGTAGCCCATAGTGAAGGAGGCAAGCCCAGAGAAAAGAGAGAGTAGAGACACAGAAGGGGTGGGGGGTGATTACCCCCCAGGAAAGTGGAGAAGGGGTAGAGACATGGAGAGAAGGGGTTGGGGGGTTCTTGCCCCCCAAAAAAGTGGTACTTGCTGCTAAGGGTGAAGGACCAAGGCAGGCATCCCCACATGGTCAGACACCTCTGAAATGTGGGTGAATAATCAGGCAGGCGTCCCCACACAATTAAACACCAAGGGAAGACTGTCTTCCCGAGTCTGTGACTGGTGCCGGAGTTTTGGGTTCACGGATAAAACGCGTCTCCTTTGTCTCTACCAGAAAAGGAAAGGAACTGAAATTAAGAGAAGGGAGAGATTGAAGTGTGAAGCCAAGATTGAAAGGAGAAAGAGGTTGAGGGATAGTGAGAGGGGTTGGAGAAGAGAGTAAAAAGAGACCGCTTACCTGATTTAAAATTGATGAGATGTTCCTTGGGCTGGTCAGTCTGAGGACCTGAGGTCATAGGTGGATCTTTCTCGCGGGACAAAGAGCAGGAGGACAGGGGATTGATCTCCCAAGGGAGGTCCCCCGATCGGAGTCATGGCACCAAAATATTTCACTCGCGTCCGTGTGAAGAGACCACCAAACAGGCTTTGTGTGAGCAACAGGGCTGTTTACTTCACCTGGGTGCAGGCGGGCTGAGTCGGAAAAGAGAGTCAGGGAACGGAGATAGGGGTGGGGCCGTTTTACAAGATTTGGGTATGTAAAGGAAAATTACAGTCAAAGGGGGAGGTTGTTCTCTGGCTGGCAGGGGTGGGGGTCACAAGGTGCTCAGTAGGGGAGCTTTTGAGCCAGGATGAGCCAAGAGAAGGAATTTCCCAAGATAATGTCATCAGTTAAGGCAGAAACAGGCCATTTTCACTTCTTTTGTGGTGGAATGTCATCAGTTAAGGCAGGAACCCGCCATCTGGATGTGTACGTGCAGGTCACAGGGGATATGATGGCTTAGCTTGGGCTCAGAGGCCTGACACTAACCATTGTCTGAGCATTAGGGCCATTCATTTCCCCCTAAAAATCACTGAATATCACGCAAATTGCCATATTTCCCCCATGTCCCCTTCCCCTATGAAAAAGGCTAAGAAGTATCTGTACCCCATTGGGTTATTGGGTAATCAGTCTCCTGTGAGTCCCCTGGGCAATGCATGTTAAAAATACATTTATATGCTGCCTTCTTCTACTAGTCTGCCTTTTGTCACTTCATTTTCAGTGAACCTTCAGAGGGTGACTGAGGATGTGTTCCCTCTTTGCCCCTACACAGCCAAAGTGGTTAACATCTCCCCCGAAATCCTTTACAGGCATACAAAAATCATATTACAAACCCTCCATTCCATCCCCAGTTCATACCCCAGCCACCTCCTCTATCTGACCCTCACACATCAATCTGCCTGAATCACTCAGGGCCAGGTACTGGACCACTGAAGACCAGCCGCGCATTCTTGAGTCTCTGACATCATTCAAAGCGGCCAATCCTGAGCTGTTTCCCCTTCCCTGCCTTGCCTTTCCCATGGAAACCGCAATAAAGGCCCTGGCCTAGGCTTTCCCTCTCTCTCCCACCTGCTGACCGAACCTGGTGCTTTCCCCTGCATGGCATGGCATGCGCCCGTCTCTCAGGAAGTGTAGGTAATCAATTCTTTCAAAGGCATCAACTTCATGTTGTCACTCAGTCACTTCCAGAAGATTAAATCTCATAAAGGCCGGGTGCAGTGGCTTATGTCTGTAATCCCAGCACTTTGGGAGGCCGAGGTGGGTGGATCACTCCTGAGGTCAGGAGTTCGAGACCAGCCTGGCCAACATGGCAAAGCCCCGTCGCTACTAAAAATACAAAAATTATCCAGGCGTGGTGGCACGCACCTGTAATCCCAGCCGCTCGGGATGCTCAGGCAGGAAAATCGCTTGAACCCAGGAGACAGAGGTTGCAGTGAGCTGAGATCATGCCACTGCACTCAGCCTGGAGCTAGACTCCGTGTCAAAATAAATAAATAAATACATCTCATGAGAAGAACTGAGACAACTCCCACCTTTCTCTCAGCATCTGCTCCCTGTAGGAGCCAAGCTGATCCAAGAGATTGATCCAATAAGTAATCATATTGAGGATAACGGAAACCCGGGTTAAAACCATAAAGGCCAGGCCAGGTGCAGTAGCTCACACCTGTAGCACTTTGGTAGGCTGAGGCAAGAGTATCACTTGAGCCCAGGAGTTCGAGACCAGCCTGGGCAACATAGTGAGACCCTGTCTCTACAAAAAGACAAAGTAAAAATTAGCCAGGTGTGGTGGCATATGCCTGTGGTCCCAGCTACTCAGGAGGCTGAGGCAGGAGGATTGTTTGAGCCCAGGAGATCAAGGCTGCAGTGAGCCGAAATTGCATCACTGCCCTCCATCCTGGGAGACAGAGTGAGACCTTGTCTAAAAGAACTTTAAATTATGTGATGTGAAATGTTTAAAACAGTTTCTGGCACATAATCTTTCAATGAATTGGAGATATTAGTATGTAAAATCTAGCTACTGGTGCTGGGTGTGGTGGCTCACACCTGTAATCTCAGCACTTTGGGAGGCCAAGGTGGGCGGATCACTTGAGGTCAGGAGTTCGAGACCAGCCTGACCAACATGGAGAAACCCCGTCTCCATTAAAAATACAAAATTAGCCGGGCATGGTGGCGCATGTCTGTAATCCCAGCTATTCGGGAGGTTGAGGCAGGAGAATCACTTGAACCCAGGAGGCGGAGGTTGCGGTGAGCCGAGATGGCATCATTGCACTCCAGCCTGGGCAACAAAGAACGAACCTCTGTCTCAAAAAAAAAAAAAAATTTGCTGGGTGTGGTGGCACCCGCCTGTAGTCCCAGCTACTTTGGAGACTGAGGCAGGAGAATCACTTGAAACTGGGAGGCAGAGGCTGCCGTGAGCCAAGATCGCGCCACTGCACTCCAGCCTGGGCAACAGAGCGAGACTCCGTCTCAAAAAAAAAAAAGGAGAAAGAAAAAGAAATCAGGCTACTAAAATATGTAGCCAATGTGACCCTCATATGTAAGTATAGTATCAGAGTCATCCTAATTTCTGCCACGAGAGGGCGTGTCAGGCTTAGTTAGGGCTTAGCTGCCAGCAGCTCCCAAATGATGGTCTCAGAACTCCTTAATTTTATTATTATGATTACTATTATTAGTATTATTTTGAGGCAGGTCCACACTCTGTTGCTCAAACTGGAGTGCAGTGGTGCAATTGTGGCTCACTGCAGCCTCAAACTCCTGGACTCAAACGATCCTCCCACCTCAGCCTCCCGAGCAGCTGGACTATGCTGTGTAGGCCACCACACCGGCTAATTTTTTCATCCTTGATAGAGATGGGGGTCTCACTATGTTGCCCAGGCTGGTCCTGAACCCTTGGCCTCAAGCAGTCTTTCCACTTTAGTGTCCCAAAGTGCTGGGATTACAGGTGTGAGCCACCGCCCCCAGTCATGTTTGGATTTTTTAAGTGACATATCGGCCGGGCACAGTGGCTCACACCTGTAATCCCACCACTTTGGGACGCTGAAGTGGGAAGATTGCTTGAGCTCAGGAGTTGGAGACCAGGCTGGGTAACAGAGCAAGACCCTGTGTCTACAAACAATTTTAAAAATTAGCTGGACGTCGTGGCGTGCACCTGTAGTCCCAGCTACGGAGGAGGCTGAGGTAAGAGGATCACTTGACCCAGGAGGTTGAGGCTGCAATGAGCCATGATCACACTGCGCCACTGCACTCCAGCCTGGGCGAGAGAGTGAGACTCCATTAAAAAAAAAAAAAAAAAAAGTACCACATGTCTATGGCACATATAATGTAACGCCCCAACTGGGTTCAGGATAGTTCCTGGAATCAAACACATCAACATTTATGCAATGAAATGAGGGCTATTCACAGAAACGTGGAGTAAATATAGAAGATTGCCAAAATAGCCTTGTGTTAGTTCAGGTCAAGTTTTGCCACCAAATAAGTTATACAACAATCTCTACCTTTTCAGAGTTATTTGGAAGTTGGAATTGTGTGTGGATGGGGGGGTGTTTGTTTTGTTTTGTTAAGACGGAGTCTCGCTCTGTCGCCCAGCCTGGAGTGCAGTGGCGTGATCTTGGCTCACTGCAACCTCCACCTCCCAGGCTCAAGCGATTCTCTTGCCTCAGCCTCCTGAGTAGCTGAGACTACAGGCACGCACCACCGTACCCGGCTAAATGTCATATTATTAGTAGAGACAGGGTTTCACCACGTTGGCCAGGCTGGTCTCAAACTCCCAACTTCAGTTGATTCACCCACCTTAGCCTCCCATAGTGCTGGGATTACAAGCGTGAGCCATCACACCTGGCCGGAATTGTGGCTGATGAAGGGTGAGCCTCTCATTTCTCATAGATAAGAGGTGTCCTGCCAGGTCAAAGCTTGAATGCAATTCTGCTCACAGACATACAGAGTCAGATATCCCTTCTTTTGATGAATTAAAAGTTTGTATTTAAGGTGAATAAGACAATATTCAGTCAAAAGTCTGTTTTTCTTTAGAGTCAACATTTTGAAATAAGAACTAAATAAGAGCGTTCCTATGTCTATGTAGACTACGGCAGAAGCCAAGGCTGAGTGATCAGCATAGATCATCTGAGATTCAAATACCATGAGAGGGGTAGACGTGGGCCATACAATTCTCTGAAGTGGAGAACTTTCCCAATATCAGCTTCTGCCCGAAAGAGGGTGCTACGTTCCTTTGATCCATGTGTAACAGTTGCTTTCCCAGAAAAGTCAGAGTGAGTTAAAATGCTACAGGCCAGGCGCAGTGGCTCACGCCTGTAATCCCGGCATTTTGGGAGGCCGAGGCAGGCGGATCACTTGGGGTCAGGAGTTCGAGACCAGCCTGGCCAACATGGTGAAACCCCATCTCTACTTAAAAAAAAAAAAAAATTAGCCGGGCATGGTGGCGGGCGCCTGTAATCCCGGCTACTGAGGAGGCTGAGGCACAACAATCACTGGAACCCAGGAGGCAGAGGTTGCAGTGAGCCCATATCGCGCCACTGCACTCCAGCCTGGGCAACAGAGCAAGACTCCATCTCTAATCTAAATAAAATCAAATAAAGTAAAATAAAATAAAATAAAATGCTGCAGCCAGGCACAGTAGCTCACACCTGGTAATCCCAGCATTTGGAAGGCTGAGGCAGGAGGGTTGCTTAAACCTAGTAGCTTTGTTTATTTTCTTTCCTTAAGACAGCAGAAAAGGTGATTTATTTATTTCTATTTATTTATTTGAGAACTACAGGTGCAGACTACAGGAGCGCAGCACCACGCCAGGCTAATTTTTTGTATTTTTAGTAGAGATGGGGTTTCACTATGTTGGTCAGTCTGGTCTCAAACTCCTGACCTTGTGATCTGCCCCCCTCGGCCTCCCAAAGTGCTGAGATGACAGGTGTGGGTCACCACGCCCGGCCTATTTTATTTATTTATTTATTTTGAGACAGAGTCTCACTCTGTCACCAGGCTGGAGTAAAGTGGCATGATCTCAGCTCACTGCAATCTCCACCTCCCAGGTTCAAGCAATTCTCTGGCCTCAGCCTCTCGAGTAGCTGGGACTACAGGCATGCACCACCATGCCTGGCTAATTTTTTTTTCTTCTTCTTCTTCTTATGCTTGTTTCCTATCAGCTGATTTTTGTATTTTTTGTAGAGACAGGGTTTTGCCGTGTTGCGCAGTCTGGTCTCCAACTCCTGGGCTCAAGCGATCCACCTGTTTCGCCCTCTCAAAGTGCTGGGATGACAGGTATGAGCCATCAGGCCCAGTCAGAGCCTAGAATTTTAAGTCCAGCCTTGGCAACATAGTGAGAACCCATCTTTACAAAAAAACAATTTAAAAATTAGCCTGGTGTGATGGCATGCGTCTGTGGCCCCAGCTACTCTGGAGGCTGAGGCAGGAGGATTGCTTGAGCCCCGGAATTTGAGGCTGCAGTGAGCCATGATCACACCACTGCACTCCAGCCTGAGCAACAGAGTGGAAAAAAAAAAGGTGCAATGTTCTTGTTGTTTCTATCTAAGATGGCCTGCCATGATTGTTAACAGATTCTTCCTGTACAAGAGGACTTGAACAGGATACAGGAAACCCCTCCTTGCCAGAGCTATGCGTGCATCGCACAATGCCTGGAGTCCCTGGCTTCAGCCACTAATTACCGGAAGCTCCATAAGTTTGCAAATACCTCCCAGCTTCCAAGAGCTACTCACTGAGCCCTAAAAAAGGTGCCTGCAGGAGAGGTGAGGGTGCAGGGCCTGGGAGGGGCCCCTTGGCCACCCAGAGTCTGTAGAGAGTTTCTCCTCCTGGGAGACGCTGAGGCCACCAGCAGGGGACTAGGGCCACAGTCTCCGTCACACCGCTGTCCAGGGCAGTCACCTGCATCAGCATCAAGTAGACATCAGCATCTGCACAGGGAACCGTGACATATACGAGACCTTTGCGTACATGCATGTGATGACCATAAACATGAGTTCAGCATTCAAGGTTTGTTTGTTTGTCTGTTTTTTGAGACGGAGTCTTGCTCTTTGCTCTTGTCACCCAGGCTGGAGTGCAGTGGCATGATCTCAGCTCACTGCAGCCTCCGCCTCCCGGGTTCAAGTGATTCTCCTGCCTCAGCCTCCTAAGTAGCAGGGATTACAGGTGTACACCACCACCCCTGGCTAATTTTTGTATTTTTAGTAGAGACAGGGTTTCGCCATGTTGGCCAGGCTGGTCTCAAACTCCTGACCTTGTGATCCACCTGCTGCGGCCTCCCAAAGTGCTGGGATTACAGGCATGAGCCCACACCCAGCCCAGCACTCACATTTTATTAAAGGCAGCTGCTCTTCTTTAAAGAACCCCAGTGTGTACAGGTGTCAGTATCAGTCACTATCGGCACCAACATGCGTCCACGTGCCGTCATCGGTAACCATGCTACTATCAAGGCACGCCTAAGGCTAAGACACAGATCTTAACACGATGGCATGTACTGACACATGTAGTTGTCAGAATTCACATGGGTGGATACTGACTTGTGTGTTGATGGCAGCTAGTGACATGACACCTGCCTGTGTGCCATTGACACATGCATGGGCATATATAGATGTGGGCACACGCATCTACACTCGGTGTGAAAGTGTCCATCTGAGCCCCATACATCCACCCTCCAGGCTGGAGCCCCTCGATGGGCTGAGGCCATTCTGATTAAGTTGTGTCCCGGTATCTGGCAGAGAACAGACGCATCATAAACGCTTGAATGAGGGCCAGGCTTGGTGGCTCATGCCTGTAATCACAGCATTTTGGAAGGCTGAGGTGGGTGGATCACATGAGGTCAGGAGTTGGAGACCAGCCTCGCCAACATGGTGAAACCCCGTGTCTACTAAAAATACAAAAATTAGCCAGGCGTGGTGACGGGCACCTGTAATCCCAGCTACTCAGGAGGCTGAGGCAGGAGAATCCCTTGAAGCTGGGAGGCAGAGGTTGCAATGAGCTGAGATAGGGCCATTGCACTCCAACCTGGGCAACAAGAGCAAAACTTCATCTCTAAAAAAATAAATAAATGCTAGAATGAGGCTGTGTGCAGTGTCTCACACCTGTAATCCCAGCACTTTGGGAGGCCAAGGTGGGAAGATTACTTAAGTCTGGGAGTTTGAGACTAGCCTGGGCAACATACTGAGATATCTTCTCTATCTAATAAAAAAATTAAATGCTTGAATGAATGAATAAATGGCAACAAATACTTTGAACAGACGAGGGCCAGGCACTGTGATAAGCACTCACATGCCTGATCTAATTAATCCATACCACAGTCTCTATGGGTAAGAACTAATGATCCCACTATACAGATGGGAAAAACTGAGTCATAAAGACAGGATGTAGCTTTCCCAAAGCCATATGCCACGTAAGTGACAGAGCCTGGATTTGACCCAGGTCTCTCAAACTCAAAAACTAATGTTCTTAATCACTGCCCCATCCTCGTTATGATGGGACAACCCTCTCTCCCAATTCCTGGATTCCTGGGACACACCACCAAACTCCTTCCAGTGCAGGCGCTCAGCAAGCTACAAGAAAGTAAGACAGCCTTTCATCATCAAAACAGAGGAGGCCGGGCGCGGTGGCTCACGCCTGTGGTCCCAGCACTTTGGGAGGCCGAGGCGGGCAGATCACGAGGTCAGGAGATTGAGACCATCCTGGCTAACACGGTGAAACCCCGTCTCTGCTAAAAATACAAAAAATTAGCCGGGCATGGTGGTGGGTGCCTGTAGTCCCAGCTACTTGGGAGGCTGAGGCAGGAGAATGGTGTGAACCCGGGAGGCGGAGCTTGCAGTGAGCCAAGATCGCGCCACTGCACTCCAGCCTGGGCGATACAGTGAGACTCCGTCTGAAAAAAAAAAAAAAAAAAAAAAACAGAGGAGAAAAGAGAGAAACTTTAAACCCAACGAAGCTCAGAAGTTCTGTGTCAGGGCTGGGTGAGGTGGCACATGCCAGTTATCCCAATGCTTTGGAAAACCAAGGTGGGAGGCCAGGATTTGAAGACCATCCTGGACAACACAGCGAGACCCCATCTCTACAAAATAAAAATTAAAAAATTAGCCAGGCCCTGTGGCATGCACCTGTAGTCCTACCTACGTGGGAGGCTGAGGTGGGAAAATCACCTGAGCCTGGGCAGTGAAGGCTGCAGTGAGCCATGATCACACCACTGCACTCCAGCCTGGGCAACAGAGTGAGATGCTGTCTCGAAATGATAATATTAAAGAGCTACCTGAAAAAATAAAAAATTCAGTTCCTCAGTCACACTCACCACATTACAGGTGCTCAGTAGCCACATGAACAATTTAGATACAGATCATTTCCATCATCATAGAAAGTTCTGTTGGACAGCATGGTCTAGCATGGGTGTCCAACCCTTTAAATGGACTGACTCTTCTGCTTATCTTTTTTTTATTTGTCTGTTTTTTGAGACAGGGTCTCACTCTGTGGCCCAGGCTGGAGTGCAATGGCATGATCTTGGCTCACTGCAACCTCCGCCTCCCAGGTTCAAGCGACTCTCCTGGCTCAGCCTCCTGAGTAGCTGCCACCACAGGCGTGCGCCACCACACCCAGCTAATTTTTGCATTTTTGGTAGAGACGGGGTTTCTCCATCTTGGCCAGGCTGGTCTCAAACTCTTGGTCTCAAGTGATACAACCACCTCCTTTTTTGCTTATCTGTGGTAGTAGATATCACGAAAATTATACACAGACCTTTTGAGACAGAGTCTTGCTCTGTCGCCAGGCTGAAGTGCAGTGCCGTGATCTCAGCTCAATGCAACCTCCATCTCCTGGGTTCAAGCAATTCCCCTGCCTCAACCCTCAACCTCCCGAGTAGCTGGGACTACAGGTGCACGCCACCATGCCTGGCTAATTTTTTGTATTTTAGTAGAGACAGGGTTTCACCATGTTGGCCAAGATGGTCTCCATCTCCTGACCTCAGGTGATCTGCCCGCCTCAGCCTCCCAAAATGCTGGGATTACAGGCATGAGCCACCACGCCCAGCCATGGACCTTTTTTTTTTAAGCGATCACCTATCATTAGGGTATTTTATGTGAGATCCAAGACAATTCTTCTGCTTCCAATGTGGCCCAGGGAAGACAAAAGTTTGGGCACCCGTGATAGTCTACCCCAGTCTATATATGATCGATTCTTCTTTATGGCATTGTTTAACATATTCCTCTGTTCCCTGCCTTTCCTGTACACCAGTAGTTACACGTGGAAGCCGAATAATTTCAGGTTCAATTATTTTGGTGAAAATACTTCCTAGGTCTGCATCCTTCCACCAGCAGACACATCAGGTCTCGTCTTTATTGTGTGAGACTCACATCCTATTGGCCACAGGAAGTCACATGACCAAGCCTGACATCAGTGAGTCAGGGAATGTATTTGACATACTCAAGAGGACCTGTAAAGTCACATGGTACAGTCATGGATGTATAATTCTATAACAAGGAGGAAGTGGAGATTTGGAAACAATAATTCAAGCTACCATGAGGGCGTTTTTGTTTTGTTTTGTTTTGTTTTTTAATCAAATGAACTTTTCAGAAATGACTCGGTCAGATGCGGTGGCTCACGCCTGTGATCCCAGCACTTTGGTGAGGCCGAGGCAGGCGGATCGCCTGAGGTTGGGAGTTCGAGACCAGCCTGACCAACATGGAGAAACCCCATCTCTACTAAAAATACAAAATTAGCGGGGCATGGTGGGGCATGCCTGTAATCCCAGCTACTCGGGAGGTTGAGGCAGGAGAATCGCTTGAACCCAGGAGGCAGAGGTTGCAGTAAGCCGAGATCACAGCACTGCACTCCAGCCTGGGTAACAAGAGCGAAACTCTGTCTCCAAAAAAAGAAAAAGAAATGACTTACGCCTGTAATCCTAGCACTCTGGGAGCTGAGATGGGAGGATCGCTTGAGACCAGGAGGTCCAGACCAGCCTGGGCAACATGGCAAGACCCTGTCTCTACAAATAATTTTAAAAATTAGCTGGGTGTGGTGGTCTGCGCCTGTGGTCCCAGCTACTCAGGAAGCTGAGGCAGGAGGATCACTTGAGCCCTGGTCAAGGCTGCAGTGAGCTGTGTTCATGCTACAGTACTCCAGCCTGGGCGACAGAGCAAGATCCTCTCTCAAAAGAAGGAAATAAGCCAGATGCAGTGGCTCACACCTGTAATCCCAGCACTTTGGGAGGCCAAGGCAGGCAGATCACCTGAGGTCAGGAGTTCGAGACCAGCCTGGCTAACATGGTGAAACCCCGTCTCTACTAAAAATACAAAAATTAGCCGGACATAGTGGCGCACACCTGTAATCCCGGCTACTCGGGAGGCTGAGGCACGAGAATTACTTGAATATGGGAGGCAGAGGTTGTAGTGAGCTGAGATTGCCATTGCACTCCAGACTGGGCAACAGAGTGAGACTCCATCTCAAAAAAAAAAAAAAAAAAGAAATGAAGGAAGGAGGAAGGAAGGAAGGGAAGGGGAAGGGAAGGAAGAGAGACAGAGAGAGAAGGAGAGGAAGGGAGGGAGGGAGGGAGGGAGGGACGGACAGACGGACGGACGGAACTAACTCTATGAGTCACAGAGAGGTTAAGTAATTTGTTCAAGGTTCTGCAGCTGGTAAATGATGGGATTAGAATGCAGGCAGCCTGGCTCCAGAGTCCACTATAGGAAAACATTGGAGCCCACTTAATGGGGCTGCTGTGACATTCCAATGTGAACAGGAATGCCAAGGGCTCAGGACAGCGCTTGGCACAGGATCTGTGCATCATGCTTGGAACTGGTGCTGTTTATTTCCATCACCTGATTCTGGGTTGGCCTTGGCTTGGGTTTGGAGGGATTTTCTGCCCCTGGCAGTGTTCCAGGGGTGGCAGCTGGACTTTTTAAATCCAAGGACCTTGTTAGGAGTCAGAGTTGGGCAAGGGGAGACTGGAGATAAAATCCGATCACAAGAGGTAGCTATGAATAGGTCAGGAGCAATTCTCCCCAGCCTTGAGCAGTAGGGAGGATGAGTCAACAGAAGTGAACTCACCCTTCCTACTTGTTATAGAATTATACATCCATGACTGTACCATGTGACTTTACATGTCTTCTTGAGTATGTCAAATACATTCCCTGACCCACTGAGGTCAGGGTTGGTCATGTGACTTCCTGTGGCCAATAGGATGTGAGTCATACCCAATAAAGATAACCAGACCTGATGGTAAGTAGAATATCCATGAAGATGTGCAGGAGACCATGGCCAGCAACACTGGCTTATCAGAACTGGGTTCATGCACAGGTCTGAGTTTTTGTTGCTGAACCCTCTTTCCCTGTCAATAAGACAAGCATTTATTCCCCAGTATCCCAAGGCCTATGACTCCACCTCCAGGCTGCCACTCATAGGTGGAGCTCACCTGGCACCTGCGGCTGGAACATCTACTTATCACCTTTCCATGTGGCTCCTTGGGCTTCCTCACATCATGGCAGCTAGGTCCCAGGGGCTATGGGACCTAGCTAGATATTGTGCTTCATAGCTAGATACGGTGCTATGAAGAGTGTGGCAGTTGACATTTCCTGGAAATGGTCACAGTAATATTTTGAGTCTCACATGCTCTCCCTTGTGGTAGCTTGCCCCTCCCATCAAAAGGCAGAGTATTTTCCTTTTCTTGAAGCTGGGCAGAACTTTGTGATTGCCTTGACAGAGGGGAAAAAAAGGGTTGGGGGGGTGCAGAAGTGACACTATATGCCTGTGTGACTTCCAAGGCTAAGTCATAAAAGCAGACACGGCTTTTTCTTGTCCTTTCCCTTCCCTTCCCTTCTCTCTCTCAGCCTCCCTCTCCCTACCCCTTCCCCACCACTGGCCTCTGGGACCTAGCTGCCATGATATGAGGAAGCCCAAGCAGCCACAGGGAAAGGTCACAAGTAGAAGTTCCAGCCACAGGGCCCAGGTGAGGTCCCAGCTGATAGGCAGCATCAACTGCCAGACAGGTGAGTGAGAAAGCTTCAGATCATTCCAGTCCACAGCCTTTTAAGCCACCCCAAGGGGTGTCAAGTGCAGCAAAGATGAGCCATACCTGCTGAGCCCTGCCCAGATTGCAGATCTGTAAGCAAAGCAAATCTTTTCACTGGGGTGGTTTGTAAACTAGGGAAGTTCCAGCTCTTTCCTAGTTGAAGACTTTTCCCTTCTTTAAAACCTAACTCAGGCCGGGCACAGTGGCTCATGCCTGTAATCCCAGCACTTTGCAAGGCCAAGGCAGTTGGATCACTTGAGGTCAGGAGTTTGAGACCAGCCTGGCCAACATGGCAAAACCCCATCTCTATAAAAAATACAAAAAAATTAGCTGGGTGTGATGGTGCACACCTGTAGTCCCAGCTACTCGAGAGGCTGAGACAGGAGAATTGCTTGAACCGGGGAGGTGGAAGTTGCAGTGAGCCAAGATTGAACCACAGCACTCCAGCCTGGGCAACAGAGTGAGACTCTGTCAGAAAACAAACAAACAAACAAAAAACACCTAACTCAGATGTTGCTTTCCTGCTTAAAAGCCTCCCATGTTCCCATCTCCTTCAGAGTAAAAGCCGAAGTCTATACTTAATCTAAAAGATCCTTCCTACATGATCTGCCAATACCACGGTTTCCTGTCAACATTGACTCTCTGACCTCTTATCCCACTCTCCCCATCCACCCCTCTGCTCCAGCCACACTGGCCTCCTTGCTGATTCTTAAACTTACGAAGCAAGTCCCACCTCAGGGCCTTTGCACTTGCTGTTCTCCCAGCTCAGAAGGCTCTTCCCCCAGAACTCTATATAGCTCCCACCTCATGATCAGGTCTTTGCTCAAATGTCATCTTCTCAATAAGCCCTTCCATGACCACACTATTTAAAATTACAACTCCCCCTCCCTCCCCACAAAATAAATCACTCCCATCCTTATTCCCTGGGTTCCATTTCTGCAGAGCACTTAGCATAATCTAATGGATTGCATATTTCACTTATGTTTCTTGTGTATAATCTGTCTGCCCAACTAGAGTGTAAGTTCCATGAGGGCAGGTGAGGGATCTCTATCTGTCTTGGTCACTGCTGTATCCCCAGTGCCTACAACAGTGCCAGGCATATGTTCACCACTCTGTGAATATTTGTTGGTATAAATGGAAGGAATGAATGGATTAATGGGTGCATATATTGTTGGAAGAATAGATCCAAGGGAAAGGAAAGAGGAGGGTAACAGGAAAAGAGCCCAACTCACCCTAAAAACATGAAGGCTTCCATTTGCCAAAGGCAGAAGATACTTAAAAAAAAAAATCTTATCTCCACAACCAGATGATCAACCAACTAATCAATCACTCTCCAAACCATGTCCCTCTTGCCTCCTAAACATTTCTTGTTTCTTCCAACATTTTATTATGAGCAATTGCAGGCATGCAGAAAAGTTGAAGGATTTTACAATGAACACCTTTACCCCAATCACCTAGACTCCACTCTAAACATTTTACTGTCTTTGCTTAATTATATTTCTATACATTTATCCATCCCTCCATCCATCCCTCCATCCCTCCATTCTTCCATCCACCCATTACTCCATCCATCCATCCATTACTCCATCCATTCATCTCTCCTTCCATCCATTACACCACCCATCCATCCATCCATCCATCACACCATCCATCCACCCAACCATCCATCCATCCATTTATCCATCCCTCCATCCATCCCTCCATCCATTCATCTCTCCATCCATCCATTACTCCATCCATTCATCCATCCATCCATCCATCCATCCATCCATCCATCCATCCATCCCTCCAGCTTAATTTTGATGCAGTTCAGTGAAAGTTGCAGACACCAGTACACTGCCCCCTAAGTCCTTCAGAGTGTCTATCGGTATTTGTTTACCATTCTTTATTTTCTATTTTGAAGTAAAGTTTACATACAAGATGTGCAAATCTGAAGTGTGCCATTCACTGAGTTTTGACAAATTCATATACCCGTATAACGCAAACTTCTGTCAAGATAAAGAAGCACTCCCCTGATGTTTTTTCCACTATACATGAGCCTTACTTGTTCTGGAATTTCATTTAAGTGAAATTGCATAATACATTCTTTACTGTGTCTAGCTTCTTTCGTTCATCATAAGGTTTTTGAGAGTCATCCATGATATATGTGTATCAATACTTCATTTTTTTTTTGTTGCTGATAGTATTCACTGCATGGGCATACCACAATTTGCTTATCCATTCTACTAATGATGAACCTCAATATCTCTTCAATCCACCCCCTTTCCTTCATCTCCATGGCCCCTTCCCTGGCCCAGGCATCTCTTCTTTACACCCAGGTCTCCACTCCAGCCCAGCCTCCTTCTTGCTCTCTGATCTCTAATCTCACTCCCTGTCATCCACCTTCCAGAGGATTTTGTTTTGTTTTGTTTCGTTTTGTTTTGTTTTTTAATACAGGGTCTCTGTCACCCAGGCTGGAGTAAATGGCAGGATCATAGCTCACTGCAGCCTCAACTTCCTGGATTCAATCAATCCTCTTCCCTGAGCCTCCTGAGTAGCTGAGACTACAGGTGCATGCCACCATGCCCAGCTAATTTTTAAATTTTTTAAAGAGATGGGCTCTCACTATGTTGCTCAGGCTTGTCTCAAACTCCTGGCCTCAAGCAATCCTCCTGCCTTGGCCTCCCAAACCTGGGATTACAAGTGTGAACTACCACACCCAGCTCCCAGAGGAATCCTTATCAGGCACATGTTGTGTTCTGTCCTGCTCAAAACTCGGCCATGGCTCCCCAGTGCTCCCTGGGGAATGCCCGAGATTCTTTAATGGCTTTCAGACTTGGTTTGATCTCACCCCGATGCACCCCTCCACCATCACTTCCCATCTCCTCTCTTTATAATCCAGGCTGCAACCACTGTCTACCTGTCAGTTCCCTCAATGTGCCAAGCTCTCTTTTGCCTCCAAACTGTTGTATTATCTTCCCTTTGCCTACAATACTTTTCCCCCAGCCCTCTCATTCATGTATTTATTTATTTTACAGATGAGGTCTCACTCTGTTGCCCAGACTGGAGTGCAGTGGCACAATCATAGCTCATTGCAGCCTCCAGCTCCTGGGCTCAAGCAATCCTCCCGTCTCAGCCTCCCAAGTAACTGGGACTATAGGTGCACATCACCATGCCTGGCAAAGTTAAAAAAAAAAATTAAGAGATAGAGGCCGGGCCGGGCGCGGTGGCTCACGCCTGTAATCCCAGCACTTTGGGAGGCCGAGGCAGGTGGATCATGAGGTCAGGAGATCGAGACCATCCTGGCTAACAAGGTGAAACCCCGTCTCTACTAAAAATACAAAAAATTAGCCGGGCGCGGTAGCGGGCGCCTGTAGTCCCAGCTACTCGGGAGGCTGAGGCAGGAGAATGGCGTGAACCCGGGAAGCGGAGCTTGCAGTGAGCCGAGATTTCGCCACTGCAGTCCGCAGTCCAGCCTGGGCGACAGAGCGAGACTCCGTCTCAAAAAAAAAAAAAAAAAAAAAAAAAAAGAGATAGAGGCCGGGTGCAGTGGCTCATGCCTCTAATCCCAGCTCTTTGGGAGGTTGAGATGGGCGGATCACCTGAGGTCTGGATTTTGAGACCATTTTGGCCAACATGGTGAAACCCCATCTCTACTAAAAATACAAAAATTAGCCAGGCGTGATGTCAGATGCCTGTAATCCCAGCTACTAAGGAGGCCAAGGCAGGAGAATTGCTTGAACCTGGGAGGCAGAGGTTGCAGTGAGCCAAATCGCACCAATGAACTCCAGCCTAGGCGACAAGAGCAACACTCAGTCTCAAAAAATAAATAAATACATACATAAATAAAATAAAAATTAAGAGATGGGATCTTGCTATGTTGCCCAGGCTGGTCTCAAACTCCTGGCCTCAAACGATCCTCCCCCTTCAGCCTCCTGAGTCATTGAGATTACAGTTGAGAGCCACTGCACTCGGCTGTCCCCAACCCTCTCTCTGCTTGCCTCACTGTTATTCCTTCTTAAGTCTGCATCCAAATGCCCCTTCCACAATAAACCTTTCTGACAGCCCCGACAGGGTGGGTAAGGTGCTTCCACCAAGCTCCCACAGTTCCTGGCAGTTCAGACCACTCTACAATTTAATATTAAAAGGTCTTAAATTCCCACTTAACTTCAGTTCCAGGTACAAAACTTGTCTCTTCAAACAAGAACATATCCTTTAGCAAAAGTTGGAAATCATTTTAACGGACACATTTCCCTTATTGCCTTAGCTGCTGGGAACCTCTGAGCGAAGTTTAACGCTAACCTACATCGTAGAGAGACACCTGTTGCATCTCTGTGTGTAAAGTGTTAGTTCTATTTTAATGTTTGTTGAAATAGTGCCAGCTTTTCTTGGGCACTGTAAATCCCTCCGATTGGCTCTCTGCTGTGACTCCCTCATACCAAAATCAATGAGTTCTTCCACTGAATCTATCATCCAACTACTGCCCCCTCCAAACTCTTCCAACACACCCACTGGAACTCTCGTTGTCTTGTTAACAACCACTCCCCTTCCTCAGTTTCTCCCTTGAACATCTCTTCTACCCCATGTCCTTACCTAAACCCTAAGAAGCTCTAAGAACAATGCTTCCTCTGCAGCCCCTTCTACTATTTATTTATTTATTTATTTATTTAGAGACAGAGTCTTACTCTGTCACTCAGGCTGGAGTGCAATGGCATGATCTTGGCTCACTGCAACCTCTGCCTCCTGGGTTCAAGCGATTCTCCTGCCTCAGCCTCCCGAGTAGCTGGGATTACAAGGGTGTGCCACCACACCCGGCTAATTTTTGTATTTTTAGTAGAGATGGGGTTTCACCATGTTGGCCAGGCTGGTCTTGAACTCCTGACCTCAGGTGATCTGCCCGCCTCAGCCTCCCAAAGTGCTGGGATTACAGTCGTGAGCCACCATGGCCGGCCCCCCTTTATAATTCAGACTGCTCCTTTTCTAACATCCCACCTGCCTCTACACTGAGGGTTGAAAGCTGATTTCTCTATCAAGATTCTTTTGGGTGCAAGTATCTAAAATCCATTCAAACGAATCTAAGCACAAAGCAAATAAGGCAATAGTGAATGAAGCAATATTTGACAAAAGCAACAGCAAAAAAAAAAAAAAAAAAAAAAAAAAGCCCATTGTGGGTTTCATTTGAAAAATCCAAGAATTAAACTGGAGTTCAGGTATGGCTGGATCCAGGCACTCAAGTGCTGGTGTCAAAACTGCCTTTCACAATCGTTCATTTCTGCACAATCTCTTTTGCACTGAACCTCATCTCATAAAGCCTCTCCTCTCTTTGTGGCAGTGTGAGCCCCATCTGCTCCATCTGCCCAGCAATTCCAGCAGACATAGAAAATCCTCTTTCCTAATGGTTTCAGCAAATGTCTCAGGGTTGATTCTCATTGGGCTAAATTAGGTAACATGCCTTCCCTGAACCAATCACTGTGGCCAGGGAAGCAGACTCAACTGATTAGCCAGGTTTGGATCCTATGTCCATCCCTGGAGCTGGTGAAGGCAGAGCAGTGGCCAAGCCCTATTCAAATTAAATAGATGAAGAGGACAGAGAAGTGGTTTCCCAAAAGAAAACAGAGTGGGGAACTGGCGTGAGCCGGGGAGCCGTGTGGATTCCTGGAGGAAGAGTGTGCTAAGCTGTGGGAACAGCAAGTGCAAAGGCCCTAAGGTGAGCAACTTGCCTGGCAAGTTCAAGGTTCAACAAGGCCACTTCTGCTGTAGTATCCTCTTCCCTGCCAACCAAATCCAGAATAGTGGTCCAACACACACACACACACACACACACACACACACTCTGTTCCTTATCCAACTGTAATGCTTTCACCCTTGCTTGGTACCTTTGTACTTCTCCCTTCATAGTCGACTAGTTAAAAAAAAATACATTTCTCGGCTCTTTTTTGAAGTAGGTGTGATTGAGTTAAAACATATTTACTTGACATAAGCTTAATTATTCATCAATGGGAACCTGAAAAGGGAGTCAGAGAGGCCAAGAGGTTAGGGTGGAGTAGAGGGGGTAGGGAAGGTAAGCTGGGGTGCAGAGGGTGCAGACTGGAGGAATGGGGGCGAAGTGGGGTATGGGACTGGGGTGGCAGGGAGGGGCTGGGGAGAGAGAGAGAAGGGTAGGTGCCAGAGGGCCAAGGATTGTGGAACTGGGGTGGGGTTGGGAGTTGGGGGGTGGGGAGGAGATGTGGGGTACTCTGTGAATACCTTAGAAGGGATAGAGAAGGCAGGGCTAGGGGTTTGGAAGGGGTGGGATTGGAGGTCAGAGGGGCTCAACTGGGGTTAGGAAATGGAAAGGTGAGAAGAGGTGGGGGTTAGAGGCTGGGGACTGGGGTCCAGAGAGCAGAGTGAACTGAGTGGGTTCAGAAGAGTACTGGCGTTGGCACTTCAGAGGCTGGACTAGAGAAGGCGCGTTCAGCCGACGGTGCGGGATACACTGCCGAGGAAGTCCGCGGCGAGGGGCGTGGTTGGGGGGTGTGTATTACACGGTATCCCCCCCTTGCCTTTCCAAGTCTTTCCCTCTGGTTCCGCCTCCTTTTCAGGAGTGACATACCGTTGCCCAATCAGAGCCTCAGGCCTGGCGTGGCACAGCCAACCGCGCGGCGTGGGGAGGAGCTGGGGAGGGGGCTCGCAAGGCCGGGGAGGGGGCTAGGGGCCTCCGAGGGCTCCGGAGCGGCGACTGGCGAGCCATGGCGCTGGGGCTGCAGCGCGCAAGGTACTGAAGTTCGGGGGCAGGAGTTCTGGGAATTGGGGGGCTCTCCTCCTGGAGACCCCTGAGCTGGATTGTTGGGGGGGGTGGGGTTCGCGGGTGCGAGCCAAGAACGCCCCGGGGCGCGCAGTTGGAGGCACATCCCCACCGCACTCTCCACCCTTAGGGACTGCAGGGGTGGGGGATTCCCTACGTCTCTGGCTGCCCCGCCCCTCTGGCCAAGAGCGGCTTCGGGGTTCCCGATTTCTCGCTACCCAAGGCTCATTTACCCTCCTGGTTGGGGGTGGAACTTGGGATTCCTGATAAATTAGGGGTGATTGCATTTGAGCAGTCCCCAGGCTTCTGCGGGAGATATTCGCCCTCCACATATTGATCCCTCTGGCCTCTGAACCCCCCAAAATTGAGGGTATTCTTTGCCACCAGGTGCCTGGGATCCTAGGTGATATGGGATACCCCTAAATGGAGCCTTCCCACATATAGGGAGTCCCTTGGAATGGCATTCAGCTCCTGAGTTCAAGAGAGGAGAGATCTCCTCTAATAGTATGCTTCCTGACACAGTCTCCTAAACATTGGGTTTCCCTAGAAATGGGCAGAGGGGAGCCCCTTTCAGAAGCCGTCTGGGACCCTTCCCAAGAGACTTTTTGTATCCTTTCAAAAGCCAGAGTCACCCCCTTAAATAACAGGGAAACAAGCTGGACCCACTTCCCAAAGTCCAGCCCCTCATCTCACCCCTGCACCCCCATCCTGAGAGACAGGGGAGCCTCATCCAAGCTTTATTTTGGGGAGACTCCATGGCAGGGTGCTGTGAGCCTGCAGGCTGTGATGGGAACGCCCCCTGCCGCAGTACTCAGATGGGGTCATCCCGGGCAGAGGGTGGGTTTCTGGGTTCACTTGCCCAGCAGGTGCAGCTCTGCTGGAACACAGGGGAACCTGTGCCCTGGGGCCGCTGCCGGGGGGTTTTATCTGGCCATGTTCCCATGGGACCCTGGAAAATGTTCTAGGTCCTCAGCTTTCCCTGTCCAATGTGAGGCACCCAGTAAGCCTCACCCCCTTCCCTCCTCCCTGGCTTCTCAGGCCTGATTGGATCCATGCACACCCCATGTTTCTAACCGCCCCCATCCTCTCCCCTGTCCCCTACTCTATTCCAGGCCCTGGCTCTGGGCCTAACAAGGAACTCTATCCCACCCCTTTTGGGCCAGCTGTCGTTCCGCCCCTCTCAGCGCCCCCTCCTGGCTGGGTGGGGGCCCCTCTTGGCTGAGCTCGGGTGCCCCCCCTCCCCACCCAAGGCCGGCCCTTTCCTGTGGAGTCATCTCACCGCCGTGCGCACCCACTCGTAACTCGCACCCGGGTCCTGGCTGCACCGCATCCCCTCCTGCACCCCCTGGATGGCCCTTCAGCCAACGGGGGCCTGGGCGATGGTGAGTGGGCCCCCAACACCTCCTTTCCCCCTTCCCTTCCTCTAGCTGGGGCTGGCTGCCATCCCACTGTGGCCAAGGATGCTCTTGGGAAGTCCCTGGTGGGTACGGCTTGCAGCCCAGAGTGCCCAGTGAGGTAGTATTCCCGGAGAAGATAGGATTTTGGGGACCAGCACCCTACCAGATTACCATGTCCTTGAGAACAGGCAGAGTCGGGGGGCAGAGAGACTCCCCCAGACCCCCATGCCAAGTCCCTTTGCAAACCCAAACCCTGCCTCTGGTCTCTCAGGACACCTCTCTGCAATGCCAAAAGGCATCCTTGCCCAGCTACAACCTAAACCCCCACCCACCAAATCCTCTGTGCTTTTCGTAAGACGCCCCCCCCCAATACCCAGCTGGGTGTCAGAATAGAAAAGCCCAGAAGTAGCCCTGAATGTGGGCAGGGACTGCCTGCTTTTATTATGCCTTCCTCATGGGTGGCAAATTCTTCAGGGCAGGGAAGAGGTGAACTTCTCTCCTTCCTGGTTGGAGGGGGGCACTGGGCCCCAACCCCCATTCTCAGGCCTCACCCTGAGCCCGCCAGGCCCTGGCCCCACCCCCTGTTCTTGGCTGGAACACGGAGGAAGGGTGGCAGGGTTCCAGCTGCACGTCCCAAGCTGGGCAGAGTGCCAGGGGGCTGGACCAGGGCTGGGCATGGGGCCAGCTGGGGCGATCTGGAGGCAGCAGGGGTGTGACGGGGGAAGGGACCGAGGCTGCTAGGCAAAAGAGGGGTGGGGCAGGGGCCTCTTGGGTGGGGGCCACACCTGCCAAGAGCACAGGGCCCAAAGACAGGGTTCAAATCCCATCTCACCCACTTCCTGGTGGTGTGGAATTGTGTCAGTGACTGCCGCTCTGAGCCTCACTTTCAGATCCTGGAAATACGGGCAGGCCGGGTGCGGTGGCTCAGGCCTGTTATTCCAGCACTTTGGGAGGCTGAGGTGGGCGGATTGCTTGAGTTCAAGACCAGCCTGGGCAACATGGCAAAATCTCATCTATACTAGAAGTAAGCAAATTAGCCAGGCATGGTGGTGAGTGTCTGTAGTCCCAGCTACTCAGGAGGCTGAGGTGGGAGGATGGCTTGAGCCTGAGGCAGAGGTTGTAATGAGCCAAGATCAGGCCACTGCACTCCAGCCTGGACAACACAGCCGGACCTTGTCGCAAAAAAAAAAAAAATAGAAAAATAGAAAAAAAAAAGAAAACTGGGTATCACACTCCCTTTCCACCACCCCAGATCAAGATGAGGAGCCAGTAGTGAGGAAGCAGACGGTGGGGGGCGGGACACCCAACAGGTGTGCCACAAACTGAGCTCAAGTCAGAGTAGACAGACCTGGCTTGAATCCTGTCTCTGCTACTAAAAGCTGTGTGGCTTCAGTTTCATCACCTCTTTGGGCCTGCTTCCTCATCCGGAAAATGGGGAAAGTCATTGCAGGAACATGGTCGGATTCACTGAGAAGTGGTTGAACATAGTTCAGTGTCAATGGAGGGCGCTGGGTTACTTGGGCTGGGGATGCCATTGCTCCAAATCTCAGTTTCTGCCTCTTTAAAAGGAGAGATCACTTCTCCTGCTCAATAGGGTAGTAGTAAGGACTTAATGGGTTCTCTAGCTCCGTGAGTGTTCAACACACCAATGCTATCATTATTACAGTATCACTGTTATTTAATCCTCCTTTTAAGATGCTTGTGTAAAAACCATGTATGTAATTGCATGCACACACCACACTATGGGGCGTGTAGAGTAATCCACAGGTTACTGTAAAGCCCAAGAAGCTCCTAAGCCCATGCTTTCCATCTCTGATACGCACAGAGGGAGAACAGTAAGTCTAACCTTGGCCGGGCGCGGTGGCTCATGCCTGTAATCCCAACATTTTGGGAGTCCGAGGCAGACAGATCACCTGAGGTCAGGAGTTCGAGACCAGCCTGGCCAACATAGTGAAACCCTGTCTCTACTAAAAATACAAAAATTACCCAGGCATGGTGGCAGGAGCCTGTAATCCCAGCTACTCAGGAAGCTGAGGCAGGAGAATCGCTTGAAACTGGGAGGCAGAGGTGACAGTGAGCCAAGATCAAGCCACTGCACTCCAGCCTGGGCAACAGAGCAAGATTACGTTCACACAGCTTATAAGCAGTCACACAGCTTGTAAGTAGTGGAGCTTGTAAGTAGTAGCTTATAAGTAGTGGAGTTGATAAGTAGTAGAGTCAGGATTGGAACCCTGAGCCAGAGGAACTAGCCCCCAGTCTGTGTAATGGGAAAGACCCACACTTCCCAGTAGAACATCCAGAGGGCAGGCTGGGAGCTGGAAGGAGGGTCCCTCCGCAGCCACCAGCTGGCTCCTTCTATGGAAGAAGCAGCCCAGCCACAGAGGATTACAGAGCCCAGCTGCCTGGGAGGTGGGGCACTGGCCCCACCTCCCTGCCAGTTCCCACTCCCTGTTCCCTGTCGGGCCCCCAGCTCCGTGAGGCCCTCTCGCCCCCACCCTCTGGGCAGGAAGACAAACAGGGCTGGAACAGAACAGGACGGAATGTCCTCTCAGGCAGGCAGGACTGAGGCCCCTGCCCCCACCAGCCAGGAAGGAGGGGACGGGGACAGGGGCCGTATCTCCCCTGCTCCAACCCTCCATCCAAACTGCCCCCTTCTGTGCCTCCCTCCCTGCTGTACTGAGGATTTTATTTTCCTTCTGTCTCCAGACAGGAAAATATCCCCTTGCCCTGGGGGGTGGGGCCGCAGGTCTCTTGCCTGAGGCTGGGGTTGATGCCACCCCAGAAGCACCCTCTGCTCTTGAATTTAAGAAGGGACAGTGTCCCCTCCTAGAGGTTCTGCTTCCCTCGGATGGGTCCCAAGGAGGGGATGAGAAAAAGCCTGAAGACTGGAAACTCACCGCCCAGATTCAAATCCCAGCTCAGCCAGTTGTTGGCTTTGGGGCTTCTTGGGCAAGGACTTCACCTTTCAGAAGCTGTTTCCCCACTGTAAAGTGGAAGTTTAAAATGCCCCCCTCCGCCGGGCATGGTGGCTCACGCCTGTAATCCCAGCACTTTGGGAGGCTGAGGTGGGCAGATCACTTGAGGTCAAGAGTTCGAGAGCAGCCTGGCCAACATAGCGAAACCCCGTCTCTACTAAAAATACAAAAATTAGCCGGGCGTGGTGGCAGATGTCTGTAATCCCAGCTACTCGGGAGGCTGAGGCAGGAGAATTGAACCCGGCAGGCGGAGGCTGCAGTGAGCCAAGATCGTGCCATTATACTCCAGCCTGGCTGACACAGTGAAACTCCGTCTCAAAAAAAAAAAAAAATTAAAAATTAAAAATTAAAAAATAAATAAAAAATGAAATGGCTCCCTCCTAGGGGTCCCCTGAGGATTGGATGAATACATGTAGAATATATAGTACAGTGGCAAGCACATAAATGCTTAGCAAATGACAGCTGCCTATTACTAATAGTAATATTTATCAATATAAATGTAGATGAGACTATATATACCATATACTACACTAGATTATATATACAATATAGTAGATGTAACACATCATATAATAATTTTTTATTTTGCCTATTTTTGTTAATTTGTTTTTTGTCTTTTTTTTGTTTTTTATTTGTTTGTTTTGAGACGGAGTCTCACTCTGTCGCCCAGGCTGGAGTATAGTGGCGCGATCTTGGCTCACTGCAACCTCCACCTCCCAGGTTCAAGCGATTCTCCTGCCTCAGCCTTTCAAGTAGCTAGGACTACAAGGTGCCCACCACCACGCCCAGCTAATTTTTTGTATTTTTAGTAGAGACAGGGTTTCACCATGTTAGCCAGGATGGCCTCGATCTCCTGACCTCGTGATCCGCCCGCCTCGGCCTCCCAAAGTGCTGGGATTACAGGCGTGAGCCACTGCGCCCGGCCTGTTTTTTGTCTTTTTTTAGAGACGGAGCCTTGCTGTGTCACCCAGGCTGGAGTGCAGGGGCACAATCATGGCTCACTGTAACCTCAAACCTGGGTTCAAGTGATCCTCTGTCTCACCCTCCCAAATTATAGCCGCTTCCGGCTATAATTTTGTATGAAAGAGGCCAGGCGTGGTGGCTTACACCTGTAATCCCAGAATTTGGGGAGGCCAAGGTGGGAGGATCACTTGAGTTCAGGAGTTCAAGACCAGCCTGGGCAACAAAATGACACACTGTCTCTACAAAAAATACAAAAATTAGCTGGGCGTGCTGATACGCACCTGTGGTCCCAGCTACATAAGAGGCTGAGGCTGGAGGATGGCTTTAGCCTAGGATACTGAGTCTGCAGTGAGCCATATTCATGCCATTGCACTCCAGCCTGGGCAACAGAGCGACAGCCTGTCTCAAAAGAAAAGAAAGAAAAGAAAAGAGAAACTTTGGGTTCAGAAAGACCTGGAGTTTGAATTTGAAGACAGTGGCAGAAACAGGGAGAAGAGCTAAAATTCTGGACATAAATCCAGGCCCATAGAGATAGAGAAAATTTGAGAATTTAGGTAGACCATTGTTTAAAGGCAGGCTTCCCTATTTGTGGGCAGGCACTGCACCTCTCTGAGCCTCGGTGTCCTCATCTGTTCAATGGGACGTTATCAACTTCCTTCTGGGTGGCCTGAGCATTAGGCGGGTTAATATAAGTTTCGCACTTGGCACTGGGAGTGACAAAATAGTAAAAGCTGGATAAGTGGCAGATATTTCTGATAAAACGACACTTATTCTTCCAACCCCACATGCAAAATGTAGGTATCTGAAGTGGATTACAGGGCAGGGTGAGTGGTAAACAGAACAGGTTGCTTTGCTGTGTCACCCTGGCGGGTCCCTGCCCCTCTTAGGGCCCCTGTTGGTGGTTCATCGTTAGACTTTGAGATCTATGTTCCAAGATTCACAGGACGGCTCAGTTGAGGGAAAAGGGCAGAGGAGGTGATTCTGGGAAACTGCAGGGCAGGGGGCCTGGGAGGCTGTAGGCCTCTCCTTCGTGGGCCCTCCCTCCTCTGGCCCCTGGCCAGCTCAGCCAGCCCCCTCCCAGCAGGGGCCCTCCCTGTCCCCCAGGCGTCCCTAGCCTGGGAAATAAACTGCAGATAAGTCAGGGAGGGGACAGAGCGGCCCTAGGCGCGCCACAGAGAGGAGCGAGGCGCCAGAGGCACCATGGACTGGCAAGACCACAGGTAAAATCAGGGCTAGGAAGGGCTCCACAGTGTAGCCCTTCCAGGCCCAGGGAGCGCCGCGAACTCGACAGGGCCACACATCGAGGCCTGCGCAGCCGCGGCCCAGCACTCCACGAGCCCCGGCCCCACGTGGCAGCTCCCCACGTGCTCGTCCCGTCCTCCTTTTCTCTTTCCCGAGTCACCACCAGTGAATGCTGCCCATGCCCTCAGGTCGACCACGGAGCTGCGCAAGGAAAAGTCCCGGGATGCGGCCCGCAGCCGGCGCAGCCAGGAGACCGAGGTGCTGTACCAGCTGGCTCACACGCTGCCCTTCGCCCGCGGCGTCAGCGCCCACCTGGACAAGGCCTCTATCATGCGCCTCACCATCAGCTACCTGCGCATGCACCGCCTCTGCGCCGCAGGTGAGCCCCGCCCGCGGGAATTCCCGTCTTGGTCAGGCCCCGCCCACGGAAAAAAACTACATCCCAGGGAGGCCCCTCCTCCGGGAAGCCTTATTCTGACAAAGCCCCGCCCCCTGGTGTCGTTTTTTTCGGCGGAGCCCCACCCCCCTGGAATCGACTTCCCCGGGGAGGCCCCGCCCCCTTTGAGTTCCTGGCCTGCTGGGAGTCCCGCCCCCCTCGAAGTCTATCACTTGTGAGGCCCCGCCCCTGGAACGCGCCCTTTGGAAGCCCCGCCTCCTTAGGACTCAGAAAATCCGCTAACCCTTCAACTCTTACGATTTGGTCCTCTAGGAGACTCTCCCAGATGGATAGGCCCTGGTCTCTCATAATATATCCACTGGGAGGCTGCGCCGCCCAACTTTTCGTTACTGTATCTGAGAGTCCCTTGTCCCTTCCCCACCCCTCTAGTTCTACATCACTTGTTCTCTTAGTAGGCATCTCCTTGAATTTCTACCCAGTTAGAATTGCATCCTGCAGCGGGCTTTGCCACGCACGTGCACGCGCGCGTGCACACACACACATACACTCACACATAAACCCCGTGGAATCCCAGGACCCTGAAAGCGGGGGAAGTAGCGTTATTCTCTGGGAGGCTCTGTCCATTTGACTTCCCTGCCCCATAGAATTTTACTTTTCTTGGAGGCTTTACCCCCTTAGAAGTCTGTTCCCTGGGAGTCCCTTCTTCTCTAGAGTTCTGTCCCTCTGGAAGGTCCTGCCCTCCATGAGTTTGAACCCCTTCGAGGCTTCCCCCTCATCTCTATATTACAATTCCCCTTAGGCCCTGGCCCCTTCATATTTTGACCCTGGGGAGTTCCATCCACTTAGAATTCTGTCCTCCTAGGAGGCCCACCCACATCCTTAGAATTCTGTTCCCTTGGGAGACTCCTACTTCCTTAGAATTCTGCCACCCTGGGAGGCCCTGCTTCTAATTCCAGTGCTTCTTGGTCCTGCTTTCTTCCTTGGGAATCCAGGCCACTAGGATGTACCCCCACTTCCTTGGGGGTGCATGTAAGTTTCTCTGAATGAGGAAAGGCAGAGGGAGGCTAGCCCAGGGTCAGTCCATAATTCAGACCATAACTGACTAGAGATGCCCCCATCCCCCTGCCCCGGGCACCAGGGGAGTGGAACCAGGTGGGAGCAGGGGGAGAACCACTGGATGCCTGCTACCTGAAGGCCCTGGAGGGCTTCGTCATGGTGCTCACCGCCGAGGGAGACATGGCTTACCTGTCGGAGAATGTCAGCAAACACCTGGGCCTCAGTCAGGTGAGAGGAGCTCCTTGCTCTGTGCCTGGCCCTGTACTGGTGATGCTGGGGATACAGTGGTGACCAGGACAGCCATAGCCCTACCTTTATGGGACTCACAATACAAAGGGGATATAGGTATGTCACTAGACAGGAAGACCCAGAATGGTCAGGGCTGGGATGGGACAGTCTAGGGGGCTGTGAGAGCACAGGGGTGGGGTGTACCTGACCCAGCCTGAGTGGGAATGGAGGGCTTCCTGGAGGAGAAGATATCTGAGCTGAAATCTGAAGAACTTAGCCGGTCAAAGGGTATGGAGAATGGATGGGATCAGTGAAGATCAGGAATGTACATGGTAGAGGGAACAGAGGAGGCAAAGGCCAAGAGGTGAGGAAAAAAAAACAGAATAATTTGGGGAAATAAAGTTGGCCACGTGCAGTGGCTCACACCTGTAATCCCAGCACTTTGAGAGGCCAAGATGGGAGGATAGCTTGAGTTCAGGAGTTCAGTGTTTCACCTGGGCAACACGGCAAAACCCTGTCTCCACCAAAAATACAAAAAATTTGCCAGATGTTGTGGCACATGCCTGTGGTCCCAGCTACTTGGGAGGCTGAGGTGGGAAGATCATGTGAGCCTGGGAGGTGGAAGTTGCAGTGAGCCAAGATTGCACCAGTACACTCCAGCCTGGGTGACAGAGCAAGACCCAGTCGCAAACAAACAAACAAAAAAATAATAAAAAGTTTATCCTCCTAGGTGCAGAGTGCAATAGGAGAAGCTGAGAGACAAAAGGCTAGAGAGGTCATCAGGGTAGACTGTGGCCAAATTTAAGGCCAAATTATCTTTATCTCCAGGGCCCCGGGGAGCTATAGAAGGATTTTAAGCAGTGGAGAGGTTGTGCCAGAAAGGTAGAATCAGATTTACATTTTTGAAAGATCCTCTAGGTACGGCATGGAGGTAGATTTGGAGGGAGTGAGATCAGAGGTTGAAAGATCAGCAATGGGTAGATGCCAATCTCAGGTGGGAGAAGAGGAATAGGGGCAGGGACCATGGGGATGGAAAGATAGGAACAAGAGACATTTAGAAAGTAGAACTTACTTTTTTAATTAACATGGAAGGCTTCATGCATTTGCATATCATCCTTGTGCAGAGGCCATGCTAATCTTCTCTGTATTATTCCAATTTTTAGCATACATGCTGCCTAAGCAAGCATAGAAAGTAGAACTAACTTTAATTCATCCTTACAGCAAGGCCTACAAGAAAGTTCCCATTCTTTTTTCTATCTCACATAAATAGGCTCCATAGTTGGTATCTGTTCCTTTTCTCTGCCTCGTTACCCCACTCCTGGTACCAATTTCTCTGTTAGTGTGAGTGAGCTTTTTGGACCCAGAGAGATGAATGTCCCGAGGTTCCAAAGCTAGGAAGTGGCACAGCCAGGATTTGACTCCAGCTACAAGAGATGTTGTCAGAGGAGCGAGATCTCCCTCTTTCCCTATTCACCAGCACCAGCACCATTCACATGGTGAGCCAATAGGGTCCACCTTCATCTGTGTCCCCTCCTCCCAGCACCACGCTCATTTCCTAAATTGAAATGAAGAATTGGGTTTTCTGCCTGCCAGAAAAGTGTGATTTGAATGGAGTCTCATCTCGGGGCCTTGCGCTTACTATTCCCCTCTTTCTAGAATACTCTTACTCCAGGGGGCCATAAGGCCACCTCACTTGCTTTGTTCAGCAGCTTTTTAAATGTCACCTCTTCAAAGAAACTGTCTAGACCACTCTGTCTAAAGCAGCCTCCCATCATTGCGTTACCTTGTACTGCTTTTGTTTTCTTCATGTTACTTGTTATATTGTTGTTATTTGTTCTTTCATTCACTGTCTGTCTCACCCCACTGGCCAGTAAGCTCTTCAAGGCAGGGATTTGTGTGTGCAGTCACCGTGTCCATACCATTTAGAAGAGCCAGGTGCAGTAGCTCCCACCTGTAATTCCAGTACTTTGGGAGGCCAAGGTGGGAGGATCACTTGAGCTCAGGAGTTTGAGACCAGCCTGGGCAACATGGTGAGACCCCCATTTCTACAAAAAAATTTGTAAAAATTAGCCAAAAGCTGGATGCGGTGGCTCACACCTATAATCCCAGCACTTTGGAAGGCCAAAGTAGGCAGATCACTTGAGGTCAGGAGTTCGAGACCAACCTGGCCAACATGGTGAAACCCCGTCTCTACTAAAAATACAAAAATTAGCCGGGTGTGGTGGCACATGTCTGTAGTCCCAGCTACTCGGGAGGCTGAGGTGGGAGAATCACTTGAACCAGGGAGGTGGAGGTTGCAGTGAGCTGAGATCGCACCACTACACTCCAGCCTGGGCAACAGAGCGAGACTCCATCTCAAAAAAAAAAAAGAAAAGAAAAAAATAGCCAGGTGTAGTGGCATGTGACTGTAGTCCCAGCTACTGAGGAGGCTGAGGTGGGAGGATCAGATCGCTTGAGCCCAGGAGGTTGAGGCTGCAGGAAGTCATGATCGCGCCACTGCCCCGCTGCATTCCAGCCTGGGCAACAGAGCAAGACCTGTCTCAAAAAATAGATAGATAGACAGATAGGTAGACAGACAGACAGACAGACAGACAGACAGACAGACAGACAGATAGATAGATAGATAGATGAGGGCCTGGCACTTGGTATGCGCTGAATAAATGCTTGCTCAGTGGGTGGATGGATGGATGGATGGACAAATGGATGGATAAATGAATGGGGAGACTGGTGAAATCATCCAGGCTCATGAATTGGAGCAGGGGAATGAGGATGGGATGGAGGAGATGGGTCAGAAGCCCTGGTAGACCCCCACCCCTCTCATCCCTGGCAGCTGGAGCTCATTGGACACAGCATCTTTGATTTCATCCACCCCTGTGACCAAGAGGAGCTTCAGGACGCCCTGACCCCCCAGCAGAGTGAGTTCCCTGGAGGCCTCTGTCCCCACCATACAGAGGAGGAAGCTGAGGCTCCACCCCTCCCTCAGCATATCCCCACCTCCTGTGGAACACCAGACTAAGACAAGTAGGAAGAGGAGAGATGGCCCTGCCCTGGGGTCTATGGGGACAAAGACCCTGCCCTGGGGGGGTCTGAGGGGACACAGCCCTGCCCTGGGGGGTCCAAGGGGACACATACTACCCCTGGGGGACCCTCTCTGGTTCCAGGTCCCAATTGTTGGGATGGAGCTGGGGAGGCCTGAGCAGCCAGGGTGCCGGAGGGCACTGGGCCTGTGTGTAGCTGCCTGTGACCTCCCCGCTGCCCCCGGGCCTCCCCAGCCCTGTCCAGGAGGAAGGTGGAGGCCCCCACGGAGCGGTGCTTCTCCTTGCGCATGAAGAGTACACTCACCAGCCGCGGGCGCACCCTCAACCTCAAGGCGGCCACCTGGAAGGTGCGTGGGGCCGGGCCAGAGGAGGGCGGGGACGCTGGGGCTGGGTGTGAGCCCTGAAAGATCTTGAAGGGTGCTGGAGTCCAGGCATCTCCTAGGCTGGGGACCCTGCGGGGCTCACTCAGGTCAGGTCTAGCGGGTCTCAGGGCATCGAGGAGCATGGGTGTCTGTGGAGTTGGGACCTGGGGCTCCTGTAAGCTCTCTTAGGATGGGTTCCTATGGGCCTGGGGCTGGGGATCCTCAGTCCCTTTGAACCTGAAGTCTTCATGGGGTTGGAATCTCAGCTCCCTGATGGGCCCTCAGGACGCATCTTCCAACCCCATGGGTGGTCTCAGGCCCAGAGGCACCACTGCCTTGTCCCCTCATCTCGGCCCCCAGGTGCTGAACTGCTCTGGACATATGAGGGCCTACAAGCCACCTGCGCAGACTTCTCCAGCTGGGAGCCCTGACTCAGAGCCCCCGCTGCAGTGCCTGGTGCTCATCTGCGAAGCCATCCCCCACCCAGGCAGCCTGGAGCCCCCACTGGGCCGAGGGGCCTTCCTCAGCCGCCACAGCCTGGACATGAAGTTCACCTACTGTGACGACAGGTGGGCAGGGGCCCCCTCTTCCGTCTGCCCAAGTTCAAGTGCTGTTTCCCTCCCCACCTCCACACTCCCGCATTTCTCTCTCTCCTTCTCTCTCTCTCTCTCACTTCATCCATCTCTCTCTCTCTTTGTGTGCCTGCCTGTCTCTGAATTTTCTACATGCCTTTTATATCTTTTCTTTTTTTGTAAAATCGCTGCCTTGCCATTTGCCCAGACTGCTCTCAAACTCCTGGGCTCAAGCCATCCTCCCACTTCGGCCTCCCAAAGTGTTGGGATTACAGGTGTGAGCCACCGCACCTGGCCTCCTTTTATCTTTCATTCTCTTTCTGTCTCTGAGTCTTTCTCTTAGTGTTTGTCTCTCTTTGTCCCTTTTCTTAAATGAGTCAATTTGTGTCAAGCAGTTAATATGGTGCCCAGCACACAGGAAGCATTCAATAAATTGTCGATAGGCCAGGCACAGTGGCTCACACCGGCAGTACCAGCACTTAGGGAGGCCGATGCGGGAGAATTGCTTGAGACCAGGAGTTCAAGACCAGCTTGGACAACATAGGGAGACCCCGTCTCTACAAAAAAATTAGCCAAGTGGGGCCGGGTGCAGTGGCTCATACCTGTAATCCCAGCACTTTGGGAGGCCAAGGTGGGTGGATCACCTGACGTCAGGAGTTCAAGACCAGCCTGGCCAACATGGTGAAACCCCAACTCTACTAAAAATACAAAAATTAGCTGGGCATGGTGGCGCATGCCTAAAATCCCAGCTACTCGAGAGGCTGAGACTGGAGAATTGCTTGAGCCCGGGAGGCGGAGGTTGCAGTGAGCCGAGATTGCACCATTGCACTCCAGCCTAGGCAACAGAACAAGACTCCGTCTCGAAAAAGAAAAAAAAGAAAAAATTTGTCAGGCGGGTGGCATATTCCTTTAGTCCCAGCTACGCAGGAGGCTGAAGTGGGAGGAATAATTGAGCCCAGGAGGTTGAGGCTGCAGTTAGCCATGATTGCACCATTGCACTCCAGCCTGGGCAACAGAATGAGACACTGTCTCTCAAAAAATAATAATAATAAATAAAATAAACTGTTATTATTTGTTCACCCTCTATCCTTCCTTTCATCTCTTTTTCTCTCCCCCTCTCTTCCTTCTGTCCTTCTCTTCCTTCTTCTGTCTTATCCCTCGCCCTGGTGTCATGCTTAGGAATGGTGACTCTGGATTCAGCCTGCTTGAGTGTCAGTCTTGGCTGTGTATCCTTAGCCAAATGACTTCACCTCTCTGTGCCACAATTTCCTCACCTATACTGTGGAATCATAACAGAACCTGCCTTGTACAGTCGTTCTGAGCAGCTCAGTGAGTTTCCCGGTGCAAAGCACAAGTATCTAATTTTTAAATCATTATTGTCATCATTACTTTTTGTTGTTGTTGTTGAGGTGGAGTCTTGCTCTGTCACCCAGGCTGGAGTGCAGTGGCAGGATCTTGGCCCACTGCAACGTCCACCTCCCGGGTTCAAGTGATTCACCTGCCTCAGCCTCCCGAGTAGCTGGGATCACAGGGGCCTGCCACCATGCCTGGCTACTTTTTGTATTTTTAGTAGAGATGGGGTTTTACCATGTTGGTCAGTCTAGTCTTGAACTCCTGACCTCAGGTGATCGGCCCGCCTCGGCCTCCCAAAGTGCTGGGATTACAGGCGTGAGCCACCGCACCCGGCCTATCATCCTCATTACTTTTTATTTATTTTCATTCTTCTCTTTCTTTTTGTGTTTTTTTCTTCCCCTCTCTTCCTCTCTCCTATGTCATGCATGCTGTCTCTTTTTCTGTCTTTTCTTAGCTCTTCTTCCCCTCTCCACCCCTTCTCTTCCCTTGTATTAGTTCCCTGTTGCTGCTGTAATATATTACCACGAACTCAGTGGCTCCAAACAACACAAACTCACTGTCTTACCGTTCTGGAGGTCAGAAATTTGAAATGAGGCCAGGCATTGTGGCTCACGCCTATAAACCTAGCACTTTGGGAGGCCAAGGCAGGAGGATGGCTTGAGGCCAGGAGTTCCGGATCAGCCTGGACAGCATAGTGAGACCTCATCTTAAAGAAAGAAAAAGAAATTAGAAATGAGTTTTACAGGCCAAATTAAGGCTGTGTTCCTTCTGGAGGCTCCAGGAAAGAATCTGTTTCCCTGCCTTTTCCAGCTGCTAGAGCTGGGCCCACCTGCATCCATCTCCCTATCTCAAGACTAACGTTAGGCAGGCCGGGCGAGGTGGCTAACACCTGTAATCTCAGCACTTCGGGAGGCTAAAGCAGGAAGATTGAGCCTGGGAGTTCAAGACCAGACTGGGCAACATAGTGAGACCCCCATCTCTACAAAAAAAATGCAAAAAGTAGCCAGGCAGGGCACACACCTGTAGTCCCAGCTACTCAGGAGGCTGAGTCAGGAGGATTGCTTGAGCCTGGGAGGTCAAGTCTGTGGTGAGCCATGATTGAACCACTGCACTCTAGTCTGCGTGACAGAGCGAGAGCCTGCCTCAAAAAACAAACAACAAAACAAACAAAAAACTTCTAATGTCATCATATCTGCAAAGTCCCTTTAGCCACGTAAGAGACCATATCTACAGATTCCGGGAATTAGGATGTGGACATCTTTGGGGGTCATTATTCAACCCACCACACTCCTCTTGTTCTGTTTCTTACTCCTTTTCTCTCGGTTACAATCCTTCTCGACATCTTGCTGGCTTTGTTCCTGTGTCCTCTGCTGCTACTTCCCTCTGCCTACCCTCTCTCTCACCCAGTAGCATCCTGACCAGACCCCACTCCGCCCCACCCCCAGGATTGCAGAAGTGGCTGGCTATAGTCCCGATGACCTGATCGGCTGTTCCGCCTACGAGTACATCCACGCGCTGGACTCCGATGCGGTCAGCAAGAGCATCCACACCTGTATGTATCCCATTTCCCCAGGTGCGAAGCCAGCTGCCACATGGCCCCCAGCTGACACCAGGACCCCCCAGCTCCCCATACCCCAGGATGCACTGCCTCCCCACCTCAACACCAGCTCCCTGCTCCCCAAGCCCCAAGGAACTGTCTCCTTCCTTGCCCCCTCATACCCAGTCCCCAGATATTTCTCTCCCCATTTGCCCCCTTGGTGGCCCTGATCCCTCCCGATCCCCCTCCTCAGTGCTGAGCAAGGGCCAGGCAGTAACAGGGCAGTATCGCTTCCTGGCCCGGAGTGGTGGCTACCTGTGGACCCAGACCCAGGCCACAGTGGTGTCAGGGGGACGGGGCCCCCAGTCGGAGAGTATCGTCTGTGTCCATTTTTTAATCAGGTAAGCAGGAGGAGGGGCTGGGGTGGCTGTGTGTGGGCCTGATCTGCATGTGTGGACAGGTGTGTGTGTGTGT
This sequence comes from Homo sapiens, assembly GCF_000001405.40. Classification (NCBI taxonomy): domain Eukaryota; kingdom Metazoa; phylum Chordata; class Mammalia; order Primates; family Hominidae; genus Homo; species Homo sapiens. The sequence goes on from NC_000019.10 coordinate 46,312,727, forward strand.
GTGTGTGTGTGCGTATGAGCATGCATGTGTATCATGCATAAGTGTATGTGAGGGAGTGTGCACGTGTACACATATGAGGAATGTGTGTCACCATGTAAATGCCGGTGTGTGTGTCTGCATGGACACAGGTATGTGTATGGGTGTGTAGACTGTTAATTTTTTTTTTTTTTTTTTTTTTTTTTTTTGCGTGAACCTCTGCTTAAGTGGATTGTTAATTCAAATTAGAAAGGGGTCTTTATTTGGCCTGGCATGGTGGCTCATGCCTGTAATCCTAGCACTTTGGGAGGCTGAGGTGGGCGGATTGCCTGAGCTCAGGAGTTCGAAACCAGCCTGGGCAACATGACGAAATGCTGTTTCTACTAATAATACCAAAAATTAGCCGGGTGTGGTGACACATGCCTGTAATCCCAACTACTCGGGAGGCTGAGGCACGAGAATCATTAGAACCCAGGTGGTGGAGGCTGCAGTGAGCCGAGATTGCGTCAGTGCACTCTGGCCTCGGCAACAGAGCGAGACTCTGTCTCAAACAAACAAACAAACAAACAAACAAAAGGACTCTATATTCAAGTTAAAATAAGAAGTGTAACAGAATCATGGGGTCTTTTTTGCTTTTTAAATTTTGATGTGGCTCACACCTGTAAATCCCAGAACTTTGGGAGGCCAGGGGAGGAGGATTGCTAGAGCCTGGGGGTTCAAGACCAGCCTGGGCAAAGTGGTTAGGACCCATTCTCAAAAAAAAAAAAAAAAAAAAACCTGAAAACAGACCAAAAAAAAAAACCACACACACGCAAAGATAGATGGTTTGCATATGGTAAATTCTCTTTATGGTACACAGTTCTGTGAATTTTTGACACACGCATGCAGTTGTGTAACCACTATCACAATCCAGCTATTGACCAATTAGTGTGATTATAATAGTGGTTACACAATTACCACGATTTTTTTTTTTTTTTTTTGAGACAGAGTTTTGCCCTCGTCACTCAGGCTGGATTGCACTGGCACGATCTCGGCTCACTTCAACCTCTGCCTCCCAGGTTCAAGCGATTCTCCTGCTTCAGCCTCCCGACTAGCTGGGATTACACGCAACAACACGCCCAGCTAATTTTTATATTTTTAATAGAGAAGGAGTTTCACCAGGTTGGCCGGTCTGGTCTCGAACTCCTGACCTCAGGTGATCCACCCCCCTCAGCCTCCCAAAGTGTTGGGATTACAGGCATGAGCCACTGCACCCGGCCCATGTTGTGGTTTATATCAGTAGTTCCTTTGTAAATAGTGAACAGTATTCCATGGTATGAATAGAGCACAGGTTTTTTTTTTATCCATTCACCAGTTAGAAGACATTGGGCTGTTTCCAAGTTTGGGTGATTACAAAAAAACAGCTACTGTAAACATTCTCATACAAGATTTTATGAGATCACATGTTTTCATTTCTCTTGGGTAAACAGCTAGGATTGGAATGGATGGGTTATATAGTAAGTGTATATTTAATCTAAGAAACTGCCATGGCTGGGCACAGTGGCTCACGCCTGTAATCCCAGCACTTTGGGAAGCCAAGGAAGGAGGATGACTAGAGCCTCTGAGGTGAAGACCAGCCTGGGCAAAGTGGTTAAGACTCAACCGCAAAAAAAGAAAAACAGAAAACCTGAAAACAAACCAAAAAAAAAAAACAAACACAAAAATATATATGGTTTTCATGCAGTAAATTCTGTTTATGGTACACAGTTCTGTGAATTTTGACACATGCATGCAATTGTGTAACCACTATCACAATCCAGCTATTGACCAATTAGTGTGGTTACACAATTACCACAATTTATTTATTTTTATTTTTATTTATTTATTTTTTTTGAGACAGAGTTTTGCCCTTGTCACTCAGGCTGGAGTGCACTGGCACGATCTCGGCTCACTTCAACTTCCGCCTCCCGGGTTCAAGCAATTCTTCTGCTTCAGCCTCCTGAGTAGCTGGGATTACAGCTGGGATTACACCAAGCCCAGCTAATTTTTGTATTTTTAGTAGAGTCGGGGTTTCACCATGTTGGCCAGGCTGGTCTCGAACTCCTGACCTCAGGTGATCCACCCGCCTCAGCCTCCCAAAGTGCTGGGATTATAGGCATGAGCCACCACACCCGGCCATTACCACGATTTTTTACACAAAAATATTCTCTTGTAGTAAACCCCTCCCACACTCCCATGTCCCTGGCAACCACTGTCCTCAGACCCCAGAGTTTTGCTTTTTCCAGAGGGTCACATACAGGGAATCCTACAGTATGTAGCCTTTTGGGCCTGGCTCTTACTTAGCTTGATATATTTAAAATTCCTCCATGTTGTGGTTTTTCTTTCTTGGTTTTTTTGTTTTGTTTTTGAGACAGAGTCTCATTCTGTTGCCCAGGAGTGCACTGGTGCAATCTCGGCTCACTACAGCCTCCGCCTCTGAGGTTCAAGTGATTCTCCTGCCTCAGCCTCCTGAGTGGCTGGGATTATAGGCGCGCACCAACACGCCCAGCTAATTTTTATATTTTTAATAGAGAAGGAGTTTCACCAGATTGGCCAGGCTGGTCTCGAACTCCTGACCTCAGGTGATCCTCCTGCCTCAGCCTCCCAAAGTGCTGGAATTACAGGCGTGAGCCACCGCGCCCAGCCCATGTTGTGGTTTATATCAGTAGTTCCTTTGTAAATAGTGAACAGTATTCCATGGTATGAATAGAGCACAGTTTTTTTATCCATTCACCAGTTGGAAGACGCTGGGCTGTTTCCAAGTTTGGGTGATTAGAAAAAAACAGCTACTGTAAACATTCTCATACAAGATTTTATGAGATCACATGTTTTCATTTCTCTTGGGTAAACAGCTAGGATTGGAATGGATAGGTTATATAGTAACTGTATATTTAATCTAAGAAACTGCCATGGCTGGGCACAGTGGCTGATGCCTGTAATCCCAGCACTTTGGGAGGCCGAGGAGGGCAGATCAGTTGAGGCCAGGAGTTTGAGACCAGCCTGGCCAACATGGCGAAACACCGTCTCCACTGAAAATACAAAAATTAGCCAGGTGTGGTAGCACATGCTTGTGACCCCAGCTGCTTGGGAGGCCGAGACATGAGAATCACTTGAACCCAGGAGGTGGAGGTTGCAGTGAGCTGAGATCACACCGCTGCACTCTAGCCTGGGTGACAGAGTGAGATTCTGTCTCAAAAAATTAAAAAAAAGAAAGAAAGAAACAGCCAGGACAGGGTGCGGTGGCTCATGCCTGTAATCCCAGCACTTTGGGAGTCCAAGGTGGGTGGATCACCTGAGGTCAGGAGTTCTGGACCAGCCTGGTCAACATGGTGAAACTCCATCTCTACTAAAAATACAAAAATTAGCTTGGTGTGGTGGTGCATGCCTGTAGTGCCAGCTACTCAGGAGGCTGAGGCAGGAGAATCACTTGAACCTGGGAGGCAGAGGTTGCAGTGAGCTGAGATCAGGCCACTGCACTCCAGCCTGGGCGACAGAAGGAGACACCATTTCCAAAAAAAGAAAAACAGAAACAGCCAAACTCTTTTCCAAAGTGGCTGTATCATTTTGCATTCCCATCAGTAACGTATGGGGGTTCCAGTTGCTCCACATCTGTGCCAGCATTTCGCATTGTCTGGGTGTTTGGGTTTGGTGTTACTTTTAGTCATTCTAATAGATGTGCAGTGGGAAAATCACGATGGGGCTTTTTTTTTCCATCATGTGTCATAGAAGCTTTTCACCATTTAGAAATGCAGAGGTATCCATGACAACATTATGAGGCAGAGTTAGAATTACAGCTTTTCGGTCGTGCGCAGTGGCTCATGCCTATAATCCCAGCACTTTGGGAGGCTGAGGTGGGCAGATGACTTGAGGTCAGGAGTTCAAGACCAGGCTGACCAACATGGTGAAACCCCGTCTTTACTAAAAATACAAAAATTAGCCAGATGTGGTGGCGTGTGCCTATAATCTGAGCTACTTGGGAGGCTGAGGCAGGAGAATCACTTGAACCCCGGAGGCAGAGGTTGCAATGAGTGGAGATCAGACCACTGCACTCCAGCCTGGGCGACAGAGTGAGACTCCATCTCAAAAAAAAAAAAAAAGAAAAAAGAATTATACCTTTTCTTTGAAGAAGGTTATCTTATAGGACATGCACCAGTTTTCTAAAGCCTTAGGGGTTTTTCTAGATCTGGAGGAATGTTCTGAAATACAAATCAACATATACATATGTATATAAATTTTTTTTGAAATAAAGTCTTGCTTTGTCATGCAGGCTGGAGAGCCGTGGCACAAACAGGGCTCGCTGCAGCCCTGACCCACCTGAGCCTCCCAAGTAGCTGGGACTATAGGTGCGCACTACCATGCCTAATTTTTTTTTGTATTTTTTGTAGAGATGGAGTTTCATCATGTTGCCCAGGCTGGTCTTAAACTCCTGAGTTCAAGCGACCCACCCGCCTCGGCTTCCCAAAATGCTGGGATTACAGGTGTGAGCCCTGGTACCCAGCCTATAATTTTTTAAAAATAGGGATGGGGTCTCACTGTGTTGCCCAGGCTGGTCTCAAACTCTTGGGCTCAAGTGACCCTCCCGCCTCAGCCTCCCAAAGTGCTGGGATTGCAGATGTGAACCACCATGCCAGGCCTACAAATCAACTTATGCCTCATGTCTCTACCCTTCTCAGAGCCCTTCTGAAGCTCCCCAGTATCCTCAGGAGAAAAGCCAAGGGCGTTGGTGTGGTTCACCAGGCCCTGTGAAGCTCCTGCCTCCCTCCCCTTCTCACTTACCCTCCAAATCTCAGGGCCTTTGCACAGGCAGTTCCTCCTTCCCAGAATGCTCTCTTCTCTTCCCTCCTCTCCTTTCTCCTGAGTCATGCCCGCTCATCCTTCCAGTCTCAGCTCAGACATCACTTCTGGAGACCCTCTTTCCTGAGCCCCTACATGAGCTCAGGTGTCCCCCATGCCCATTTTCTCTCCTGGTGTCCTGTACTTTTGCACCAGAGCACTTAAAACCATTTGTAATTATCCTATTAACTTGTGTGTTCAGCCAGGCCTTCTTCGATCGTCCTTTTCAAAATTGCAAACTCCCATCACTGCTTTATTTTCTCTGTAGTACTTACCACTATCTTTTTTTTTTCTTCTTTTTTTGAGACAGAGTCTCATTCTGTTGCCCAGACTGGAGTGCGGTGGCACAACCTCAGCTCACTGCAATCTTAGCCTCCCGGGTTCAAGTGATTCTCCTGTCTCAACCTTCCAAGTAGGGATTACAAGCACCCGCCACCACACCTGGCTAATTTTTGTATTTTTAGTAGAGATGGGGTTTCACTATGTTGGCCGGGCTGGTCTTGAACTCCTGAGCTCAAGTGATCCACCCACCTCAGCCTCCCAAAGTGCTGGGATTACAGGCGTGAGCCACTGTGCCTGGCCCTCCCTAGTATTACCACTATCTAACCCAACGTTGTCCAATAAAAGCATGATGCCAGCCACATATGTCATTTGGAATTTTTTTTTTTTTTCTTTGAGACAGAGCCTTGCTCTGCCACCCAGGCTGGAACCACATTAAAAAGGTAAACGGAATGCTGGGCATGGTAACTCACACCTGTAATCCCAACGCTTTGGGAGGCCAAGGCCAGGAGTTTGAGAATAGTCTTGGCAACATAGGGAGACCCCATCTTTACAAATAATTTAAAAATTAACCCAGCGTGGTGGCATATGGCTGTAATCCCAGCTACTCAGGAGGCTGAAGCAGGAGGATCACTGAGCCTGGGAGATTGAGGCTGCAGTGAGCCGAGATCGCACCACTGCACTCCAGCCTGAGCGAGAGAGTGAGATCCTGTCTCAAAAAAAAAAAAAAAAAAAAAAGTAAACAGAAGCAGGTGAAATTAATTTTATTTTTTAAATTTCATTTTATTTATTTATTTATTTATTTTGAGACAGAGCCTCACTCTGTCACCCAGGCTGGAGTGCAGTGGCGTGATCTCGGCTCACTGCAGCTTCCACCTCTGGGGTTCAAGTGATTCTCCTGCCTCAACCTCCTGAGTAGCTGGGACTACAGGCGCATGCCACCACACTCAGCTAATTTTTGTATTTTTAATAGAGATGGGGTTTCACCATGTGGGCCAGGCTGATCTTGAACTCCTGACCTCAGGTGATCCACCTGCTTTGGCCTCCCAAAGTGCTGAGATTACAGGTGTGAGCCACCGCGCCTGGCCTAATTTTAACAATACATTTTATTTTCATATTCAAGATCACACCACTGTGTAAGTAGCGGAGCTGGGATTTGAACCCAGGCCACTGACTACAGAGTCCTTGCTGTGAACCACTACACAGCAGTGCTTGATGAGGATATATTTGTGGAATGATGAATGAGTTAACTGAATGTGTCACACGTGCACATATTCGAGCCCAAGTGTATGGAGCATGTGAGCATATGTGTCCCTATATGCACTCAGGTGTATGTGAGCGCTCCTGTTTGTGCCTGTGTGTACCGAGTGTGTATACAAGTTCGATTGTGTGTGCTTGTATCTTTCAGGGGAATAAGGGTGGCTTTGATCCAGCCTAAATTGGGATGTTTCCAGCCCAGGGAGGGTTTATTGAGTGTGGGGAGAGGTCATAGCTTCTCAAGGAGCTGGTGGGAAGACCAGGCCCACCTGCCTCCTGTCCTGAAGGGGGTTATGCAGATGAGATACAAATGAGGGCCTGATCCTCAGCCCCACCCAACTCTCCAAAAGCCAACTTGCACAGCGAGCATTTAGATTGTCTCTGCAGCCAGAGACTGTGTGAAGGGAGGTGCCAGGGACATAAGGATGTATTTCTAAACCTGTTCCCTTGAGTATGAAAAACATCTATGAATAGAAACAGCATAAATAAAATCTTATTCATAAAAATTACAGCCCTATGAATTCTTCCTATTTGGTCATGTAATGAAGACTATGTTAAAAATATATTTTTTCATCAATACCTTTCTAAGAATATGTTTATAAGTAAAAATCTATAAAGAGAATATTTAGTTATTCTGAAGCCTTTCGCTCACCCCGCTCTTTGCCCCTGGGCCTCCTCTCTCTGTTCCTAGGTCTCCTCCCGCTTCTGTCTTTCAGTGCCGCCCCACCCCCTTCCCTCAGTCTTCCTCCTCTCTGCCCAGGCTGTGCTAAATGCCAGCTCTTTTTTCTGCCTTTCCTTTTACAGAAGGAGCTTGGGAAGGGACAAACTTAACTTTCTTTTAAAAATGGTGTCAGAATAGGCCGGGCACAGTGGCTCACGCCTGTAATCATAGCACTTTGGGAGGCTGAGGCAGGTGGATCACCTGAGGTCAGGAGTTCGAGACCAGCCTGGCCAACGTGGTGAAACCCCGTCTCTACTAAAAATACAAAAATTAGCTGGGTATGGGGGCTTGCACCTGTAATCCCAGCTACTCGGAAGGCTGAGGCAGGAGAATCGCTTGAACCTGGGAGGCGGAGGTTGCAGTGAGCCGAGATCGCGCCACTGCACTCCAGCCTGGGCGACAGAGTGAGACCTTGTCTTAAAAAAATAAAATGCTGTCAGAATAAAAAGCAGTCAACAGAAATGAAACCCTTATAGGAGACAAATAAATGTGGGCAATTATTTTCTGCAAAATGCCCTCCAAGCCCCTGGGCGCCATTGCCTTCTGTAATAGGACATCACCTGAACAGGCTTTCTGGGCTGGAGCCAAGGACCCTCCCTGACTCCCACCTCCCTTTCTGCCTTGTACCCCAGCCAGGTGGAAGAGACCGGAGTGGTGCTGTCCCTGGAGCAAACGGAGCAACACTCTCGCAGACCCATTCAGCGGGGCGCCCCCTCTCAGAAGGACACCCCTAACCCTGGGGACAGCCTTGGTATGGGGCAGGGCTGGGGCCGGGAGGGGTTGTGTCCCCAGGGCCCTTGGGAGAAAGCCCAAGCACCTTAACATGGCTCACCAGGCCCTGTGGGACCTGCCTCCTGCCTCCCTTCCCTGCGCACTCAGCCTCCAAAACACACAGCCTCCTAAGAGCCCTTGGAACACTCCAGCCTCGTGCCTCAGGGCCTTTGCACATGCAGTTTCCTAGAATGCTCTTCTCTCTCCTGTCCTCCCTCCCCTTCTGTGGCTATGGGGTGGTTGCTTCAGTCTCTTGCTGGCCTCTGCTCTAAATCCTGCTGTGGCTCCACATTGCCCCCACGCTTCTGCCTCTTCCCTGTTCTGGCTTTGCTGCTCTTTGGCTTCCAGTAATCTCGATCCTCCTAAGTCTGGCTCCTTTCTCCCTCTTCCTTCACTCTCCTGCCATCCTGGATGAGCCTCCCTCCCAGTCTATCCTTCAAGACCTCACCTTCTCCAAGCTGTTGCTGGCCACCCATGCTCCTGGGTGTGGGGTGGGATTGCTGATATAATATCCTTTCCTTTTCTGGCTCAGAGCTGGCTCTGGGCCTTGTCTTAACCTCTGGGGACCTTACAGCCTCCTTGAGGGCTTGGGGCCAGTCTTTTCTCCTAAGGTGAAAGCTCCCCAGAGCTGAATGGCCAAATGCTGTTCTGAGCCACCAATCCCTTCCCCTCGGACCTTTCAGAGCCTCACCACAATCTGGCCACTGAAGTTCACACCTGGGCTGGGAGCAGTGGTTTATGCCTGCAATCCCAGCACTTTGGGAGGCCGAGGTGGGCGGATCACTTGAGGTCAGGAGTTTGAGATCAGCCTGGCCAACATGGTGAAACCCTGTCTCTATAAAAAATACAAAACTTAGCTGGGTGTGATGGCGGGCACCTGTAATCCCAGCTACTCTGGAGACTGAGGCAGGAGAATTGCTCGAACCCAGGAGGCAGAGGCTGCAGTGAACTGAGATAGTGCCACTGCACTCCATTCTGGGCAACAGAGCTAGACTCCATCTCAAAAATAAAAATAAAGTTCACACCTGGCCCAGCAGGGGTCCTCCAGGCCCCTTCCTTACCCTCTCACTAAGAACAGTGGCCATCCTGACCTGCTGAAGATGTCAACTGTGTTCCTGGGGTTGGTATGGAGGGCTCTGGCCCTTGGCCCTCAGTCACCAGCCCGTGTCCTCCCCATCTCCATGTGTCCTGCAGACACCCCTGGCCCCCGGATCCTTGCCTTCCTGCACCCGCCTTCCCTGAGCGAGGCTGCCCTGGCCGCTGACCCCCGCCGTTTCTGCAGCCCTGACCTCCGTCGCCTCCTGGGACCCATCCTGGATGGGGCTTCAGTAGCAGCCACTCCCAGCACCCCGCTGGCCACACGGCACCCCCAAAGTCCTCTTTCGGTAAGCCATCCCACCCATGTGAGCCCTCAGCATCCAGTGCTCAGTCCCTCAGGGGGTCTTGGCCTGTGACTTAAACCTGACTGTTCTCTGGGCCTCAGCTTCTCCATCTGTGTAGTGGGGAGGTTGGGATGAGATGGGGTTGAGGTTCCTTTAAGACGCAGATCCAGATTTTTCAATTGTTAGAATTCCAGAGTCTGGCTCTGTTTAGGGAAAAACTCTCTCAAGCTATGTTTTTCCTCTGCTCTCCTAATAATGCAACAATCGTCAACACAGAAGAAGACTTCTGTGACCAAATGTGGGCAGTTTTTCCCACACACCAAGCAGCGGACACCAGCTGGGTGTCCTCCAATTCAATTCCGGCATCATCTACCTGGAGATAGTGTCAGATTTCACAGGTTGGGCCTCAGTCCCCAAGACTGCTCTTTGCTCTTCAGACACCAGTCACAAGTCTGGGCCTCCAGAATTTCTTTTTTATTTTTATTTTTATTTTCGAGATGGAGTCTCACTCTGTCACCCAGGCTGGAATGCAGTGGCGCAATCTCGGCTCACTGCAACCTCCACCTCCGAGGTTCAAGCAATTCTCTTGCCTCAGCCTCCCAAGTAGCTGAGATTACAGGTGCATGCCACCACACCTGGTTAATTTTTTGTATTTTTAGTAGAGGCAGGGTTTCACCATGTTGGCCAGGCTGGTCTCGAGCTCCTGACATCAAGTGATCTTCCGGCCTCGGCCTCCCAGAGTGCTGGGATTACAGGTGTGAGCCACCGTACCTGGCTCTTTGGGTTTGATTAATTTGCTGGAGCGGCTCACAGTAATCAGGACAACACTTATTTAGGTTTACTGGTTCATTGTCAAGGATATTGCACGGATACGGATGAAGGGATACATTGAGTGAGGTATGGAGGAATGTAGGGTTTCGGAGCTTCCATGCCGTCCCGGGCACCACCCTCCAGAAACCTCCATGGGTCAGCTATCTGGAAGCCCCTCCAACCCAGTCCTCTTGGGTTTTTATGGAAGCTTCATGACATCAGCATTCCTTCCCCCAGGGTATCGGGCAGGACCCTCTCTGGGGACAGTGGTTTTTTTTTTGTTGTTTTTTTTTTGAGACGGAGTTTTGCTCTTATCGCCCAGGCTGGAGTGCAATGGCATGATCTCAGCTCACCACAACCTGCGCCTCCTGGATTCAAGCAATGCTCCTGCCTCAGCCTCCCAAGTAGCTGAGATTACAGGCGCACACTACCACGCCCAGTTAATTTTTTTATTTTTAGTAGAGACGGGGTTTCACCATGTTTGTCAGGCTGGTCTCGAACTCCTGACCTCATGATCCACCCGCCTCGGCCTCCCAAAGTGCTAGGATTACAGGCATGAGCCACCGCGCCCGGCCTCTGGGGACAGTCTTATGACCCACAATCAAAAAGGCAGGGGAAGATTAGAGACCTGCCTTTGGGCAGGTGAAACGAGGGCAGAAGAAGGCTGGAGAGGTTCTGTTTCCTGAGGCCTAACACACCCAGTGTTCTAACAAAAGACTGTTAGAACTGTTTTACTAGACTGTTCTAATAAAAGACTGTTCTAACAAAAGACAACGGCCATGGGAGTTTGACCCAGGAACCATGCACAAAATCATATATATATATGTGTGTATAAAATAACACCACAGGCCCTGTATTAGTCTGTCTTCACGCTGCTGCTAAAGACATACCCAAGTCTGGGTAATTTATAAAGAAAAAAAGATTTAATGGACTCACGGTTCCACATGGCTGGGGAGGCCTCACAATCATGGCGGAAGGTGAAAGATATGTCTTACATGGCGGCAGGCAAGAGAGAACGAAAACCAAGCGAAAGGGGTTTCCCCTTATAAAACCATCAGCTCTCATGAGACTTATTCACTATCACGAGGACAGTATGGGAGAGACCACCCCCATGATTCAATTATCGCTGACCAGGTCCCTCCCACAGTGTGTGGGAATTATGGGACTATAGTTCAAGATGAGATTTGGGTGGGGACGCAGCCAAACCCTATCAGGCCCCTAACCTGGGATGTTTGGAACTGGCACAGATGACCCTCCTCCCACTCCAGCTTGTGACTAAGCATCCAGTTCTCTGAACTTTGACCTCAAAGAGTCAAAGTGTCTAATATCCTGATTTATACAGACCTGGATTAAATCCTAAATCTGCCATTTATCAGCCACGTTACCCTGGCTGGGCAAGCAAGTTCTTGAGGCCTTAATTTCTTCACCTATAAAAGAAAGATAATAACATGTCACCACATCATTGGTTATTCTGAGCATTAAGTGACAGTATTCATGAGAAGCACTCAGTAGGGGCCTGGCACCTATCGGTGCTCAACAGATCATACCAGTTACTATCAATATTTGTTGTGAAGATAGTCTGACCTTTGACCTCAGTGGGTCCACGTTATCCAGTGTTGACTGTCTTCATCCCCACTCTCCACCCCAAGAAAATATCCTCTCTCCAGAGAAATACAGACTGTGACCTTTGACCTCATCCTTTACCCCTGAGACAGCTGAACTCTCCATTGTTTCCCCACTAAACTCCAGGCTCCAAGACCTTTAACCCCAGAGGATTTGTTTGAAAGTCTTGGCCTCAGGCTGGGTGCGGTGGCTCATGCCTGTACTCTCAGTACTTTGGGAGGCTGAGGTGGGGAGATTATCTGAGGTCAGGAGTTCAAGACCAGCCTGACTAACATGGTGAAACCCTGTCACTACTAAAAATACAGAAATTAGCCAGGCGTGGTGGAGGGCGCCTGTAATCCCAGCTACTTGGGAGGCTGAGGCAGGAGAATCACTTGAATCCAGGAGGTGGAGGTTGCAGTGAGCTGAGACCACGCCATTGCACTCCAACCTGGGTGACAGAGTAAGACTCCCTTTCAAAAAAAAAGTCTTGGCCTCAAGCTCATGTTTTTATTTATATATATATATATATACACACACACATATATATATACACATATATATATACATATATATATATATACACATACACACACACACACACATATATTGTGTGTGTGTGTGTGTGTGTGTGTGTGTGAGACAGAGTCTTACTCTGTCACCCAGGCTGGAGTGCGGTGGCATGATCATAGCTCACTGCAGCCTCTGCTTCCCAGGCTCAAGCCATTCTCCTGCCTCAGCCTCCCTAGTAGCTAGGACCACAGATGTGTGCCACCACACCCAGCTAATTTTTGTACTTTTAGTAGAGACAGGGTTTCACCCTGTTGGCCAAGCTGGTCTCGAATTCCTGACCTCAAGTGATCCACCCACCTTGGCCTCCCAAAGTCCTGGGATTACAGGTGTGAGCCACTGAGCCCAGCCAGGCTCTGATCCTTCTAACTGGAACTTCCATGTTTGCCCCATCCATCTATGTACACCCAGGCATTCTGAGTTTTGAACACCCAGGTTCAAAACTCATCTGCATTTGCCGTTGGACCCCCTTTGTGCCCCAGATGCCTGGCATTTGATCCCCACTTCTACCCTTGAGCTGCAGACTGTCTTAATGTTGATACCTCCCAGGCTCAAGATTTCCTGAAGTTTCTACTCCATCTCTCCACAGGCTGATCTCCCAGATGAACTACCTGTGGGCACCGAGAATGTGCACAGACTCTTCACCTCCGGGAAAGACACTGAGGCAGTGGAGACAGATTTAGATATAGCTCAGGTAAGGGCTGGCATGGAAGGGAGTAATCCTCAGCCCTGTGTTCTGGGGATTCACATATGTGGCTTTAGAGAAGGGTAGTGGGATGGTTAAAGGAATGAATGGATGGATGGATGGACCATTGTATTCATTAGGTGGATGATGGTGGATGAATGGATGAGGTTTAGGCAGATATTTTAATGGATGGATAGATGGGTGGGTAGGTGGATGAATGTTTGGATGGATATTTTGATAGCTGGATGAAAAATGGATAGGTGATACTTGGATGGATGATTTATTGAATGCATAGATAAAATGACAGCAGCATGATGTATTAGTTATCTACTGTTGTGTAACAAATTGCCTAAAAACTTAACACCTTAAAACAACAACTATTTATTATGTCACATGGTGACTGAATATCAGAAATTCAGGAGCACCTTATCTGCTGGTTTTTGCTGAGTCTCTCATGAGGTTGAAGTCAAACTCTCAGTCAGGGCTACAGTCATCTGGGGTTAGAGGGTTTTCTTCCAAGCTCACACACATGAGGTTGTTGGCAGGCCTCAATCCCTCACTTTGCTTTGGCTGGAGGCCTCAGTTCCTCATCACGTGAACCTCTACATAGACTCCCTAAGTGTCCTCACAACATGGCAGTTGGCTTCCCTAAGGCAAACAATCCAACAAAGAGAAAAAGGGACAAATGGAGAAGTAGAGAGATAGAAAGTACAAGTCCCAGACTGAAGACACAGTCTTTCATGGCCTAATCTCAGAAGTGACAAATCATCGCTTCTGCCATATTGTTTTGGTCATATAGATCAATCCTGTACACTGTGGGAGGCAATAACATAAGAGTGTGAACATCAAGAGGCAGGGATCATTGGGAACTTCCAATGATTGATGTCTCTCCCTCATGCAAAATACACTCACCCACCTCTCAAGGCCCCCCAAAGTCTCCCAAAGTTTCTTCCCCTTACAGCATCAGCTTGAAGTCCAGAATCTGATCATCTGAATCTGGTCTTGGTGCTGGGGAAGCTCCTTGAGTACAGTTCCTCTCAACATTTTGGCTTGTGGACTAATGGGGACAAGTCATCTGTCACCCACATACTCAATATACAGTGGTGAGACAGGAATAGACACTACTATTCAAAAAGGAGGGGTAAGAGGGGCATGCATATATCCCTGGTCCATAGCAGTTTTGAAATCCATATGGGAAAATATCACAAGTTCTTTCATTAGGACTTTAAAAAAAAACTGGGGGCCAGGCGTGGTGGCTCACGCCTGTAATCCCAGCTCTTTGGGAGGCCGAGGCAGGTGGATCTTGAGGTCAGGAGATCAAGACCGTTCTGGCCAACATGGTGAAACCCTGTCTCTACTAAAAATAAAAATAAAATTAGCTAGGTGTGGTGGCACATGCCTGTAATCCCAGCTACTCGGGAGGCTGAGGCCAGAGAATCACTTGAACCAGGGAGGCAGAGGTTGCAGTGAGCCGAGATTGTGCCACTGCACTCCAGCCTGATGACAGAGCTAGACTTTTGTCCCAAAAAAAATATATATATATATAAAAATAGAGACAGGGTCTCAGCCCAGGCTGGTCTTGAACTCCCAGGCTCAACCTCCCAAAGTGCTGGGATTAGAGGTGTGAGCCACTGTGCCTGGCCCAAGGGTGCTCTTCATTGCTCTGAGACCACTTTTTTTTTCTTTTTTCTTTTTTTTTTTTTGAAATGGAGCCTCACTCTATCACCCAAGCTGGAATTCAGTGACGCAATCTTGGCTCACTGCAACTTCCAACTCCCAGGTTCAAGTGATTCTCTGGCGTCAGCCTCCTGAGTAGCTGGGACTACAGGTGCCCACTACCATGCCCAGCCAATTTTTCGTATTTTTAGTAGAGATGTGGTTTCACCAGGCTGGCTCAGAGACCACTTATTAATGTTAGCATCATTTGCCATCTGGAGGGCTCCTGCAGTCAGCCAAACTCAAGGTTAATGGCATGGTTCTCCAGACTGCCAAGTCTGCCCAAGACTTCTGACATCAGACACAAGTTTGAGGGTCCCCAGGGTCACCCTTACTTTAGACCAGCTGCCTACCAATGTGGAGATTCCCAGACTCCTGTAGACTCCCTCAAGTTTGATAATTTGCTAGAAGTGTTCATGGTACTCAGAAAGTGCTATACTTAAGATTGTAGTTTTATTATAATGAAAGAATACAGATCAGAAACAGACAAAGGAAGATATTCATAGGTGGAATCTGGGACTGGAGGGTCCCAGATGGAAAGTTTTCTTCTCCTCAGGGACATGTTGTCCTCCCAGTATTGACATGTAGCAATATGTGGAGAGTAATGCCAACTCAGGAAGCTCACCAAAGCATCAGTGTTCAGAGTTTTTATTGGGGTTTCATTGCATAGGCATGATTGAGCAAATTACCGCCCATGTAATTGAATTCAGTCTCCAATGCTACCTCTACCTTCCCTGGATCCGGCTGATTTTGTGCGGGCCAAAGCCCCAACCCTCTAATCACAATGGTGGTTCTTTCTGCATGGCCAGCCTCCATCCTGAGTTATCTCATTAGCAAAAACTATCTAGGGGCTCACCATGAGTCACCTGGTTAGCATAAACTATCCAAAGGACCCACAGTGAATAGTAAAGACACTGCTATCACTCAGAACATTCCAGAGGTTTAGAGGTTAACTTCCAGGAGCTGGGACAAAAGCCAGACCTCTCTTTGGGTAAAGTTAATTATTCACTACACAAGGAGGTTGAGAATCTTCAAAACCTTCAAGTACTATCTCCTTCATGTTTAACATTTCTTCCTTTAGGAGAAATATTTTTTTATCTCTCTCTCTTCTTGCCTTTTACTATAAGTAACAAGATGAAATCAGGCAGCCCCTTCAACACTCTGGCTGGGAATCTTAGCTGGATCACCTCGTGTATTTGTTATATTTTCTACTTTCCACATAACTGCAGGCAACAGTGTTGCTAAACTTTCAGCCACTACAGGACAAAAATTCTCTTTCCTCTGGTTTCCAGTGATATGTTTCTCACTTCTCTCTAAGCCCTCACTGAGTCTTCTCAATGTTCAGATTTTGACCAATGGTTTCTTTGAGGCATTTAGGTTTGTTTTTTTTTTTGAGACAGTATTTCACTCTGTCACTCAGGCTGGACTGCGATGGTGTGATCATGCTCACTGCAACCTCAAACTCCTGGGCTGAAACAATCCTCCCACCTCAGCCTCCTGAGTAATTAGAACTACAGGCATGGGCCACCATACCTGGCTAATTTTTTTCCTTTTTTGTGTAGGTGGGGGTCTCACTATGTTACCCAGACTGGTCTCTAATTTCTAGCCTCAAGTGATGCTCCCGACTCAGCCTCCTAAAAGCTCTGGGATTACAGGTGTGAGCTACCATGCTTCTGACCCAGTTTAGGATTTCTCTAACATGTTCTTCAGGGAGTCCTTATACCCATTTTACAGATGAGGAAACTGAAGCTCAGACTGTTGACCACAGGCACAGAACTCAGAAGTGATGGTGCTGGGACTTCAGCCAAGGTCCACCCAAGTCCAAGGCTCATCCTCTTACCTCCCTCCTGCCCTCCGCAGGATGCTGATGCTCTGGATTTGGAGATGCTGGCCCCCTACATCTCCATGGATGATGACTTCCAGCTCAACGCCAGCGAGCAGCTACCCAGGGCCTACCACAGACCTCTGGGGGCTGTCCCCCGGCCCCGTGCTCGGAGCTTCCATGGCCTGTCACCTCCAGCCCTTGAGCCCTCCCTGCTACCCCGCTGGGGGAGTGACCCCCGGCTGAGCTGCTCCAGCCCTTCCAGAGGGGACCCCTCAGCATCCTCTCCCATGGCTGGGGCTCGGAAGAGGTGAGCCACAGTAAAGGGGGGACATCAAGGCAGCATCCCCTCACCCCGTCTTGCCCCTGCCTCCTGCTTCAGCCTCATCCCTCACCATTTCTCTAACCCTGATCTCTGCTCCAGCCAGGCCCTCGGTGGGCCCAGCACATGCCAAGTTTGTGCCAATCTCTGTGCCTTTGCCTAGGCTGTACACCCCTTCTGGAGTGCCCTCCACTGCTCTCACTGTTTATCCAAATCCCACCTGTCAACCAGGGCTCTCTCCTTTGGAACATAGTTATATCTGATCTGGTGACAATTTTTGTCAGAGTTTAGAAGACATTGCCGTGTGTCAGAGAAACTATCTAAGCCGGGTGTGGTGGTGCATGCCTGTAGTCCTAGCTACTTGGGAGGCTGAGGTGGGAGGATCTCTTGAGCCCAGGAGATCGAGGCTGCAGCGAGCTGTGCTTGTGCCACTGCACTCCAGCCTGGGCAATGGTGAGACCCTGTCAAGAAAAAAAAAAAAAAAAAGATAGAGAGAGAGAGAGAGAGTGAAGAGAGAGGAAGGAAGGGAGGAAGGAAAGAAGAAGGAAGGAAGGGAAGGAGGGAGGGAGGGAGGGAAGGAATGGAAAAAAGAAAAGAAACTGTCTAGAACTAAATTGCAAGCATGTGCTCATTTCGAATCCAGAGTGGTCTTATCCTTATGGATACATCTTGGTATCTCCCAAGGCTCCCAGCTTGGTACTGGCTATAAAGTGGGCCTGATAAATACTTATTAAATGAGGGAGGGAGGGAATTATTAATGAATATAGTTGGCACTTTAATGGGTGGACAGGTGGATGGATGCATAGGTCGATGGAAGGACAGATGGATGGATGTGTAGGTGAAAGGGTGTATGTATGTATGTGTGTATGTCTGGACGGATGGATGGATGAATGATGGATGTCTGGGTAGACAGAAGGATTGATGGATGGGTCAATGGATTGATGGGTGGCTGAAAGGAAGGATAGATGGTGGATGGATGGATGAATCGGATGGATGGAGGGATGGATGGATGGATGGATGGATGGATAGTTGGATGGATGGTGGATGGATGGCAGATGGATGGTGGATGGATGGTGGATGGATGGGTGGTTGGATTAATCAATGGATTAATGGATGGATGCATGGATGGTGGATGGATGGATGGATGGATGGTGGATGGTTGGCAGATGTATGGTGGATGGATGGCAGATGGATGGATGGATGAATCAATGGATTAATGGATGGATGGATGGTGGATGGCAGATGGATGGCAGATGGGATGGCAGATGGATGGATGGGTGGATCAGTGGATGGATGGATGGATGGATGGATGGATGGTGGATGGCTGGCAGACAGATGGTGGATGGATGGCAGATGGATGGATGGATGGATGGATGGGTGGTGGATGGCTGGGTGGAAGGATGGATGGATAGATGAAGGACAACTAGGTGGATAAATAGGTGGATGAATGGAAGGATAAATGGATGGAGGTTGGGTGGGTGGGTGATGGATCATTGGATGAATGAGAAGATGGATTGGTGGATGGATGGATGGACTGGTGGGTGTATGACTAAAGGAATAAATAGGTGCTCAGGGGAGTGAATGAATGCTCATCACCTGCTTACACTGTTATCCACACTTGCCCAGGTTTGCTGTGTCCTGAGATTCTTGCCTGTTTTCCTCCAGGACCCTGGCCCAGAGCTCAGAGGACGAGGACGAGGGAGTGGAGCTGCTGGGAGTGAGACCTCCCAAAAGGTCCCCCAGCCCAGAACACGAAAACTTTCTGCTCTTTCCTCTCAGCCTGGTGTGTTGGGGGATTAATGGGATTCTCTGGCCCTCATTACCTAGCTGGCTTAAACCTACTGTTTTATAGATAGGAAACCAGAGAGGGGCAGGGGCTGGTTGAGGGTCATACAGAAAGTCAGTGGGCCAGCTGAGACTAAAGCCTGATCTTCTAGTTTCACTAATGGGTATTAAAAACCTCTGCAGTGAACTGAGATTGCGCCACTGCACCCCAGCATGAGCGACAGAATGGGACCTTGTCAAAAAAAAAAAAAAAAAAAAAAAAAAAACTCTGCAAATACATGTAAGATGGCAGTAAGTCAGCTGGGCGCGGTTGCTCACGCATGTGATCCCAACACTTTGGGAGGCCGAGGCAGGTGGATCACCTGAGGTCGGGAGTTTGAGACCAGCCTGGCCAACATGGAGATACCCCGTCTCTACTAAAAATACAAAATTAGCCGGGCATGGTGGCGCATGCCTGTAATCCCAGCTACTCAGGAGGCTGAGGCAGAAGAATTGTTTGAACCCAGGA